>NC_000005.10:114958291-115261322 GCF_000001405.40 Homo sapiens | reverse complement strand
CAGATTCTCACAAAAGAAAGAGTGAAACGTTTATATTCCTTCCTCCTCTCATAGGTGTTGATCGATTAGCAGAGCCTATACCTTCACTGAAAGATTCAGATTTCCAAACCGAAAGGTTATGATTGTAGTGATATGAGATGTTTTAAAATGTTGATAAATTGTTTATATCTTAATAGGGATTAATTTTATGTGAATTCAAAGCTTTTAGATAAAAAGTCTTCCATCCTGTTTTTGTTATTGATACATAATGTGCATATTTATCGTATACATACACTGCTTAGATAGATGCAGTGTATAAGTCCTGTGAGCTGATTAAATTGTGATTGTTAAACAGTTGAACTTTGCTTGCAGCTATCACTATAAGTCTGTGATTTAATTTTCAAAATGCCAATGTGTTTGGCCTGTTTTATAAAATTCCAGCTTGGACAAATCCATATAGAATAATGCACATTGGCATTAAACTGTGTAATTCTGTTCACAGCATAAGTAAAACAGCACAAATTTTCTGACTTATTTAACTTTAGTATGAGCATAGGATCGACACCAGGTGTTATATAACACCTTGGTGCATTGGTTAAGCAATATTGTATCCTTTTTTGTCTAATGTTTGTCATATGAATAGAATTTTTACATCATTTTGGTTTTCTTATAGCCTAGTTAACCGCATTTAAGATAACTGCATATGTCAGTTTCTGTAGTGATTTTAAGTTTTTCTCTTTCCTAACTCACAGACTTTATTTTCTTTAGCACTAAGTTCTTTTGTGGTGCATGTGATTCATAACTGACTTTAAAATGCTTGTGAAGAAACTCCAACCTTTTCAGCAAAGGTGACCGGTCACAAAGTTTCTGCTGATCTTTAAGACAAAACAGTACATTGGGCAAGCCACAACTCTTACCTGGTATTGCAGTTAAATTCCACAGTCATTCATAGAGTGCCTCCCCATGTGTCTAGGTACAGGTATACAGTGTTAAACTAATGATTCAGGTGTTCCTCTGTTCGTTTCTTTTTACCAATAGGTATGAAAAAGCTTTGAGAAGGCTAATATTAGACTGGATATTTAGACACTTATTTTCAGATTCACCATTTTGGCAAAATTACTCTTATTTTCTTGTTTCTTTTAGCCTGACCAATAGGAATAATTTTTACTTTTCTAGTGACAATGACTTTATGAAAATAAAGAGTGTATTGTCTGCGGTTTCATCAGAGATTTTTCTTTTATATTGACTTCTTAAAATGATAGTTACTAGTTTATAATCCAAGTGAATATTAAATCTTGGGTTGGGAGCTTTATCAATTACCAGGTTTCTTTTATAAGTAGTTTAGGGAGTTTAGTGTGGTTATGAGTTATTCTTGCCATTTGTATTTGGGTAATAGGAATTAGAGTAGTCCTTTTTATTAAGGAACAAAGTAGTGACAATTTTCTGTTATTTTTACAGTCACCTCTTCTAGAAGAAGGGTTTAGGCAGTTAGCTTTTATTTCACAAAGCATTTACAATCTAGCTAGTCTTTGTATTCTCATGTCCCTCTATTTTCCCCTGTGTATCCTGTGTTGTAACCTCTCTCCTGCCTCCCATTCTGCAACTACTTTGTTCTTTCGTTTCCTCCCTTATCTTTTTTTTTTTTTTTTTTTTTTTTTGAGACAGTCTCACTCTGTCACCAGGCTGGAGTGCGGTGGCACCATCTCTCCTCACTGCAGCCTCCGCCTCCTGGGTTCAAGCGATTCTCCTGCCTCAGCCTCTCAAGTAGCTGGGACTACAGGTGTGTGCCACCACGCTCAGCTAATTTTTTGTATTTTTAGTAGAGATGCGGTTTCACCATGTTGGCCAGGATGGTCTTGGTCTCTTGGCCTTGTGATCCGCCCGCCTCGGCCTCCCAAAGTGCTGGGATTACAGGCGTGAGCCACCGTGCCCGGCCCCCTTATCTTAAATATATCACAGTCTAGCAGTACATCTTTCAAAGTGTAGTGGTGGGAGACTCTAAGTAATGGCTTGTATGTGCTTTCAAAAATGCACATACCTGGGCCCCTTCCCAGACCTTCATTGGATTCTGTGTGGGCCTTGGGAGTCTGCATTATAACACGCATCTCAGGTGGTTCTAAAGCAGGCTAAAGTTAGAGACTGTTTGCCTTATAGGAGAAACAAATATGCAGTTATTACAGCAGTGATTCCCAACTCTAATGTGTATGTGAATCACTTGGGGATCTTGTTAAAATGCAGATTCTGATTGCATAAGCCTGGGTCATTGTATTTTTAGATGAATACTCCTGTGCATCCCAGTCCTCTGTAAAGTTATTAACTCTTAATAGAGTGTCTGTATGGTGTTTTACGTGTAGGAGCAGCAGAGAACGTCTAAGGTCTTAGAAATTTACTTTATGGGAACTGTAAATCTAATGGTAGGCGAAAGAGCTGCGGTGTTGCATGAAGCAGCCTGTTAAAGTATATTGCAATAGCTGAGGAGTGTGATGCTGAGTGTGAGCCGGAGATGCTGCATTTCTGACAAGTGCCCAGATGATTTTGTTATGGCTAATCCCCTGACTAGACAAAATGATTGTGATATTCTGAGGGCATTCTGGAAGTACCTAAGTAGCTCAGCCTGAAGAGAGACAGGGACTAGAGAAGGCTTCTTGGAAGAAGTAATCCCAAAGCTAAATCTTAAAGAATGTGTTCCAGTGTTTTGTTGTTGTTGTTGTTGCAAATGGACAATAAGAAGAATAAAGCTGGAGAAGTGAGTGTTGAGCAGAAAACTTCAATTAGTTCTCTAGTAGTGGTTCAAAATGTAAAGGGATATGGTAGGAATGTAATCTGAAGAGGTAGGCATGCATCAGATCATGGAAAGCTTTGTGTGCTTGTCTAGAAACATGAGTTGGATATCATGTAAGTGACAGGAATAGTCATATATATAGTCATATATCACATGGTACAGGACCAGAACCAGGGAGACCAATGAGGACACTCATGTGGTAGTCCAGGAGAGAGATGCTGAGGCAGTGAAGTAGGGCTAGAAAAGAGGGGATGAAGAAAAAGAAGGAGTCCCAGGATTCTTGAATTGGAACTGCTATCTGGTCTGGATAATAAAAGGCAAAAGGAGCCAGTTGAGAAAGGAAGAAGATGATTCATGTAATAGCACTTAACATGTAACCTCCTTAAGGTTAGGAAGCTTTATTCATTTTTGTGGTGACATCTAGTCTGTAGTAGGTGTTCAGTAGATGTTTCTTATTGAAAAAGTATGATAGTAGAAAAACTATTTTACAAGTTAAATAATTCCACAGATATGTGACTGTACTTAAAAGTATTTACCAGTTGAATCAGCCATTGAAAAATAATTATAAATGAAGAATAATGCTTAAAATTCCAGAATTCATGCAGTCTTTCAGTCATTTGTTTCGAAGTATTATGGCAGCATCTATGTGCTAGTATTTTAACTTCATGATTAAGTCTAATGTATCATCTAAGGCTCTCTCTTCACTGACATGGTTATCAATTTTATTTGTGTTCTTATTTCTTAATGTAGATGCTTATTTATAATTTTAGATGCAATATGATGTAGTCATAGGCCCATCTGGTATCTAGGCAGGAATGTAGTCCATTGTTTAAGACACTTGTTTAAGACACTTGGTAAAGGATGGGGTTGCACCAGAAAGGGTCAGGACAAGGGATCCAAAGTTTGGGAATCTAGTCAACTCTCATAAATTAGTGTTTTCAGTATATTTCTTATATCAGTATGACTAAGTTCTTTTTTCCACTGTCCAGACTATAGACTGTTTTTCATTCTTTTTTTTTTTTTTTTTTTTTGAGATGGAGTTTTGCTATTGTTGCCCAGGCTGGAGTGCAATGGCACGATCTCGGCTCACTGCAACCTCAGCTCACTGTAACCTCCACCTACTGGGTTCAAGTGAGTCTCCTGCCTCAGCCTCCCTAGTAGCTGGGATTACAGGTGCCCACCACCACGCCTAGCTGACTTTTTGTATTTTTAGTAGAGATGGAGTTTCATCATGTTGGCCAGGCTGGTCTCGAGTTCCTGACCTCAGTTGATCCACCCGCTTTGACCTCCCAAAGTGCTGGGATTGCAGGAGTGAGCCACTGCGCCCATCCTTCTTGTTGTTCTTATTTAATCTTTGGGGTATGCGTGTCTTAAGCCTGGAATATTTGACATCTTTTGGAGACACTTAGGTTAACCCTCTTGTCTGTGAATTGATTCTTTGGTAAAGCAACTTGATTGGGGGTTGGGGGATGTTACTTTTTCATCCTTGTAAGATAAACTTCTTATACATATTGTTCAGAGTGAGAGAAGAGGGGTGAACAGAAAGATATTGTTTGCTTATTTACACTTCTCAGGCTGCAGATTCAGATTGAGTTCTAGGGAAAAGAAGAAACAGAATAAACAGATATTCTCTGAAAGAAGTAAAAAAGTAAAAATAACTTCATTGGCTTGATTTTAGGTGCGTGTGTTCGCACAATTACCCCTCTATACACCTGTGCTGAGTCAGGTTGCCCAGCAGTTTATTCCCAAGTAGAAGTCATCTAGGAACCATAAAACCCTACATTATACTATTTCTCTGGGAGGCCCACAGCCCAAAATTCCTTTGTGTTTTTTGTGGCTTGTTTTAATTCTCTCTCTTTCAGTTTTAGGACTACTTGAGAATTCTGATGTGATTGGAAGAGGAATGGTTTCCCAGACTATTTTAAAGGAGGCCAGATATTTGCCCCAAAGTGACTTATTGGTTCTGTCTGCCAAGCATTTCTGATGGGACCTCTTTTTATAAACATAAGCCATTCACCATAACTCTGTTACTCTCATAAACCTTATGGTCTCACCCTAAGTCTTCACCTATGAGTTGAAAATGCTGGACTTTCAGGAGCCCTTAATAATTAAGTATGCAAGATTTTAAAATACCATCACATGGCTGATTTCTTGTATTTGGCACTTACATGTAGAGTGCATTCATATCCAGGAGCAAGTAACATGACAAACAGATCATTCAGATAACGTATACAGATAAGAGTATGACCTTAAAGCAGGTTTTCTCAACCTCAGCACTATTAACATTTTAGGCCAGATAATTCTTGGTTGTATGGACCTGTCCTGTGCATTGTAGACATTTAGCAGCAGCCGTGGCTTTTACCCACTTGATGCCAGTAACTCCCTCCTCCACTGTGACAACCAAGAATGTTTGATTATGATATATTATGTTAGGGTCAGTGTTCCCAGTAGAGAACCACTGTTCTCAAACAGTGCTTCTGAAACCTGCCTGCACATTAAAATTACCTGGGAAGTTAAATACAAAAACAAACCGAAAGGGCCCAGACCCCACCTTACACCCATAGATTTGATTGTGAAGTAGGACCTTGATCTCTATGTTATGTTGGTGGTGTTTTGGTCGTTTGTTTTTAAGCAGATTCTAATGAGCAGTTTTTAAGCAGATTCTAATGAGAAGCACCCCTGTGGAGAATACCACTTTGGGACTTAGACTTCTTGAGTAGTTTTGATTGTCTAGTGTTGAAATTTCAAGTAAATTACTTGAATTTTTTGGGCTTTATATTCTTCAGTTAGAAAATCAAAGAGATGGACTAGATCATTTCTAAATTTCTTAATTTTGAAAAAAATGCCAACTTGTTTTTATAGCCTTTTGCATAAATTCTCTTACTACATAGCTTTTACTGACAGGAAGATCTTTGTTTTATCCATTGTCTGACCTCAAGTCCTTCATGTTTTCCTCCACTTTTGTCTCTGTCTTCTTTTTGCCCTTTTCCTTAATAACGCTTTAATAAACTGTATTAGTAGATGCTTAATTGTACCTGACTATAAATATAATCATTTACTTTATGTATTATATCAAAACCAAAAAACCCTGTTAGAGCTCTCCGGGAGGGTTAGATGTAGTATTGCAGGTCCTTTATTAGTTCAGTAAATATTTGAGTGCATACAAACAAAGTGGACCTTCTCTCATGAGACATAATTACCACCAAGGGCAGTGATTTTCACACTTTGTTGCTATTATGTAGAGGTTTTTCCCATGTCTAAAGGTTTATTGTGTTTGGAGAAGCACATTCCTCTGGGGAAAATGGTTACAACCAAGAGTCTATAGAAAAGGCCTGTAGTGTTATAGACTGTGATTAGATCCTAAAGTCGTTGTTACTCTTGTCCCTCCAAATCATGGCAAAGACCAAGGATAATGGCTTCCATTTATTGCGTGCTTATTGTGAGTAGGTAAGCACAATTACTGTATAAGGTATAGTAATGATTAAAATAATTATTGGAAGCTGATTAGAAAAGTTTAGGTATCCTGCCCAGAGTCATGTGGTCAGTCTAGTGAAATTGGCCAACTTGAAATTTGACTGCAGAGTCTGAGCTTTGAACTACTGTACAACACTGCTTCCCACATAAAGGAGTTCCACTGCCCTTAATATAATCCTGATCTTACCTAGATAAATTACCTCTCTAATTCAAATAGATCTCAGTGTGTTGTTAGGATTAAATTGAGATAATATATGAGAAATGTCCCAGCTCAGTGTCTAATACATGGTAATAGTCTCTCAATAGGATGTTTCCCAAATATTTATTTCTGAAGTGCACCCAAATCTCTGTAGTTTTAGTTTTTGCCCTTAAGCTTTGGTTGGAATTAAATTACTTTCTGATATCTCCTCCTGTTATCTAATGGATGCTGCTAGTCTTTTTCCACCAGGGATCAGAGCGATAATTTGCCCTTAAAAAAAAAAAAAAGAGAAGAAATCACTATTTTCTCATCTCTCCTAAAGTTGGTACAGATTGAGCATCCCTAATCCAAAAATCTGAGAGACTCCAAAATCAGAAACGGTTTGAGCACTGACATGAAGCCACAAGTGAAAAATTCCACACATAAGTGCTTAACACTAACTTTGTTTCATGCACAAAATTGTTAAACTATTATATAAAATAAGCTTCGTGTGTAAGATGTATATGAAATTTAAATGAATTTCATATTTAGATTTGGGTCCTGTCCCAGTGGGGTATCATCTCATGTATATGCAAATATTCTAAAATCAAAAAAAAATCTGAAATCTGAAACAGTTCTGGTCCCAAGCATTTCAGATAAGGGATACTCAACCTGTAGTACTATTCTAGATAATAGTACTCTAGATGCACAGGAGAGAAGTAAATTTATTACATACAGTGGATACCTCAGGACATTAAGGCTTAACTATTTCTTAGAATCTTCATTGAAAAGATTACAGAATACATCAGGTAGCTCTGCTGTAAAATTTTAGACCAGATAATTTGAAGTGTTAATTTATTACTATTAGTCATATGAATTGTTAGATTATGGAAATGATGTAACAGTACTCAATCAAGCTATACTAGAGACTGCTTCTCAACATGAAAGGAATTATATATAACAAATTCTTTGTGTTCAAAGCCATCGGTAAGATACTGATTTTTATATGAAAGCACAGGTTTAGATTTCTGATTTATAGTGTACAGTTTCAGAGGGGGAAGGTTTTGCTCTATAGTTTTTCATTCTGCCAAAGAATGCTCCTCTCTGGGAAAATAGAGTGTAAGTACATTTGTATTTTTTTAAATGTTTTATATTTCTCAAAGCTTATTATAAATCTTTTCCCAAGGAATCATGTTATTTGTGAACACCTTTGAATTAAGACATTATTCTCATATTCCTCCAGAATTAAATACAAGCTATAATTGATCCTGACAAATTAGTGAAAATTGACATTTTCACATATTTCTAAGTCCTGTACTATTTGTACTGATTAGTTGTAGAGAATCCTTTTTTAAATCTACTTTAGCCTTCAGTTTGGTGATATTCTGGCTTCAGTGGGTCTTGTTTGTGTCAATGGGGTAGGATTGGTTTCTTAACCCCCAAATGTCCCCTTTTGAAAAATTGAAACAAAAGGCTTGACTGATAGTATTAAGTTACAAGAATATGTATATATATATTTTTTGCTTTTGCAAGGTGGAAGTATTGTTTAAATTATTGGAAAATTAGAATGATTTTATTATTTTTCTAGACCAGGAAGACTTCAGACTTAAGTGGTATGATAGTTAAGATGGAATTTTACATTTTTTTCTTTTAGGTTGACAATTGCATTTTTTGCACTCTCCGGGCTGGATATGTTGGATTCCTTAGATGTGGTGAACAAAGATGATATAATAGAGTGGATTTATTCCCTGCAGGTCCTTCCCACAGAAGACAGTGAGTGAGTTTTTAGCATTTTATTTTTAGTGTGACTGGTTGTACCTGACATAACATGTGTTGGACTAGAAAATCTTAGTACTTGTATACTGTTAACATATTTTATTTATCTGTGATTTTGTTGTAATGCAGCATTGCCATTCTGTTGAAATACAGTACTTAACAAATCTGATCATAATCTCAAGAAAACAATTTAGAGTTATCTGGAATTTAATAGAGATTCACAGTTGTGGCACCATACTATGTTGTATACTTCCACTTTGATGACTACTTGTTGATTATTTATAGTCAGTATTTATGTTTGATTAGTTCTGTAGCATTAACTCTGTTTTTCATTCCCAACAATTCTTGTCTTTTCAGTGAAAAACTCTTTGCCATCGAAAAGTTTTCTTTCAGTTTCCTGATTATTTTCCCTCCAGTGTTTCATTAGCATTTTTAATGGTTTCTTAAAGCTCTTATGTATGCTTCAGTCATTTTTACACTTAACACTTAAAAACTTTTGATTAATTAAATGAATTCTCAGAGTTCATAAATTACGTAATCAACTGCAAATATACAAGTTTTTATAAACTCTGTTATTCACTCTATTAAGTATAAAATATCTAAGATAGATATAACTTATACATGTTATAAATTCTAACCTTAAAAACATCAAACAAACAAACTCCTAGAAAATCATGCTTGTTTTTTTTTGTGGTTCGTTGGTTAGAGTAATCATATGTAAATCTCATCCAGTGAACTTTGGAGAAATAATAAGCTAAAACTTTACTTAGAAAGAAAGGTTTTCTCTGTTTGGCAGACGATCTTGAACATAGTTTGTGGCTATTTTATTCTTGAAGTTCATAGTGTTTGTTTTTATATAACTTTTTAAATCTATGCCTATTTACAAAGTCTTATTAAAAAATGATTTAAGTATTTTGAACTAGGTCTATCAGAATTAAATATATAAATATCTAATCACTTTTCTGCTAGCCCCAATGAAAGCATGTATAAGTTTGGTCAATAGTTACAGATCTAACATGTTGATGAGTAGGATTTATTGAATTTCTGCTAAGAGTACTATTCTTCTAAACCTGTAGAGAAGAGCTGTGATAAGTTGCAAGTTATGGTCCTCATTTTCCAGGAGCATGTGGCCGAGGCCACGTCTTAGTCCTAGTCACTTGCAAAATACATGTCAATTGTTGTTTTCCCTTTTTGCCGGATGTTTTTTAATAATTTAAGTGAAAGTCTGGGATTTTTTAAACAGTTGATTATTAGACTGAGGTATGGTAGAATTATTACAGATTGTGCTTGGTATTTTTTTTTAATTATAAGTACATGCCCGGTTTTTAAAGAAATGTATCTTACATGGTACAGATAGGAAATCATATACACACTGTGGCACATACGAAAGCTATTCCCTAAGTTCTTGCCGAAATATATTTTTATATTATTTTTTAATTAAAAATTTACTGAAACTCGTACTCCTGAAATAAAATAGCTATTGTCTTTATAGAAAAGGATGGACCATAACATTTAATGAGAGAACTCAAGCTGTAGGTTATAGTTTCCAGACCATTGGTCACTTACTCACCATGCTTCCTACTTTCTGTCTTTTCTTCTATTTCCCCCCACTATTAAGGATTATTTGGTGGCTCCGTAATTGAGCAATTTTTTGGTCTGTTCTTTAATAAGTGTTTACTTCCCCCTACCATTTTATTAGTGAAATGAGTTTTTTATAACGCTATTATATCTATGTTGTTTTAAAAAGCTACATACTTCTTCTCATTATTTAATCTTGTGAGAGATTTGCTATTATCTGGAGTTTCATATTATCCATAATAATTTTGTTTGTTACATAATCAACAGAATGGCTAAAAATTAAAAAGGTGGAAAATAACAAGGGTTCACAAAAATGTAGCAAACTGGAACTCTCATTCACTGCTAAAGGAGTTTTATAGCTGCTTTGGAAAACTATTTGGTTATATTTACTAAAGCTGAACATATGTATGTTCTATGACCCAACAGTTCTAGTGTATACTCAGCAGAAATTAAAACATGTTCCCCAAAAGATATGTTCTAGCATGTTTATAACAGTATTTTTTATAAGAGCCTACAACTAGTAATTATACAGACTACCCATCTTCAGTATAATGGATAAAGGATATATTAGCATATTCACACCATGGAAAATAATACAGTAATGGGAATGAACAGTCTACAACTACATTCAGTTATTTGAATGAGTGTCACAAGCATGTTTATGAGAGAAAGAAGTACATTGTATATAGTTCCATTTTTACAAAATACAAAAATAGGTCAAACCAGTCTGGGCATTTGGGGAGTACTAGAAGGAAGTGGGAGAGGCTTCTGGAGTGCTAGTCATGTACTTTTTCTTGAGCTGAGTGCTGGTTATACAGGTGAGTTTATTTTGAAAAAGTTCATGGAGCTTTTTAATTATTATAGGAGTACTTTTCTGATGTTTATTATACTTCAGGGAAAGTTTAAACATTTTTTGGAGTTAGAATTGCAGCTCACCACTCCTTTTGAGAACCATCAGAATTTTCTTTCCCATTAAACTGTCAACTCCATGGACTTCACTGGTTTGAAACCCACTGCCAATTTTTTTCTTCAGTCATTGCTGCTTAAGTTACTTAAAATATTTTTGCCTCCACCTGAATTGCAAACCTCTGGAAGGGAGACAAGTGAATGTGTCTTCTATTTCTTTTCCCTCTCAGTGCTTATTGTGTATCAGTAGTTGTTAGACTATTAAATCACCTGCCCCTTCTCCAACTTTTTTCTCTTCCTCTTTTATATATTTTCACATTTAGCCTAGGACCTCATCTGGCTCTTCAAATATTTTCTAATTCATAAAGCATTTGCAAACTGGTAGAATATGCTTTCTGCAACTCATAGGTCTGTATTTGTCCTACTTTGAGATACCACATAAAATCTAGGGAATTATAACATCTAGAAATGTTAAACAAAACCTGGGGATTATAAAGCAAAAATTTGATAGATTTGACTAAATAAATATTTAAATACTTTATGTAGTAAAAGATAAATAAGTGATGAATTTGCAGAAAATTATGGCTTGTATAATATTAACATCGACTATAAAGAATTGTTAAAGATTCAGAAGAAAAAGATACATTGTCCTTTAGAAAATGACAAAATTTATTAAGTAGTTAACAAAAGAAGTACAGATACATAAAAAGATGATTAACCTTACTAGAAATCAGGGAAATTCAGTCAAAACAATGTTACAAAATAAATGTTCATCAAAAGTGAAAGTTACATAAACTATGGCCCAGTAAAGAATATTATGCAGTAAATAAGGTAGAGCTCTATATATATACTGACATGAAACTGTCTGTCATATATATTAGATATGAGTTTTAAATTTCTTTTCAAAGAATCAATATGTCAGTATGTTCAATTTTTTGCCTTCTACTTTTAAACTTAACTTCCTCGTAAAGCAACCTTTTTCAATCGCCTGCCCCACCCTGACTCATTCTGATTACCTGCTCCACCCTGACTCATTCCAATTACCTGCTCCTCCCTGACTCATTCCGATTACCTGCTCCACCCTGACTCATTCTGATCTACCCTGACTCCCACCAAACCACTCACCTTGTCTCTCTCTTTAAATTAGCCAGTTGGAATTAGTTTAGCCTGTTTGGTCTAACCCTAGCCAATAGGGGAACAACACAGCAGCAGGGGCCACCCGCGTCAGGGATGAGAACCCCTTCCCCTCCCTTGTCCAAGTGTGTGCTCACCATTGCTCCATCTGTAAGGGCACATCCTTCTATAGAAGTAAATTGCCATGCTGAGAAGAAAAAAGAAAATTTTATATTTGAGTGCTATTTCTTTTGTGGCACCGAAACTTTACTTATAATATATATGATTAAATGATAAATTTAAAACATATACAGAGGTGCTTTAACAATCTATATAAATGTGCAGGAAAAACTCAGAAAGGATACATAGAAAATCTTTGTGGAGGGGGAAGTAGATGGGAACAGAGGTGGGGGGATGGCAAGATAAGATACTTTACTGTTTTTCTATATATCTGAATTGTTTGAATGTTTACCATAAGTAAATATGTTTCTGTATTTAAAGTTTTAAACTAGAAAAATACTTAGCTTAACCTCTCTTCAAAACATACAAAAATAAAAACTAAAAGTTCATAGCTATACGTAAATACTGATATTTTTGCTAATGGAAGAAATAATGCAATACATTATTTACTATTTTATAATTTTCAAAGCACTGCCAAATACATAATCAGATAGATTTATTCTTCACCTAATTGGCCTGTCCCAAGAAGAGGAAACTGAGACGCAAAGTGATTCAGAGACCTGTCTGAAACCTCACACAAATGATAAGAGATAGAATCGGATTGACATCTGGCACTTCTGACTCCAGGTTTCAATGTTGTTTTACTGTTTAAGTATATGAGTGGAGACAATCACGTTTGGCATATAAGGACATTGTGAATATTTAATTAAAATTAACCCTGGCCTCCACTTAACTCCAGGATTATAAAGACCCTAGTGGTTTCCTAGTAATAAGTGTATGGTGAGACCACTGGAGGATCGGGTCCTTCTCATTAACTTCAGGAGGGAAGTATTCGGGAAACACAATGGGTCAGGTTGGGAATTGTGTGTGCCCTTCTTTGAGGGCACAACCAGAGAATTTTAGACTTAGAACAGAGTGAGGACTATTACAGTCCATCATTTTACAAATGAGGACATTAAGGTTCAAAGAGATTAATAATTTGTCCACAGTAATACAGCTAGTTAATGCTAGAGACAAGATTAGAATGCAGTTTTCTAGTCCTTTGGATATTTTACTTATATGTGCTGATTCAGTGCAATAGGTGCTCTGTTTACCATGCATGTTTTTCTGTGAGGTACAGATTTTTCTCATGGGAACTCAGAGACTGTCTTATAGCTTTACAGGAAAATCTAGTATCTGTTCCTTAATAGATCCCATAAATTATTAGGATTAAGTGTTTGGAAACATAGATAAGAAGATTTAATATTAAAGGGTAAAATGTTTAATGCTTTCATTTTTTTAGTGGATTCTTCAGATGGCTCACTTTTTAAAAAATAACATGGGGGAAGTAAGTATGGTTTCATGTGGCTAAGTCAAGCGTGTTGCATATTTTAAAAATTATAAGTCATCTGTTTTGGAAATATTATAGATCAAGACATTTTGACAAAAATGGTTTTACAATGTTCATTTATATATCCAGCATTCCCAGGTCAGATGTCTGGTAGACCATTCCACAGACCTTTTCACAGTTCAGCTGCAATTCTGAATTCTCAATTTGCTATCTTGTTGAGGGAAATATTATTAAGTCTCTAATCTCTGTGAAAGAATATCTCCTGTCTGCCTTTTCTTTAATTGGTGTAGGTCCAATTCTAAAACAAATGTGTGAAATGTGGAAAATAGGTATATTTAAAATTTTTTTTTTAGCTATTGAATGTTTCATTTACCTTGTTTCATTACTTTCTTGACATCCTTAAGGAGTTGTGTAAGGCATGTCTTCTTACTAGGAAATTGTGTTTCTTGAGATTTATGTGGAATTATTTCTCTATCCATAAAATATAAATGTTCATTTTAAAATCAGAAAGTAGCCACATTCCTCACTTGAATTCTGTTTGCTTAGGGCAAAAACTTTTAAAATGAGGATTAGAAAGTTAAGAAGTTAAGAACATGAGCAAATCAGTTTTGAAATATATTTAAGAAGCATAATCATCATTAATAGTATGGTGATATTTTGGCCCAAGAGCTGTCCTTTATTATACCTAAATATAATTTTGAATGCAATTTTATATTTCACAATACAGTTTATTGCTTTTTATGAAAAGCAACTCCCCTGATTAAAATAAACCTCTTTAAACTCTCAAACTTTTATATTCCATAAGTTTATAACCGTTTTTTAAAGAATATCTAAATGTACTATCTTTCAATGCTTGACATATAGTTGGTTTTATGAGCTTAATAGTAAAACACTAAGTTTTAAAGTGACATATGACTCAGTCATCAGGCAAGAGTCAGCTTAATAAATTTTCATGTACAAACGTGCAAATAAATGAATTATTCTTCCTTATAGTTGATAACTATAGATACATTATATTTTCTAATAACACACTTCCTGCATACTTACACATAAACACACACACATATTACATCCATGTACATACTCCCATTTTTGCTGCCTTTCTCATCTACCCAGTTTTCATTTTTCTTCAGTAACCTCAATTTTTATGATATAGTGCTATCTAAAGTACTTATGTTAAACAGCATAAACAAGTTTGACTCTATAGTTCTACAAAAGTATATTTACCAAATCAGTAGTTCTTGATTCTGACTATGTGTCAAACCGGGATTGTTTTTCTTTTTAAATACAATTTTCCAGGCCCTATCCTCATGCTTTTTAACAGGCATGGGAGGGGAGATGCAAGAGGCATCTCTGTTTTTTCAAAATAGGCAATTGATTCTGATGGGCAGCCAGACCACACAAAGAATTTTCAGTTTGTTTTGCAACTGTTAAATAGGAACACTAGATGGTGCTGTTTGATAACCTGGAAAGAAATTTATACTGTACCCAGAGTATGCATTCAGCGATAAATTTACAATGAATTGTGTGTGTATACTTTCTTAATTATCATGAAAAGGTATGCTTACTAGAATTCCAAAGGAAAGCACACAAGAGCAGACAAATATTGACAGAAACCGCAAAAGAGTACCTAATAAATATTTTTAAGTGGTGAATTTTTTTTTTTTTTTTGAAATGGAGTATCATTCTGTCACCCAGGATGGAGTGCAGTGGCGCAATCTTGGCTCACTGCAACCTCCACCTCCCGGGTTCAAGCAATTCTTCTGCCTCAGCCTCCCAAGTAGCTGGGACTAAAGGTGTGCTCCACCACACCCGGCTAATTTTAGTACTTTTAGTAGAGATGGGGTAGAATTCTCCATGTTGGTCAGGCTGGTCTCGAACTCCTGACCTCAGGTGATCCACCCACCTCGGCCTCCCAAAGTGCTAGGATGACAGGCTTGAGCCACCGCGCCCGGCCTAAGTGGTGAAAAATTAAGTGGTGAAAATGTTACCTCCTAATGAGCATCATTTTTTAAAACATTAGGATTTAAGTGTGTGACTGATAACTCAATTTAGTAAATGAGTAATTTTCTTGATTTCTTAGTTACTTCATCATAGCTTTTCATAAGAAACAGGAGAATTCTCTTACTGTAGAATAAAGTATAAACTTTAGAATAAACTTCTTTATCCAGTTTCATAGTCCACAGGTGATTAAGAAGAAGGCAAAAAATACTACATTGTCTTTTCCCTATACTGTGACCGTGGTGCTTAAGATCCAAACACTTTTTTCATGACAGTATACAGTCTTTCTGGAAAAAAAAAGAAAAACATTTTTACTTTAAAAAAGCTTTCCTTGATAAATTGCAACAAAAGCTATTCATTTCTTCCTGTTTCACTTTTGATAAAATACAATTAACTGATTTTGAATGGTTACTGTTTATTAAGCCTTGTTTCACTTTGCTAAGTACAATCTAAACATGTCCTTTAACCTTTACAAGAAGCCTGAAGTATATTACTTGCAATATGTTATTGTTACTAGTTCAAAAATGGAAGAAACTGGCTCAGAGAGGTTGTTACTTGCCTATAGAACTCATTGATAGGAAGAATAGGATCCTGAGTTTGATTCCAAGTGTCCATGCCATAATCTCCTAACCTTATATGGTACTTTTAAGTATTGATATTTCTGCTGCTTTTCAGAAAAGTTATTTATTTAATCAGGCTAAAAACAGAAGTGAACAAACAGAAATGTCATTTACTGATTCACCTCTAAGAAGATGAATAAATTCATTTATTTCACTCAGAAGCAGATATTTTATTGAGCCACTACTATATGTCTGCCTCTATGTAAAACACCTGACAGAATTGTTTAAGTTGGTGGGGTACTCAACAAAGGTGTCCAGTTGCAAGTATAAATGCAGAACTGACAGATGGTATCAGAGCTGTCTTCCATCAAAAGTAGAAATGGGATCACATTTTTATGGAGGACTGTTAGCAGATTAGTAACTTGAAAGGATACCCTTTAAAAAAGACAATCCCAAGAACAAAAAGAGAAAAAAAAAGATTTAAAAATGTTTTAATCATATAGGAAAATACGCCTTTTGATACTGCCCCTCATCCAACTAGAGAAGGATTAAAAGAAGTGATGATAAAAGGATAGGCTGGGTGCGGTGGGCTCCTGCCTGTAATCCCAGTACTTTGGGAGGCCAAGACAGGCAGATCACTTGAGGTCAGGAATTCGAGACCAGCCTGGCCAACACGATGAAACCCCGTCTCTACTAAAAATACAAAAATTAGCTGGGCGTGGTAGCTCATGCCTGTAGTCCTAGCTATTTGGGAGGCTGAGGCAGGAGAATTGCTTGTGCCTGCGAGGCAAGGTTGCAGTGAGCCGAGATCATGCCCCTGCAGTCCAGCCTGGGCAACAGAGCAAGACTCTGTCTCAAAAATAAAAAGGATAAATGAATTCATAACTTGGTAAGAGAAAGATAACTTTTTATTTTTTTTTTAAGTATAGCATTATGTACAATTTGGAATATGGGGGGTGTGTTAGGTAGAATCCTTTTTTTTTTTTTTTTTTTTTTTTTGTGAGACAGAGTCTCGCTCTGTTGCCCAGGCTGGAGTGCAGTGGCCCGATCTTAGCTCACTGCAAGCTCCGCCTCCCGGGTTCATGCCATTTTCCTGCCTCAGCCTCCCGAGTAGCTGGGACTACAGGCGCCCGCCACCGCGCCCAGCTAATTTTTTGTATTTTTAGTAGAGACGGGGTTTCACTGTGTTAGCCAGGATGGTCTTGATCTCCTGACCTCGTGATCCGCCCGTCTCGGCCTCCCAAAGTGCTGGGATTACAGGCATGAGCCACCGCGCCCAACCTGTGTTAGGTAGAATTCTAAAGATGTTGCCCCAGGATTTCTGTTCCCTGTTAATTCAGTCAAATACTAATCTGGGTACTGCTGTGAAGGGACTGTGTAGATGGGAGTTAAAGTTATACTAATCAACTGACCTTAAAATGTGGAGCTTATCCATAGGTGACATGTGTACAGGTGGGCTCAGTATAATCACATGAACAGCAGACGAACACAGAAACGTTCGTCATGGAATTGCAGAGAAAGGGAGCAGAAGAGAGAAGAGAAGGTAGAGAGGGTCTAATGGAAAAGATTTGAGTGCCGTTGCCACTCTGAGATATGGGGCCCATATATGAGAAATGGCAAGAGAGGATCTAGGAGCAAAAAGGGATACCTACCAGCAAAGAAATGGAGAACTCAGTCACACAACTGCAAGGAAGTTGATTCTGCCAGCATCCTGAATGAGCTTGGAGGCAGATTGTTCCCCCAAAGCCTCCAAGTAAGGAAGGTAGCCCTGCCTACACCTTAACTTTAGCCTGATGATGCCTGTGTTAGACTTCTGACCTTACAAACAGTAAGGCAGTAGGTGTTTTAAGTTGCCAAGTTTGTGGTAATATGTTATGGCAACAGTGACTAATACAGAGAACAAATTTCAGCCTTATTCATATCATCTCACACCATTCATATTATTTTGTTTATTCCCTTCCAGTCTTTGTTGATATGTGCCATTTGCTTAATTATAAACATAAAAATGCACATTTATTTTTGGATCCTACTTTTTTGCTTAACTTGATCAAATACATTTCTCTGTGTTGCTACATAGTTCTACTGATTATTATTTTTAATAGGAATATAGCGTTTCTTTCAGTACATGAGGCATGATATGCTTAACCTGCTGGACTTTTATGGTGCTTCTAGATTTTCACTATTATTAAACTGCAGTGTGCATTTCTTCTCATACTTGAAATTATTGGAATTGATTCTCAGATATATCATGACTAGGTCAAAAGGTTATGAGTGTTTTTATAACTTCTGTTATATATTGGCAAGTTTTAAGTAGCTTACCAATTTAAAAGTCCTTAGGATAAGAGAACCATAATTTGACTGGGTCAAAAGGATATGAGTGTTTTTATAACTTCTGTTATATATTGGCAAGTTTTAAGTAGCTTACCAATTTAAAAGTCCTTAGGATAAGAGAACCATAATCACTGAAATCATAATCACCATTAGTATCTTTTTTTTTTTTCAAGACAGTTTGACTCTGTCGCCCAGGCTGGAGTGCAGTGGCACGATTTTGGCTCATTGCAACCTCCACCTCCCGGGTTCAAGCAATTCTCTTGCCTCAGCTTCCCCAGTAGCTGGGATTACAGGCAGGTGCCACTACACCCATCTAAGTTTTGTATTATTAGTATAGATGTGGTTTTACCATGTTGACCAGGCTGGTCTGGAACTCCTGACCTCAGGTGATCCGCCCTCCTCTGCCTCCTCCCCAAGTGCTGGGATTATAGGCGTGAGCTACCACACCTGGCTGCTAGTATCTTTTTAAAATACATTTTTCGCCAGTAGGGAGATGATAATTGGTGGAGAGTTTAAATTTAGTGGTTCCTAATTTGTTCAAAGAATTAATGTATAAGCTACTATTTTAAGTTTTTTGGGGGGATAAGAAGCTGAAAAAATATAGTACCTAATGCAGAAGTAGGAGAGTGAAAACAGTTAATAATGAAGTTAGTCATACACTAGTCATAATCTCTTATGAAGGTAGTTCTTCATATCAGAGACTATTTTTAGACCAACTCGATTTTTTTTTATCAGCGGTGCATTTACAGTCTGCTGATACTGCATTGTTATTTTCTGCATCTATCATACTGATTTTCTAATAGCTATTAAAACCATAATTGTTGTATAGTTGATTGTTCTTTCAAGTTCCCAACTTATATTCCATTGATATCTTGAGAAATGAAAATTTTTAGATAGAAAAAAAGTATGGATAAACATATTTTGATTGAGTAGAGAGAGACTAAGTGCTAACTTACAGTGTTCTACATACTTCAAAGCCAAGTGGATTACTGGACTCAGAACGAAGGTCTAGCTAATGTGGAAATACAAAGTACATATTTTCTCTTCAGCTTTAAACCTTTAGTTTGCTCCCATGTAAAGAAGCAATGAGTTAAAGTAAAAACACACTAAATGAGTTAAAGTAAAAAGACAGTAGACCCTATTGTGTTATTAACCGTTACCTTGAACAATCACTTAACCTCTGGGCTTCTGTTTTCTGTTCTGTAGAAAGGGGGATTGAACATGTTGATCACATAAAAATTGATCTGACAGGAGAAGTATGAAAGGACTGTATAGGCAGTGAGGTGGGCTATTAAAAAAAGGTACATGATAGAAATAATTATGTTTTTTGTGACTCATATGGAAATTAAATGAGGAAATTCCCATAAGCACCTAGAATGGACCTGGCACATGGTAAGCATTCAGCATTAGCCAGTATGAAAATGGAGACTAAAATAGTCTGTTTCTGAAAGATTGTGTAATTAAACTGCTTTAGAATCTGTGCAAAAATAAAGTGTACTTTAAATAAGCACATGCTTTTATTTTCTAGGATCAAATCTAAATCGCTGTGGTTTCCGAGGCTCTTCATACCTGGGTATTCCGTTCAATCCATCAAAGGTTGGTTCTATTTGGTTCAGAAGGAAGTAGAAGGGATGTAGGGATATTTTAATAAAAGAGAAAACTAAGAAGTTACACAGAAAAAAACAGGCTTCCAGATTTCAATGTGGCTAAATGTTGTCTAATAATATATATATATTATAAACTGAAATCCTTTAAAGGAAACCTATACCTACTTTACTTCCTCAAAGAAGTGCACTTTCTTCCGGGAAGAATACATGCAGTACATAAACACACACAAATTTCTATTAATTGTTACAAAAAATTGTCTCAGTATCATACATCTGTGTGTAAAAGTTATTGGTGATTTCCTGAGTAAAGGAAAACAGAGCACTGAAGTGTTTTGATACCTGCTGTGTAAGAAGCCAGTAAACTTTGTTGTGTTTATAGAAAGACTCTACATTTAGCTCACATTTCTTAGGAATAAAAGAAAAAGCCCTTCTAAAGGCAGTGATTGAAGACCTAGGTAGTGATTATTTTAATGACTTTTATTAGAATATGCAGAACTTCTTCATGGTTATATCCAAAGGCCTTGATACCAGCACATGCCAATATAAAAACAGTGAGTCCTAACAGAGGGAGGAGCTTTATTTCTTCTTCAAAGGAGCAGACCCAGAAGAAACTTTGTAGGTGTTCCATATGTACACAAAATACAAGTATTTTTCTACAGTAGAAAGTGGAGAAAAGCATCATTTTTTCTAAAGCGGCCTCACACCATAGAAACTTTTTCCCTGATGGGGCCAGCCTGCTTATGTAATGGTTATAAGCCAGTATCTTGTTGGGCTGAGTATCCACTTGCAAGGTAAGTGGAGAGCTACCAGTTTTTCCGTAATCAGCTTCAAATTTTTGGAATAAATAGCAGTAATGTTGAAGAAGATGACATACTTTGATAGAGGTACTACTTCAGCTTTCTTCCTCTGCCTTAAGCTGTAAACCAGCTTGCCTGTGTCAAGGTCATATGAATTTACCAGCAGGACTCCAATTATGGGTGCCCACTGCATTTAGCAGGGAATGAGAAAACAAAGGATTCAGAAAATTTGTCCCTTTTCATGCCTATCATATTTTCCACCTTAAGCTAATCCAGAATACAGGTAATGTCTTCATTTAGTCATAATGAACAGAATATCGTGCCACTAGTTATGATGACCGTTATATAGTACTATACTATATATAGATGTCTACCTATATTTGTTACAGTGCTTTAATAACATTACTTTTAAAATATGATCCTTCCCCCAACCAACGCCTGCACCAAAACATTTTCAAAATAACAGGAGTAAAATTGAAGAAAAAACCATTATTGCCCTTGGTTCACAGAGTCTCCTGAAACTCCTTTTTGGACCTTCATTCACCTGCACCCTGATATCTTCTGGGCAAGCTAGGTCTCACTTCATGCTGTATTACCTTCATCTGAATTCTGGGTGGTAAAAGGAACTAGATATTCCAAGTGGTATCACATAGAACCGTCACTGAGAGTGGTGACTGAGCGTCTAGGAGACAGATTAGGCCAAGAGAATGTGAGGAGGCACATTAGATTGTCCAGTACAGTATATGAATAAAATATTGTCACTGAGTTTTCTTCTGAAGCCACCAAACTACCTATGGACCATTCACTGACTTACCTGATAAATGCTTGGGACCTTCAATGGCTGTAGAGCACTTTTTGAGAAACACTGATGGATCCTCCCACTATTGTCACAATTTCCTTTCACAAATCCCATGCTCTCTAGCAAATTTTGTGTTGTCCTTAATGTGCACCCCAGAATTATCCTTCTCTAATTTGCGTTTACTTTTTCTTCTACCTGTAATACCTCCTCTTCATCTATACCTGCCCAGGCTCCTCTTCTGCAGAAAAGAATTCCTATTTAAACCCATGTTATTATTATCCCTCCCTTATGACTACTCATTACATTCTATTGTAATTATTTGAGTAGACTTATCTTCTGCTCTTAAGGTTAAGGACCACATTTAATTTATGTTTGGCTTCCATGCAGTTGTTTTAACATAGCAGGTATTTACTTTAAGTATCAAAAAGTTAAATATGCAATAGGAATTCTAAGAAGTCAGTTGTAAATGTGGAATAGGATAGCCAGGAGAACTAGAGCTTGAGTTCTAAGGAGGAACTTAGAATGAAAGACATAAAGATGGAAATTTGCTTGGTACATTTGTGAGACCATATAAAGAACTGCATATCTGGCCAGGCACAGTGGCTCACACCTGCAATCCCAGCACTTTGGGAGGATGAGGAGGATGGATCACTTGATCTCAGGAGTTTGAGACCAGCCTGGGCAACATGGGAAAAACCTGTTCTGTACATAAAATACAAAAATTAGCTGGATGTGGTGGCAGGTGCCTGTAGTCTCGGCTACCTGGGAGGCTGAGGCAGGGCAGGAGGATTGCTTGAGCCTTGGAGGCGGAGGTTGCAGTGAGCGAGATTGTGCCACTGCACTCCAGCCTGGGTGACGGAGCAAAGCCTATCTCAAAAAAAAAAATGTGTATCTAAAGGTGGGTAGGTGGGGTGGGTTCAGATTATTATAAAAAGGGTAGTGAACACCATTCAAATTCATTCTGTGAGGAACCATAGAAGGTAAGTATGCAAGAAAATCTTACGATTCATGGGTGGTTTCAAGACCCTTGGATCTTGACTCCAAAGAACTAGTGGTCCGTCTGATATTTGCCTTGCACTTAGTCACCATTAAGATAAGTAACAGCTTTTTAGACAGTAACTTACTTAATCGTCACAATAACCTTGTGATGTACTAATATCTTCATTTTCTAGGATTAGGAACATTAAGCAAGCCAGTGAGAAATAGAACCAGGATTTTATGCATTTCAATGATTGTAAAAGTTTACATTTATTATAGAAGGCAGAAGAGTTTATTTTAATTGTATCGTTTTTTAGTTTCTTATATGGTGATCACTACTGTGGTATTTCATTTAGATTTGTGCTATATAAAATAAGTTTTGTTTTAGAAATCTTTTTTTCTGGAAGGCTATATGCTTTTCTGACTTTATAAGACTTAAATTATAAGTGATAGCGTGATTAAGTTTGAGGTTTAAATAATTTAGCCAGGCATGGTGGTTTGTGCCTGTTGTAGTCCCAGCTACTCTGGAGGCTGAGGCCGGAGAATCACTTGAGCCCAGGAGTTGGAGACTGCAGTGAGCTATGATTGCACCACTACAGTCCAGCCTGGGTGACAGATAAGACCCTGTTACTAAAAAAAAAAAAAAAAAAAAAAAAAAAAAATCCAAAAAAATAAGTAATACATAATTTGCTTTACCTGAATATCATAACTACTTCCATAATGCCTGAGGTATCAAAGAATTTAAAGATTAAGTAGCCTGTGCAATCATATTCATATTGAGACATACATAAAATGGAGATTTGTTTTTCTCAATAAGATGTCTATACAAATCAGTATAAGCCATATTTAATTTTACTATTTACTAAAACCTTATGTCAGATTTCTTAATGAAATAAGTTTTCATTTCACTTCATTAATTAGTACTATATTAATTTTGTATTTAGGCTCCTGGAACAGCTCATCCTTATGATAGTGGCCACATTGCAATGACCTACACTGGCCTCTCATGCTTAGTTATTCTTGGAGACGACTTAAGCCGAGTAAATAAAGAAGCTTGCTTAGCGGGCTTGAGAGCCCTTCAGCTGGAAGATGGGAGGTATGAGTGATTCTTTGTTACTTTTTTTGTAATAAACAAAAATATATTGGAACTAAAAAATGGATACAGTACTATACTAGATCTTTAGAGGATCATACTCTATTAGAACCCCACCTAAAGCTTACGAGGTACATAATTAAGTGCATAGTCAAAAAAGTGACCTCAGATTTCCTCTGTGAGTGAAAATAATAGTAATTACAATAGCCAAACACCTTTATCTTCCTTCTTAATAACAATGGGTACATAAATAAATGGTTGAATAATTTCAGGATTGGAATCTAATTTACATTCTAGATGAAAAATTGATATTTTGAAGTACGCATACATTTAGTCTGGACCTCAGTTCCTTGCTTTATGGTGATTAGGGAAGAAAGGGGTGAACACTGAATATTGTATTCCAGAGTAGGTAGTTTCCATGACATTTTTAAAGGATAGAAAAAGGAGTTCGTATGTTCATTGATATTTGGTGATTCACATAGTGTGTCTAAAGATGAATCTTCCTGGAGCTTTAAGGTAGAAAAAAAATTTTAAGTCTGAGAAGCGATAAAGCAGTAGTGAAAAGATTAAGGAAAAGACTGCAAACAAATCCTGCTGTGCTGTTAACTCTTTGTGCTCCATCTACTAATAGCTCTGTTTTCCCGTCAGTGTTTTCAAAACACTGCTCTTGATGAGGGAAAAATAAATGTAGACAAGTAGAATAAATTGACATTAATTGGAAACCCTATGAAACTAAATATTTACTTCATCCAGTACATATATGACTTATGTCTCAATATTTCAGTGTAGTCTTTGATTATTGCTTCCTTATTCTTGTTTATAAATACATACACAACATAGATTGCTGCCTCTCTACAACTAATATGTAAAATTAAAATACAATATGATCAATCGATTAAATGGTTATCTGTGTATACATTTAGAAGAAATTTCACATAGAAAAACTTGGGCTTGGAAATTTCGTATACCCAGTAGGTCTCAGGTTTTACCTTTTACTTTTTCTGCCATTCTCAAGCCAGTATACTGCAGCTGTCCCTGGCTAGGATCAAATAAGCTTATGCTGAGTAAGCATCCAGGAGGGAGTAACATGGTAGTGTGTAAAAATACCAAGAAGTCAAAAGTTTGTAGTAGAATGATGATTTAGAGAAAGTTTTATATTATTCAAGTTAGTAGTCTTATTCTTTATTGAATAATAAAAGTAGAATATTGAATAATAAAAGTAGAATAATCAACAGATTTTTCTGTTAGTAAAGACAAGCAGGAGGTGTTTCTAACCCCCATGCAAAAAAATCAGAGTCCAGTGTTAATAGAAAATCATATTGTTGTTATTATTTTCAGTTTTTGTGCAGTACCTGAAGGCAGTGAAAATGACATGCGATTTGTGTACTGTGCTTCCTGTATTTGCTATATGCTCAACAACTGGTCAGGCATGGATATGAAAAAAGCCATCACCTATATTAGAAGGAGTATGGTGAGTTCTGTTGATAAAATTGACTATTTAGGTTGTTTTTGCTGGTACATGAGGGCTGTATTATAGTGTATGTCTCATCTCTTCCGCCAACAATTTGTAAATAAGAGCATTAAGATTGCTTTTTGGTAAATTGTGTATCAGAACACAATAAAGAAATAATCTTAAAGTGCAGATTGACTCCTTGGCCATTAAAATTTAATATGATTTTATTTAAAGAAGCAGTATCTTTATAAGAAAGGGATTGGTTGACTTAAAAGAAAAATAAGTAAAATCTGAAAGTCGAATATTGACAGCCTATTCTAGCAGGAGTTAGTAGAGAGTCCTGACACGCAAACTGGAAGATTATGTTATCTTTGGTGAGACTATTTCTCTCATCTTTTTATTGGCATTAGTAAGGAAAGCTTAGTCTTAGCCAGAACTATCCTTTGCTCTACTGTGTCATCTCTGTATAAAAGGAGAAATAAAACTTCTGCATTCCAGGTTTATTATTTCCCAAATATGAAGTTTTTCATTTTATAGATTATTTTGAGGCTGTTAGAATATTTTAGGCTGTTAATTCAACTTTTCATAGGCAATATTTCAAAATGAAAATGCCTGTGAGTTCCTAAGAAGAATGGAGTTGCATTTAAGTGAGTGTGTAACAGTGGATCATATTTTTGTAGATTCCACAACAGCCCAAATTTTAAAAAGCCTCTGGATACAGAAAGAAGATACCATTAAAGGAGTTTTAAGAGGAAAAGAGATTTATGTTTGATAGGAGGGTGGGTGATAAGAATTTTTGGTATGAATAGTACAGAAGTAATACTGTCTTCTCAGTGCACTGTATTTGGAGGTGCAGCAAGTTGATTTGCCCTGTGTCTGCTCACTTGGTTAAGGTGGCATATGCCAGAGTTTTCTCTGTAAAGTTAGTGTTTTTCCCTTTGTAATTACCGAATATCTTGTGGTGAGATACCTGGAGACTAAATATTCAGTGAGTCCCTAATCAAATTTTTATCCAATAGTGTTGTTAGTATGCATTGATGATTTTCCAGCTCTAGCATCCTTCCTATAAATATCAGTTAAAATTCTACTGTTTGAAAAAAACTTTCTCTCTGCATTTATTTATTTACTTATACTTACTTATTTATATCTCTATGGACTTCAGTTTCTTATTTTATTCAGTGGGTTGTAATCTGTTACTGTCATTATTTTGATGCTCAGATTGTCCTAGATTAGGCCTGTGGAACCCCTTTTAGTAGGCTCTATGCCCTTTTGACATGTTACCCTCATTCTTTGAAGACCTCCTTGCTTTCTGGCACAAGATATTCCAGGTTTATCTTCTACTTTTCCATCCTCAGCTCTGGAATCAGTCATTTCTTTGAGGAGCCTTGGTTATTCTTGTTGGAGGATAGGGTTTAGAAACTAGAATCTGGGTACTAAGTATGCTCATTGGTATTGCGATGTCATTACTTCTAGGCCTTTTCTCGGGCAGAGATAGGAAATGTATGTGTACATAGGCATCCCCTTACAGACACACAGAATCTATATTTCTGTATCTATTTATATGTCTATATATTAAAATCATGAATCTATCGTGATGCCTCAAATTTCAGTCTTAACACCACAGGGCTCATTTTAACTTTCGTCCTTTCATTTATGACTCCATTTCTGATAGTGACAAGCAGTCCTGGCTCCTATTACCCAGAATACATTGGTTCTTTTTGTTTTGAGTCTGAGGGCATATAGTCAAAGTACTATATTTAAGAAGTACTCCAGTTACTTATTTTATTTCCCCCCTTTAATATGGTTATGTTATCTGTTTGAAGTACCATTAGGTTATTTGTTTCTCTTTGAATTCCATTTTAGGCTTTTCCTTCACTTAGCTCTCTCCTGCCCACAACTTCGTTGACTTTATTTATTTACTTAATATGTGAAAAACTAATTTGGTTCTTAAGGTCAGAACTATACAAAAAGATATATACAGAGAAGTGTGACTCCTTGCCCCTCACCCTCCCTGTATTCCCCCCTCTTCTTAACTCCCATACTTAACATCTTGTTCCCTGTCACCCTGTAGGTAACTATTCTCGTTAGTTTTCAGTTTATCTTTCTTACATTTCTTATTGATGAGAAGATATGGATATTTTTAATGCTTTTCCTTTCTTCATAAGGTAGCATACCATATTCTTTTTTTTTTTGCTGTTTGCTTTTTTCACTTAACAATATAGCTTGGGAGAAAAAAAAAAACACCAATACAATGTGAAAATTACTCCTTATCAGTTCAGAGAGATTTTTCTCTTTTTCTTATAGTTTCCTATTATATTACTCCACTGTGTGGATGTGCAGATGTACCATGGTTTTTTTCAGCTATTCTACATTTAGAGCATATATTTTGCAATTACAAATAATGCTGTAATTAATAACTTCCTGCATATATATTTCTATATTGTTATAGATACATCTTCAGGGTAAATTTCTGGTAGTGGAATTGCCTGATCAAAAGGTAAATGCATATGTAATTTTATTAGAGATTGCCCATTTTCTCTCCAAAAAGGATAGACCAGTTTGTTTTCCTACCAATATAAGAGAGTGCCTGTTTTCACATAGCCTCACCAATAAAAAGCGTTATACTTTTTTTGTTTTTACCTTTTTTTCTGGTAGTCGAAAAGTGATATTTCAGTATATTTTTAATTTTGCTGCCCTCCTCTCATGATTTTTCATTTTATTATTTCTTTTATTATGAGTGTAATTGACCATTTTCTTAACTCGAGGGCCATACAAATCCAGACTGCAGGCCAGAGTTAGCCTTTGGGCCATTGCTGACCCCTAGTTCTAGTCCATTATTTTGCATTTGCTTTTTTTTTTTTTCCTTCTTTTTTTTCTTTTTAGGAATTCCATTTTAGTGTCTGTTCTTATTTTTTTGCCTGACCTTCTTTTCAGCCACTTTCTCTTTGACCTTTTTGACTTATCTCATTTTTATTCTCTTGGATGTTTTCTCCTTTTTTCAGTGTCCCTTGTATTTTCATTTGAGATTATTCTTCCTTAGTCATCCTGTAATTTAAAATTTATTTCTTATTTTGTCTTTTTCTTCTATTTCTTTTCTAACACTATTTCTCTTTTTATTTCTATTGTTTGTTCATCTGTTTTTAGCTTTTAATTTCGTTTTTTATTTCCAAATGGTTGTTTGAGGGTATGTATTTGAGTGTGGAGTGCTACATTACAGTTTTCTTCTGATTCATGCCTATTTCTTGGGAGTAGAGGCAGATTTTCATATACTTAGGTGTTAGCGTTTCATTTGCTGTATTTTCATCTCAGAGTTACTTTGTATGTTAGTGATTTTTATTTTTTCTGATAAGAATTCCTAGTTTAAGATTGTTCTCTTCATTGTAATGCAGTATGCTTTCTTTACTGGGTGGCTTTTTTTGTAGCTGGGGTTGTTCTATGATTTTTCTGATAGGAAAAAGGTTCTCTTTTGTTTCTCAGGTATCTAAATTTTGCTTTTTTGAGCTTTCCTTTATCACCTGATTTTCAAAGGGCTTCTCCCTCCTTTTTTAACTTTCTTCACCAAAATTTACACTCTTTGAGCCCTGCCACTTTGACTTGCACATTCTTTTAAGTGCCTTCCATATAGCCAGTGCTGTGTTTACCAGGCCTCTTTCTGAACAGGCTATCCTCATTTTGCATGACAGTGCCATACTATAATGATAACCACACAAGCTGAAATGATACAAGGTGATTTTAATCATCAATGGGAAAAATTATGATTGTTTTATGACCTTTAAAATTTTTGCCAAAACTTTGAAAACTCTTCCTGTCAGTTATAAATGTATGATGTTTTAAATAGTAAAATCAGTATATAGTATACTATGATGTTTTAAATAGTAAAATCAGTATATGGTATACTATAATTTAAAACATTAGAAATATTGTGAATATTGCCTTCTTCTCATTATATAAATTATAAGATGGAGTATTTTTTCTGTGTCTTGGCAAATGACCACAATCTAAGTTTCTATCAGCTTCCAACGTTGTGTGTTTTGTGTTTTCAGTGTTGTGAAGTCGCTGAGAATTCCTTTTATGTGAAGTTTTTTTGCCCATAGCAGT
This sequence comes from Homo sapiens, assembly GCF_000001405.40. Classification (NCBI taxonomy): domain Eukaryota; kingdom Metazoa; phylum Chordata; class Mammalia; order Primates; family Hominidae; genus Homo; species Homo sapiens. The sequence goes on along the minus strand of NC_000005.10, from coordinate 115,232,309 downwards.
TCCCTAGAACATCTTCCTCTTTTTTTATCACAAGCTCTTCCCTTGCTTATAGATGTTTCACCTTCACTTAGTTCTTCTGGTGGTATACCTAGAGTCTCAAACAGCAATATTATCAACATTCCCGTAATAGCTGTTTCTTCTATAACTCTAATTTTAAGTTCATACCCAGTGTTAATGCTTTTTATTTCTTTACTGCACTTTCATCTTTGTTGGCCAAGCCCCTCTTTCTGTTATGCCTTTTAATAAAACATCATGTGGGTTTATCACTGAGAGACAAAGAACACAACCACAGTCTGCTATCTGTGTGTGAACTGAATAACATGAGCAATGACCAATTCCTAACAGACTTTGAAAAAGGTGGTATGATTGATCACTGATCGCGATGCACATGTGTTATTTATGTAGTGATTTGCAGAGTGAAGAGCCAGCAACGGAGTTTTGTACTTTTTGCAATTATGGTTAATATGCTGCTGTGGTTACTGAAGTTTGTTGTGTTATTTAGCTAAACCATGGCAACTGGAATGTGTGCATAAGAGAACTGTGCAAAGTGAGAACTGCCTGTATTTCTCATATTTAGGGTGGACTTTCTCTTAGGCAGTGATTTTAGATCAATCTCAGAACTACTGTTAGCTCCCCTCCTCTCATGATTTTTCATAAATCACCCTTGCTCTCTGCAAAGGTGTGTAGAGTTGCAATAGACGGCTTGCTGGGATTTGATGTTTCTTTTTCTGTAGACAGGTAATCTGAAGCTTGAGTGTGTCTTCTTGCTTTGCTAAGATTTGAGATTTCAAAGTTTTATTGTTCTTCTTCTGTTTTGATTTTGGAGTGTATGTGGGGAGATTCAAATAATGGTACCCAATAATGGCTACCATTATTCTCAGTGACCCCAGACTGCCTCAGAATAGACTTGTTTCATGTTTATAATGTTCTATCAGTATGAAATCCTTACATTTTCCTCCAGCTCACGTATACTTGCAATGGTAAAGGAGTAAGGTTTGGAGCTTTTATTGAGTAGGGATTGAATATGTAGATAACTTTGAATAATCTATTCTCAGAATGTGCCTAGTGTATGCATTTAGTGATTTGGCTTGGTGAATAAGAAGAGAAAATCAGGTATTTGAAAATGCCTAATTCTACTTCTCCATGGGGAAAAACGCATATTTTGGAAGATGTAAAGGAGAAATAAAATTTAAAGAGACCTAAAAAACTTAGTTCATTGGCAACTTATTTATTCATTTATTATTATTATTATTTCCCTATTAAACTGAACAATGTTTTTCTTTTTCAGTCCTATGACAATGGACTGGCACAGGGAGCTGGACTTGAATCTCATGGTAAGACATCTTAAATAAGTGAACATGTAGTTTCTTTTGTTCCCTTAGACAACATCTTGGTGTCTTCAGTATGGAGAACCTCAGAAGTTTTTCTCAACCCTTGGTGCAGCATAATTTTCTTCTTTGTCACTTTCCTGATTCTCTTTTGACACCATTTTGTCTATTTGAAGCCTCTTTGGTCAGTAATCATTCAGGTGTTATTCAGGCTGGGATGTTCATATGATGTTTTCTAGTAATCTATTCAAGTGTTATCTGCATGAAAATATCTTGGGATTGTTTCTTACACTATCATTAGAAAACAACAGGTTTTCTTTGGCATAACTCTAAAAGGCTAGACCAAATATAGAATATTAAATATGAATGCACAAGTTCATGAAGAAATGAACATTTTTATTTTCCTTAACAAAATTATTATTAGTCATAGTTGTAAAACATTTTGCTGCTTAGCTTATATTCAGTGCAAACATTAATACAGTCTTTTCTTTCATGTTTTTTTCCACTTTGGCAGAACTAGAATAATGATGTGATAGTCACTAAGTGTCAGCACATCAATAGCCTGAATTCTCTCAAGTTGAAATTTCCATTTGGAGATAAATAAGCTTCCATTCTTCTTTTCTAAAAAGAAAAAGGCCAGGTCATGGAGACTCTCTGAGTGAATTTCACTTTCTTCCTCATCACAGCAGTTTTCCATATAATTATTTGTTATCTCCATCCCTTTGCTAGCATAATGTAGCAGAAAGAACAGATCAGTGTTCTTGTCTCAGCCCTGACACCAACTGAGTGACCTTGGCTCCTCATGTAATTTCTCGGAGGGTTTCCTCATCAACAGAGTAGAAAGAATTCCATCTTTCTTTAGGATTGTTGTTAGTATTATAAGAGATATGGGGGAAAGTGGTTTGTAAATCATAAACCTGTATAAAAAGATATTTCTAACAAATATTCCTTAATCCCATAGCCTTGTATACATTCTGGGATTTTGTCCTATCAAGTATTTCCTCCTCTTCTCACCTCTTCACTCCCTCCTTCAATTTAGGTAGTTGTAGAGTATGTGTCTCTAAGGGGTATATAGAACACTGTCCTGGAGTTTCCTCTGAAGCCATACTATAATTATGACACCATAGTTTTTGTGTGTGCCTGAGTCTCTATGAGATGGAGGGTGGGAGGAGCTGGCAATAACAATTATGTTACTAGTCATCACCACATGATCAAGAGGGATATAGTTATAGTTGTACAAAGAGGAAATCTGGCGGCTCTAAGAATTTCTAAGAAGACAGGATCTGGTGTTTACTATTGTAGGTGGTATTAGTGTACACTCTGGCTAAGGAGTCACCTCACCTGTGAGACAGCTGATATTATTTCCAAGACATTGGGATTATATTCTCTGGAATATGAAACAGAGGGGCTGCCCAAACATGACACTGTCTAATGGGTCCTGTCAGGAAAAAATCTTCCTGAGTTATACAAGTCATGATTTTGAATTGGTATGGCTTGAGTAGGCTGTACCCATTAGGATCATCAGTGATGGGCTATAGTTCATGCCCAAAGCGTATATCTTCCTTCTATCTATAAATTTGGCTTGGTAGGTTTGAGGCCTAAAGCCCTAGAGGAAGGCCTTTTAATCATAGTGTCACAGTGTATTTGTATATCTTAAATAGGTTATTATACCAAAGTATAGCCCCTTCAGCCTTTGGAACAACCAAGCAGGACCTGGGTATCTGGAGTCCCTGGTAAGGTTGTCTCCGGCCAGGAGCATCTTCCTCAGTATTACAGTATGGCCTACAAATACCAAATATTATAATTTTCTTTGTGTGCTATGAGGTTAGATAGGCTGGGAAGTACTACCCTAAAGGATTTTGGTTTAGTTTTCTTTCCCCTTCTCATCACCATCTATACTAGCAAGTGAAACCTCTTTCTAAAAAGTAGTCCTGCAGTTTGGCAACCCATCAAGTCATTGTGTTCTCTCTTTTTCTTTTTTATTGTTACTGTCTTTGGAAAAGTGTTCCAAATGTACTATTCACCTTTCTTCACAAATGACTTGTTCTGTAATTCTCTGTGTAAGCCTTTAGCAACTTAGGAAGTTTGTCTTTGAAAGTCATGAGTGATCTGTATTTCAAATCCAATATCTTTTTCTCATTCCTCATCTTATATTTATTGAAGCATTTGAGCTATTAACCTCCCCACTTCTTTCTTAAAACGTCACATTCCACTTGTCCTACTTCCTCATGAATTAGTTCTGGTTCCTTCACCATCTTTGTTTCTTCCTGTCACTTCTTTACCTCAGTTCAGCTTTCTTTTCTCTGAATAGTTCTTCCTAAATCTCAAGGCTTTTGTACATGCTGTTCATTGTACATAGAATCTTCCTCCATCATCCTCCACCCCCAGCATACACCTGGTTTTCTTTCACATCCTTCAGATCTTGGTTCAAGCTCGTGATTTAAAATTGCAAACCACCCAGATACACATGCAGTATTTATAATAGAATTGCAAACCAACTGCACATACACATCCCATTCTCTAACCCCCTTTCTAGATTTATCTTTCTCCACATCACTTACTATTTTATAAACGACCTATGTTTTATCTATTTGTTTATTGTCTGCTTCTTCTCACTTAAACCTCATGAGAACAGAGTTTTTTGCCTATGTTACAAACTGATGTATCCTCTACACCTGTAACATGCTTGGCACATAGTTGAACAAACTAACAGATGGTTCTTTATTAATTATCTCTGTGTTGATGGCACCCAAAACTGTGTTTCCCAGTCTGCACTGTTACTTCTGTGCTGCATAGCCCTCTTTCCATTTGCTTGCGAGGCATCTTTCTCGATATGACTTCAGTATCTCAAACTGCATATTTTTAAAACTGTCATTCTCCTCTTCAGCCTGTTGATGCTATTCAGAAATAACGTAGATTTATTGATTTTTTAAAAAAATTTTTTTGGCCTGGGGGAAGCCAGCAATCTGGAATTTTGAGTTTAATTTTAATCTCCTTTTCAGTTTTTGTTTTTAATTTGCCAGTTACACCAGTTGTCCTCCATAAATTAGCAACTTATAATCCCTGATCTACAGACTAAGAGGAAAATAATGTATTTATTAACCAGCTGCTGTTTGCCCACTACCATCTGATACTTTACATACAGTCTCATTGAATCCCCATATCAACTCTCTGAGAATAGACATTTTTGTCTTAGTCAGAACTCAGAGAGGTAAAACCACTATGAGTATTAAAGAATAAAGGCTGTAATAGAAATATGATTTTATACACAAGTGTGGAAGAAGATGGAGAAGAACCTAAAAGGGGTAGTTGGAGGGTCAGGGAAAATCACTGACAAGTCTCCTGAAACAGTGGCACAGGTGGACAAGTCAGGCCATACAGGGAAATCTAGAAAGCCAGACACAGTCACCTGCCAGATTGTGACTGTGGTGGATAAGTCTGTGAAGGGCTGGTGCTCCTGCATCTGTATGTGGGCCTGACGTAACCAGGGCAAGAGTAAGAAGAATTTGGATGACAAGTATATGGGAGAATGAGGGCAAGCTGGACTCTACCAGCATCACTGCCTTTGTTGCTTACCTCCTCTAACCATAACCAGGGTAATGAGTGTTACTTGACTTCCACCATACAAGTCTCACACAGATTGCTCTAACTTTTGACCATACAGGGAAGTGGATCCTGGGGAACAGAATTCTAGCTTAGCCAAGTTGACACAGTAGAAAACCACAATAATTATTGTTATTTCACTCAGAGAAGTCACTTGCTTAGTAGGCTTACATATCAGGTTAAGTGTCATAACCCACTTTAAAACCCTGTGCTTGCTCAGTAATCTCATCCTGCCTACAATTAAGTCCCTTAGTTTATTCCTCTGTAATCTGATTCCAGTCTAGCTTTGTAGACCCACATCTGAGTGACCCCTTCCATGCACTCTAGGTTGTAAGAAAACATACTCTCCAAACATTTGTATGTGGCTTTTCACCTCTGGACGTTGCTAATATTCCTTTTCCTTTGCTTGAAATGCTTCCTTTCCACTTGCTTCTGCTTGTTTCTCTTTTCATAACCGTCAGAGTTTAATCTATCTTTCTATACCTGTTTCCAGGGGTTCAAGTGTCACCTTCTCTATAAAACATTTCTTCATCTTTTGTCCCCCTTAGTTCTGAGCAAAATTTCCCTTTTCTGTATTCCCATAATACTTCATTCATGCCATTTTTATGGTACTTACCTCTGTTTATCTTTGCTGGATTGTAAGCTGGTCATATGTCTTATTCCATATGCCCTTGTACAATGTACTATTTGATGAATTAGTTATCCTGTATTCCACTTTGCATCTCTTGCTTGGAAAGTTGAATTTGGAATGTGTACTTCTGTTAGTTTGTTATTAATTTAGTTTCTTCGTGTGCCTTTCTCATTCCCCAATTTAAATATTATTTTATATATATATATTTTAATTCAACTACTCTTCTCCAACTGTAGCTTAGCTTGGAGCCCATTTTTCATGAAAACTAAACAGACATATTTTATCCTTTTAGGCTGTGATCATCAAATGTAGTGATTCTCTTTATCCCCATGATTCCCTTGAGATAGTGCATGTTGAGTGTCCCTTATCCAAAATACTTGGGTCCAGAAGTGTTTTGGGTTATGGAATATTTGCATTATACTTACCAATTAAGCTTCCCTAATCTAGAAATCAGAAATTTGAAATGTTCCAGTGGACATTTCCTTTGAGTGTCATGCAGGCGCTCAGAAAGTTTCGGATTTGGGAGCATTTCAGATTTTAGAATTTTGGATTAGAGATACTCATCTTGTACAGTTTTAGGGTAAAATGTTCCTTTTGTTTTGGAAGAATTGAATTTTCCTGCTTTGTTAGAGATAAAACTATTCTCGCTGCCCCCACCCCCACCCCCGCCAACTCAGGATTCATAATGCAGTTCAGATAAATTAATTTGGTTCCATGATTCTTTTAAAATATCTCTACTTCTTAATTATAAAGATAAATATTAAATCTAAATAATCAACTCCCTTGAATTTACTTCACTTGGCCGGGCATGGTGGCTCTGCCTATAATCCCAGCACTTTGGGAGGCCGATGTGGGTGGATCACTTGAGGTCAGGAGTTCAGGACCAGCCTGGCCAACATGATGAAACCCCATCTCTGCTAAAAATACAAAAAAAATTAGCCAAATGTGGTGGCACACACCTGTAATCCTAGCTACTCGGGAGGCAGAGGCACAAGAATTGTTTGAACCCAGGAGGCGGAGGTTGCAGTGAGCCGAGATCACACCACTGCACTCCAGCCTGGGTGACAGAGCAAGACTGTCTCAAAAAAAAAAAAAAAATTTACTTTACCTTTTTAATATGGTGTTTAATTGTAAAATGATGTACTTATTTATGTACCTATTTATTTAGTTTTCTACTTTAGCTATATGATTTTTGACTACCTTAAATTTCAGAAGACATGGATTCTTTCTGATAACTTAGTATATACAAGTACTAAGAGAATCTCTAAAACTGAGCTGGAAAACCTGTGGGAGCAAAATAAGTTATAACTGTTACACTGTTAAAATATAAGTAGATCATAACATAACAGAGCTGAAGTCAGGAACACCTCCTTTACCCTGCAGTTGGAAGAATTGGGGTAGGTTAAGAGAGAGTCTCTATGGTCCCTTTCATCTGTGATGTTTTATGACTGAAGTATTCTGCATATGCTAATTCTCCATATAACTGAAGCACATCACGTAGGTGGCAAACTTTTAACCATTTCAGATGAAAATCTTTCTTATTCTTTTATTTGTATTTGCCTTAATATTCTTACTATTATCCTTAAACTTTTGTTCATACTATGTCTTCAACTAAGGCATAATGAGCACAGTTTCACCTTTTCTTGATGAATTCAAATCATTATAATAAAGAACAATTCTAGTATTGTACTTTTAATATAATGATATAGTATTCTTGAAATATTTTGAAGTGTGTACACATCATTGATCTAACCCCATTCAGCCCCAAAAAGATATTCCATTTTAGTTCTTGTGCCTGTTTTTAAATAGAATTTTGTAATCTACTTATCAAAATGTCACTTTTCTTTTCTTCCTGTTTTTATGTCTGCCTTTAACACTCTTCTAACATACTACTACTTTTTTTTTTTTTTTTTTGAGACATAGTCTCTCTCTGTCGCCCAGGCTGGGGTGCAGTCAAGGGATCGTCCTACTTCCACCTTCTGAGTTGCTAGGACCACAGGTGCACACCACCATGCCTGGCCAATTTTAAAAATATTTTTTTGTAGAGACAGGGTCTCCTTATGTTGCCCAGGCTGGTCTCGAACTCCTGAGCTCAAGCAGTTCTCTCACTTTGGCCTCCCAAAGTGGTGGGATTTACAGGCATGAGCCACCATGCCCAGCCTAACATACTAGTTTTTATACAGGGTTTTATAACTAGTTTTTTAGAGATTTGTGTAAAACAAGAGACTTTAGGAGCAACAGGCTTACCTGTTGGTAAATGAATGTTAAAGCATAGACTTTGTAAATGTTTCTGGCAATCCAGAGTCCAAACTTACTTCTGGAGTTACTATGTTCAAAATCCAGTAGTTTGGACAAAGTAAAGAGTGTTTTTCTTTGAGTTGTGCCAGTTTGCATTAAGTAATCCTAATAAGTAGTTTGAGGAGTAATCCTTAATTGCCTCTTTTTACTTTTCGGGAGTTTGAAAGGTTACTTACTGTCTATTAGAGACTTTATATTTAATGATGTAATAAAACTTGAAGTCATGGCTTGGTTATCATGAAAGAAAAATTGGAACTAGTGAGTCATTTGAAAAGGAAATAAGATTACTAGTTGCTTAATAGAAATTATTTTAAAAGGTTGTAATAATTTTTTTAGCTTTTCTTTTGATTCACTCAAGACTAACATAGATGTCCCAACTAATTCTGAAGATTAAATAGTTCTTAACTGACAGTAACACTTCTAATATGATAACTACCTTGAGTTTTCTAGAGGGAATGCTCACCTTTCCTTTGCCAGAGAATACATTCAAGATTTGTAACACTGAAAGGAAAGTTAAGGCATGAGATGTATTAGGAACAAGGCATTTAAATTGCTGAAATTAATAAAAATCACTAGGTGAAGTCATAATAAATTGCAAGTATAAGTATTTTCAAATTATTTGGAGTTGACAACAAATAGTGCCAGTAAAAAGTGTTGTTTGTTTTCTTATATGGAAAAATACTGACTTTTCATTTCCTGAGGAAAGTACCTTTGTGAGTGTATTAGTTTTCTATCGCTGCCATAACATTTTAGCACAAATATAGGGGTGTAAAGCAGCACAAATTTATCCTCTCCATTTCCGGCCAGAGCTGTACATCTGTAACTAAGTCTGAACTGAGACTTACAGGGCTAAAATCAAGATGTCAGCAGGGCCGGCTCCTTTCGCCAACAGTGTCTCCAGAGGAGAATCTGTCCCTTGACTCTTCCCAGCTTCTAGTGGCTGCTGGCATTCCTTACCATTGGCTACAACACTCAAATCTCTGGCACCATAGTTGCATTGCCACCCCCTCTCTGTTAGTCTAATCTCCTTCTCTCCTCTTATAATGGCACTTGTGAGTACAATTAGGGCCCACCCAGATAATACCGAATAATCTCCCCATTTCAAGATCGTTTAACTTAATCACATTTGCAAAGCCTCTTTCTCCGTATAAAGTAACATTCACAGGTTCCAGGGATTAGGACTTAAATATTGGGGAGGCATTATTCAGCCTACGCAGTGGGTATGGATACGTTTTGAAGTAATGCTGTGCATCTGCTTTCATATTTGGTTTCCCTCTTTCCTACCGCCCCCATCCCCCACCATTCTTTTCTTCCTTAAAATTCTTTTTTTTTTTTATACTTTAAGTTCTAGGGTACATGTGCACAACGTGCAGGTTTGTTACATATGTATACATGTGCCATGTTGGTGTGCTGCACCCATTAACTCATCATTTACATTAGGTATTTCTCCTAATGCTATCCTTCCCCACTCCTCCCACCCCACAACAGGCCCCGGTGTGTGATGTTCCCCACCCTGTGTCCAGGTGTTCTCATTGTTCAGTTCCCACCTATGAGTGAGAACATGCGGTGTTTGGTTTTCTGTCCTTGCGATAGTTTGCTCAGAATGGTGGTTTCCAGCTTCATCCGTGTCCCTACAAAGGACGTGAACTCATCCGTTTTTATGGCTACATAGTATTCCATGGTGTGTGCATTTTCTTAATCCAGTCTATCATTGATGGATGTTTGGGTTGATTCCAAGTCTTTGCTATTGTGAATAGTGCCACAATAAACATATGTGTACATGTGTCTTTATAGCAGCATGATTTATAATCCTTTGGGTATATACCCAGTAATGGGATCGCTGGGTCAAATGGTATTTCTAGTTCTAGATCCTTGAAAAATCACCACACTGTCTTCCACAATGGTTGAACTAGTAAATAGGAACACCTTTACACTGTTGGTGGGACTGTAAACTACTTCCTTAAAATTCTTAAGCTGACTAGTTGTAGTATCTGTATATCAGCTTCTAACTTGTTTATCTTATTTGTGAAAACTTGTTTGTAGCTTAGGGTTGATGGAGCCTCAATTCATAAGCAATATACTGTCTTTAAGAGAGTTAAAAATCAGTCTCAGGTGATTGGGTCCTGGGCAGGGAGTTAGCAGTCCCGGACTTTAGTTCCAAATCTGCTGTTAACCATGTAATTTTAAACAAGTTCCTTAATCTTGTTCCAAGTCTTACTTTTTTTCATAAGTAAAATGTTTCTTATAGCTTTATATTCTCTGTTTTAACAAATATTGAAGACTTGTGTTTAGTGGTTATTTTAAAATCTCATCTTTTAAATTTAAATTTTATTTCACTATTTTCTAGAATTATATAACCACTTTTTCCCCTTGAACATTTTGTACTATTTTCATAAGCATCTAATTTGAAGTTTAAAACGTTGTGTGGTTTTGATTAACAGGAGGATCAACTTTTTGTGGCATTGCCTCACTATGTCTGATGGGTAAACTAGAAGAAGTTTTTTCAGAAAAAGAATTGAACAGGATAAAGAGGTGGTGTATAATGAGGCAACAAAATGGTTATCATGGAAGACCTAATAAGCCTGTAGACACCTGTTATTCTTTTTGGGTGGGAGCAACTCTGAAGGTAAGAGAAATAATAAAAAATGAGAAACCTATATTCTGTGTTCATATAGATTGTGCTAAAAAGGTTTGATCTTTGTAATGTGTATTAAATATTGTTAGGTTTAGGCTACTGGATTTTCTCTTTTGCTCTGCCAAAGCTAGTCTCTGTATGGTTTTTCCATAGAAATCAGTGATCTCTTGTGCTGCTTGAAAATTTTCATTCTTGGAAAACTCAAGTAACCCAGAACTTGAGTTTTATGCCTACTTAAAACCTTACATAGAACATATTAAATACTTACTTTCTTGTGGGTATAAGGTAATAAAAAAGTTGGAACTGACTAGTTCATATAAATCAGGGATCTGTCTGAAAATGATAGCAGTAAAGGTTTTATGGGAAGGTATTAATCTTAAAAGACAAACCATGGGTCATTTCTTCAAAAACCATGTAAGGACTTTTTTATTATTTATTTGTTTAAACCTTCTGAAACTCATCAATTGACATGCCAGCACATTTTTTCCCATCTCTACTACCTTTTAATATACCTAATTCCGTAAGGTTATTTAGTCACTAAATACACACAAGTTTTCTCTGTCTTAAAGTTGCCTTTTCATCTTTAAGAATTGTTACCTTGTTCTGATATTCTGCCATGTAACAGGAGTCTGTTAGAGGAGTCCATGTTTGTCTTCTCCATAATATCCTAATTTTTTCTCTTAAAATTTATGTATAAGGTTGAAAAAAATTTGGAAAAGAATGGTTTAAAATGATGACAGTAGTCTCCCTGTCTCTCCTCACTTGTAGTACCATTTCTCAGGTGCATTTCAATTTTTTTGGACTGTGGGAAATTTCAAGCATATTCAAAAGCAAAGAGAAAGGTATAATAACACCCATGTGTCCATCAACCAGTCTCAACAATTATCAACCGAAAGCTACCCTTTCTTCATCCATACTCTAATTCCCTTCAATTCACTGAATTATTTTAAAGCAGATCCCATATATCATTTTTTATATTCTCTGGAAATTTTTTAATATAATCTCTAAATGAAAATAACTTTTTAAAAAAAACAGAACCTTAGTGTCATTATCACATCTAAACAATTAGCCATAATTTCTTATTATCATTAAATATCCAGTGATTTCCTGTTGTATCACGTATATTTCCTATTGTATCACATCAAGAGGCATGTAATATCCAATTATCTCTCCTTTTAATCAAAGAGCTCCACAGTTGAAAATATACATAGCACATTATACTAACAGTTTAAACATTTGTAAGTATACAGTTCACTAGCATTAATTCCATTTACAATGTTGTGTAATCGTCACTACCATGCAAAACTTTTTCATTATACCCAACATAAATCCTGTATACATTAAACAGTAATTCCCTATTCTTCTTTCCCCTCAGCCTGGTAACCTCTCCTCTGCTCTCTGTCACTATGAATTTGTCTATTCTAGGTACCTCATATAGGTGAAATCATACAATATTTGTCCTTCTGTTTCTGGCTTATTTCACTTAGCATAATGGTTTCAGGGTTTATTTATGACATGGCATATATCAAAATTTAATTTTTTAATGGCTGAATAATAATATTCCATTGTATATGAATACCACGTTTTCCTTCTTCATTTATCTGTTGATAGTCACTTGCGTTGTTTTCACCTTTTGGCTATTGCAAATAATACTGCTAAAAACATGGGTGTATAAATATATGTTCAAGTCCGTGCTTTCATTTTTCAGGGGTACTGTATGTATATAGGAGTGGAATTGCTGGGTCATATGGTAGTTCTTCATTTAACTTTTTGAGGAAATGCCAAACTTTTCCACAGCAGCTACAACATTTTGTATTCCCTCTAGCAATGTATGAGAGTTCCATTTTCTCTACATCCTCACCAACATTTGTTTTTTCTGTTTGTTTTTATGTATATATATTAATATAATAGCCATCCTAATGGATCTGAAGTGTCATTTCATTGTGGTTTTGATTTGCTTTTTTCTAATGATATTGAGTGTCTTTCTGTGTACTTATTGGTCATTTGTATATCTTCTTGGGAGATATATCTATTCAAACCCTTTGCCTATTTTTAAATCTGGTTTCTTTTGTTATAAAGTTGTGGGAGTTCATATATTCTGGATATTAATCCCTTCTCAGATATATGATTTGCAAATATTTTCTCATTCCTTGAGTTGCCTTTTTACTCTGTTGATGGTGTCCTTTAACGCACAAAAGTTTTTTGATGCAGTACAATTTTATCAAAATTTTTCTTTTATTGATTGTGTTATTGGTGTCATGTCCATAAAATTATTGCTGAATCCACGGTCGTAAAGATTTTCCCCAGTGTTTTCTTCTAATAATTTTATGGTTTCAGGCCTTAATGTTGGGCCTTTCATCAATTTTGAGTTAATTATTTTATGTAATGTAAGGTAAGATCCAACCTCATTCTTTGACATGTGGATATCTAATTTTCCTAGCACCATTTGTTGAAAAGACTGTCCTTTTCCATGAAATGGTTTTGGCACCCTTGTCAAAAGTCAGTTGACTATATATATGTGAGGTTTGTTTCTGGACGTCTTATTTTATTCTGTTGTTTTATATGGCTGCCCTTGTGCCAGTACTATACTGTTTTAATTACTGTAGCTTTGTAGTAAGTTTCAAAGTCAAGAAGTTTGAGACTTCCAACTTTTCTTTTTCAAGATTGTTTTGGCTATTTGGAGCCCCTTGCAATTTGATATGAATCTGGTAATTGACTTTCCCATTTCTGCAAAAAAGTCTTTTGAAATTTTGATGGGAATTGCATTGAATCTGTAGATCCCTTTGGGTAGTAGTGATATCTTGACACTGTTGAGTGTTCCTATCCATGAGCACAGGATGCTTTTCCATTTATATAGGTGGTCTTCAATTTCTTTCAGCAATGTTTTGTAGTTTTCAACATACAAATCTTTCACCTTTTTGTTAAGATTAAATTCTCAGTATTTAATCATTTCAGATGCTCTTGTAAATGAAATTGCTTTCTTAATTTCCTTTTGGATTGTTCATTGCTAGTCTATAGTAACTACCAACTTTTTATGGAATAGTTTTAACAGGCATTAAGGATCATTGCTTAAATCAATTATGGCATTAAGAGGTTACAAAACAGTGGTATTCTTTCATTCCTTCTCAATTTATTAACTAGCATTGTTTTTTAAAGAAGAATTTTACCTTACCCTGAGATATACTTTGTACAGAGAAGGACAGATAAATACTGAATTCTTTCCCTTAATAGTGTTCAACAAAATGAGTTGGTTCCCTACCATCCCCTCAGCCTTTCCAATAAAATATTAGATTTTAGAGTTTGGGTTTTTTTTTTTTTTTTTTGAGAATCATTGTGAACACATAGATTTTAACATTTTTTAGTCATATATTATATATAATATATATTAGTTATATATGACATATATATATATATATACACACACACATATAATGCTTAAATTGTCCTATCTTTAGTCTATAAGAACCCTTTCAAGTTGTCCCAAGTCTTTTTTATTTGACGTCAGTAGTCTTTGACAGCTTTCTGAAGGCAACCACTTTTAAACTTTTTAAAAATGTTTTAATTCTTGTGGACATTACCATAACTTTAAATCACAGACTGACTTCTTATCACCTTTAGACATTATTGATGATTCCCAACTATGAGAAATTAAGATTTAGCCTCTCACTTTTCCAACAAATTGTTACCCGTTATAGTTAGTTCTGAATATTTTCCTCATCTTCTACCTTCCAATGCTATATAAGGTTACCTTTATTTTTATAATGTTAAGTTAGGACACATTCATATATTTGTTCAATATTAATAATCACATCTTTCAGCCTTTGCCTATAGGTTGATTCTAAAATTTAAAAACCAGTAATCAACACTTATTATGGGATAGTGAAAATATTGTTTATTGCTAAGCCAAGTGCAGTGTTACTATTATAATTTTTTCATTTTTATGTAATGACCAGTGTGCCACTGATGGAAAATATTCCTAACATCAAGATTCAAAAAAGTCTTTTTCCTTATATTTTATTAATTAAATCAATGTAAATGAATAAATTTGTTTCCTGTTTGTACCATAACTTTCTTATGAGTTTAGCTTTTCTTTTTGAGAAATAATGCTTCTTCATTAGTCACTAAAAGCTGTGGCTCTCTCTGGTTCATTAACATATATTAAATTGCTTTGTATCATCAGAAATGTCTTGAACCCTCTTACCTACTGTGCACCTCATCTTGAACTTCACAGTATTATTTATTTATTTGTATTTTACTTTTATGGGGTCTTGAGAGAAAAGCCAAGTACATGTCCTAAATCATTAAAAACTATATAGTTTTTTATGTTGCAATCATTTTTGTCTTACCTTTTTCTTTCCTAATTAAAGAGCTATACTTTTTTACTATTTTCAAAACTGTCTGTAGCATCTGGTTAGTAATTTTTGTTTGCTCTTTTTTTAAAAAATATTTTTAATTCCAGTTACTACTAGTTTATAACTAATAGCTCAAGAGCTTATCATAAGAGTTAAAATATG
This sequence comes from Homo sapiens, assembly GCF_000001405.40. Lineage (NCBI taxonomy): Eukaryota > Metazoa > Chordata > Mammalia > Primates > Hominidae > Homo > Homo sapiens. The sequence continues at coordinate 115,217,300 of NC_000005.10, read as the reverse complement.
GGTAGATAAAATTGTACTTTTTAAAATGACTGATTATGTTGAGTGGATTCGAGTTGTCTTTTGAATTTAGCTTAATGTGATTTAAAGGGTTCAGTTGGCCTGGTTCAGAAGAAGGAAATAGAGAGTCGAGAAAAGGAGAGTAGATTTGATAAGAAAATTAAAAAGTTAATGTGATTTACTCATTTCAAAAGTGCTCAAGGCCCCAGAGACTTGGTCTGAGCACCTTAGCTAAAGAAAAGCATATCTAAATGACACGTATCTGAAATTTGAGCCAAAGGTTGATATGAGTTTTATGTCAGTAAATTTTTATTTGTCATGTCATTTCAGCTTCTAAAAATTTTCCAATACACTAACTTTGAGAAAAATAGAAATTACATCTTATCAACTCAAGATCGCCTTGTAGGGGGATTTGCCAAGTGGCCAGACAGTCATCCAGGTAATTATTTTCTTTGTGAATCAGAACAACCTTTATTTCCTGAATAGATCTTCAAGCATCTTTATCAGAAAAGGCATATGATAGAAAATATATCCAGTTGCAAAGTTACATTAAATAATATTTTTTAAAAGGTATATTGTGTAAGCTTAGGATAAATTTAGGGTATTAGAGAGTATAAATGAAAGAGTTTATTATCAAGATGCATGGGAATAGTGTGCATTTTTTCCCAAATATTTTACTTAGTAATGTTTTATTTCATTTGCAGCAATAATGTAGATGGTCTGAATGGGTCCTTTCCAAAGAAGAGAATTATTTAGGCCATCCAAAGCCGTTAGGATTATTAGTCATGACTTGAACTAAGTATAATAAATTACTCCCAATCCTGAAGGGAATCAGTTCTTACTCTTTTCAGAAGTCATTAAATAGGCCGGGCACAGTGGCTCATGCCTGTAACCCCAACACTTTGGGAGGTCAAGGCAGGTGGATCACTTGAGGTCAGGAGTTCAAGACCAGCCTGGCCAACGTGTTGAAACCCCGACTCTACTAAAAATACAAAAATCAGCCAGGTGTGGTGATGCGTGCCTGTAGTCCCAGCTATGCGGGAGTCTGAGGCAGGAGAGTCACTTAAACCCAGGAAGCAGAGGTTCCAGTGAGCCGAGATTGCACCACTGCCCTCCAGCCTGTGTGACAGAGCGAGACTCTTTGTCTCAAAAAAAAAAGTCATTAAATAAAATATTTCAAATCCTGAATATATGTGTTTCTCACTTCCCATACTCTTGTTCTCCAAATTTCAACAGATTCAGACAATATAAATGGCATGGCACTCAAGGCCCTTCCAAAATTTGGCTCCTCTCCCACCTCTAGCATCATTCTGCAGCCTACACCTCACCCGACATATGTTTTCACCTCCAGCAAAATGAGTCTATATACAGCTTCCCTATAAAAATCCATTTAAGTGTGTTTTGAAATAATTTCAAACACTGACACTTTTGATAAGCAAGTAGTTAAAGAATTAGTTACAAATATGAAACTAGACACAAGGAATGATTGTTTTTGCCAGTATTGCAATAGAGTCGTGGTTTTTATTATCAGCCTGGAAAGTGCCTCATCAACTCATCTTCCATCACAGAACTGCTGTGGTTGGAATGTGTGATTGAATCAGAATATAAATAAGGAGCTCATGAAATCAATTTTTGTATTTGAAATGAGCAGGAATATTTCCTTACACCCCTACTTGCCTATATTTTCATATAAAACATGCTTCCTAGGCCAGGAGTTTTGGCTCACGCCTGTAATCCCAACAGTTTGGGAGGCTGAGGTGGGCGGATCACTTGAGGCAAGGAGTTTGAGACTAGCCTGGCCACATGGTGAAACATTGCCTCTACTAAAAATACAATAATTAGCCAGGCGTGGTGGTGGGTGCCTGTAATCCCAACTACTTGGGAGGCTGGGGCAGAAGAATTGCCTGAACCTGGGAGGCAGAGGTTGCAGTGAGCCAAGGTCACACCACTGCACTCCAGCCTGGGCAACAGAGCAAGAGTACATCTCAAAAAATAAAATAAAATAAATGGCCGGGTGCAGTGGCTCACGCCTGTAATCCCAGCTTTGGGAGGCTGATGCTGGTGAATCACTTGAAGTCAGGAGTTGAAGACCAGCCTGGTCAATATGGCGAGACCCCGTCTCTACCAAAAATACAAAAATAGCCAGGCATGGTGGTGCACACCTGTAGTCCCAGCTACTCAGGAGGCTGAGGCAGGAGAATTGCTTGAACCCAGGAGGTGGAGGTTGCAGTGAGCCAAGATCTCACCATTGCACTCCAGCCTGGGCGACAGAGCGAGACTCTGTCTCAATCAATCAATCAGTAGTAAAACATGTCTTCTTAGAGAAAGTGTACATTGCTTTCAAAGTCGTAAGCCAAAGTGTGTCTTCAGAAGTTAATTTCTCAAGCAAAATAATATCTTGAAATTTTTGATATCTCTAGTGCCTCAAAACTGAGAATTATTTTGGTCTTCATTCCATTTTTTAAACCAGTGCAGGGTACTGTTTTAACAAATAATGGGAGTAGGGAAATGACAGTCTCTTAGGAAACATTTCTTGTATAAACATACTTGAAATACATTCAGTGTTTCCAATAGCTTTTTTAAAAGAAAGTTCTTGAGGCTTTTTCCGGAGAGTTCAGTTGCTAACTTTAACATTTGTGTAAATATTTGGATGTACTACTTACTTTTTACAGATACATTACAATGTTTTCAGAGTATGCAATAGAAAGCATAGAAGGGCTTTGCTAAATTGAATTTATGTGTAAAGATCTGGTCCCAGAATCTTTAATCATTTTAACAAGATTCTTTAAAATTAAGCTTATTCTTCATTCTAGTGAATTTAGTGGCAAATTTGATACAAAGGGATTTTATATACATTTATGAAAGAAACTTCAAAAGAATAACCTTTTATTGTGGAGTAAATATATATTTCAACATCTAAAGTGCTTTATTATGGAGTAAACATATAGTTCCACATCTAAAGTGCTTGTACGTTGCCACTTACAGATAAGGAGTTTTTTTAAAAACACAATTTGAGGCTTCAAACAATTGAGTTCTGATCTCATTGGCTGTTACAAAAATCTTTTTGAGAAACAAATAAGTTTTATTTGTTACTTTACCCAGAGAGATTTTAGTTTTACACAGTTCTATTTTATGTTATTATAGATATATATTTTCTGTTGTACTTTTTCCTAGAAAAGTTTCCTAGTTTCTAGAAAACAAAGCTTAATGTTGCTTTGTACCCTTTGTAGTTTTAGAATAACTATATGGATGTAATATGACAGGTGAAATCAAGTTTATTTTTTATAGTCTGAAAGTCAAAGGAAAGTGAGCCAGAAGAAACCTAAGTATTTTCTGAAAAGGCCTAAAAGGTGATCAACATGGGCCTCCATTAGTTAAATAACATTTTCACAATGGCATTGAGTAAGCACAGCTATTTGTCATTTCTGTTTTGAAAAATAAGTGATACTGTTGTAAGTAAAGCTTTTTCTTTAACTCTTTTGACAAAGTTTGATGTGGTAAGATGTGTTGAACTTTTTGTTGTTGTTGTTTTGAGACAGGGTTTCATTATTTTGCCCAGGCTAGAGTGCAGTGATATAATCATGCCTCACTGCAGCCTCAACCTCCCTAGGCTCAGGTGAGCCTCCCACCTCAGCCTCCCGAGTAGCCGGAACTACAGGCGCACGCCACCATACCTGGTAATTTTTGTATTTTTTGTAGAGATGGAGCTTCACCGTATTGCCCAGGCTGGTATCGAACTCCTGTGGCTCAAGGAATATGCCCTTCTCGGCCTCCCAAAGTGCTGGGATTACAGGTGTGAGCCACCACACCCAGCCTGTTTTGAACTTTAATAGCTCTTAAGGCCATAAATGTCGGCCAATTCAAAAATAGAAAAAAATTTTGACTGGTACAAAACTGTCTTTTTAATGTTCCTATAACTGCAAAGCTCTGAGCTCTTCAGAAGTCTACATAAGACTCCTAGGCAGGAATGGCCATGTGATTTCATTGGCCACTTTAATAGAAGAGGATCGCTGCCCCCTGAAAGATGGGAAACTAGTGAGCCAGTGCAGAATTGTCATGGTATGAGCACTCATATTATTTCAACCAAATAGAATGTGAGTTTGTTTTTATTGTCAGATCAGATATTTTTACAATGACTGACATTACCCTAAATAGGAGGATTAAATATGGCACAGCATTCCAGAATGGATTATTTTTGCATAAGCTCCTTTTATTTAACACAATGTTAGGATAGTACTGCATATGGTTTAGGAACTTTCAGAGGTAAAACGTGGAGCGAGGGATATTGCAACTTAGATTCAGAGTTTTGTTTTCGTTTTAAAGAAAAAAAAACTTAATGATATAGCATTGAAGCTACTCGTTTTCATGTTCTCTAGTAAGCAAGAGGGGAAACTCCCCAAAGTGAGAAGTCTTACATATGACTGCTGCTACTCCTGTCTTTTAATCACAGAGGTTATGGACAGTATCAGCTCTTCAGCTGGAAACTGTTTTCCTTTGTTAATGATATTTTCATGAATAAAATATTTTATTTTGATCATCTGAGTTTTTTTTTTAATTGGTGTTTGAGGCTTTGAGAAAGCAAATATTTTTAAAACTATATTAGCATTTCTCTAAACTTACTTTTAATGGAGTGATGGGCTGGTAAATATGTGGCTAAAATATTCTGTAGAATGTACAAGTAAGAATGCCTATTATGATGTTTTAAATGCCTTCTTTTCAGATGCTTTGCATGCATACTTTGGGATCTGTGGCCTGTCACTAATGGAGGAAAGTGGAATTTGTAAAGTTCATCCTGCTCTGAATGTAAGCACACGGACTTCTGAACGCCTTCTAGATCTCCATCAAAGCTGGAAAACCAAGGACTCTAAACAATGCTCAGAGAATGTACATATCTCCACATGACTGATTTTAGATTGGGAGGGTGGGGGGATTTGTAGCATAACTGTAGCTCAAGTTTAAAAGCCATGTATAACCAAGTGTGCTCTTTTTTTAAAAGGTAGAGTCTTACAATCAAATCTCCTGCTGATTTCACTTTGGGATATGGTCTTGAGCCAGTAATCTTTATACTGGGTTTCAAGAAAATCTTTGTTGAAGTTTGAACCACAACTTTGTCGTGGTTCTTAAATGTTTATACTGTATTTCTAAGAAGTTGTTTGAGGCAAATTAACTGTATGTGTGTAGGTTATCTTTTTAAAAACTCTTCAGTGCAAATTGTATCTTATTATAAAATGGACACAAATTTTCAAGTTTACACTTCATATAGCATTGATAATCTTCAGGTGAACACTTAGTGATCATTTAAAAAGCTCACTGCTGATCGTAGAAAATTTGCTTTAATTAATTAAGTATCTGGGATTATTCTTTGAAAACAGATGACCATAATTTTTTTTAAAGAAGAGTGACTTATTTTGTCTTATTCTTAAGTAAAGTGTGCCAATTAAACCTGTGTGGCCTATATAAATGAAGTTAATAACTTCATAGTAAGAATAAATAGGTTTAACTAATGTGATAGTTTTCTAAAAGGAGATTGTTTGAAGACAACTATTATGTAACTGAGGGAAAAGCAACTTAACTGTATGTGATTGTGAATGAGAAAGTTTTGTGCTATGTGGGTCATTTATCTAGACATTGCTGTGGTGAATACCAGTTATGTTTGATTTTATTCTCAAATCATTAGTTGCCTTTTTTTTTTTTTTTTTTTTTTTGCTTTCTAGGAAGAAAACAATCTTTTTTATCTAGAAGGAAAGATACTTTGTGTTTTCATTTTTAGCCATTTGAAGTTTTTAATTTATTGCCCCCAGTGTGTTAGCTGCTCTAATTTCAAACTAATACTTTTCTAATTTTTTTCAAATTAAATAAGTAAAAAATACAAAAACAGAACCATTCAAACAGATTCAGTGGTGTAACTCAATACATGGTCATTTTTATTCTCATATTTTCAGGTAAGTGAAAGGGAAATGCGACCATTTAGAGGGTAAGAAATAGGGTTTTGTTTTTGTTCATTGTTTTGTTTTAAGTCTATGAACTAGCTAATTATAAAGGAGGTAGTATAAAAACTCTTCATTAGTAATTAATTTATCAATAACTCATATCCGTTACTTGCTCAGTGACATTCAGAACTATTGCGTCTAGTACTGAAATGGGGAAAGAAATCTCTTCACTAAAGGAGTTGGCTTTAAGTTAGTCTTGGTGATAATAAATGTTGAAATACAAGTATCAGTATAAAAACTGGATTACTGGTATCACTGTTTAGGCATTGTAATACTTTAAATGTTATCTTTTTTTCTAAATCAGAGGGAAAAAAATGTTGTGAAATAACAGTCCTTCCCAAGGGAAACACTGTGTACTTGGAGAAATGATTGATTTATTATTGGCATGCTTAGTTTTAAACCTGAGTTTGCCAACTGTATGTTTTTTAATTAGAAATAAAATAAATCTTCTGATGGTGGGGGAAAAAGTAAGCTTAATAACAGATGTTATCCGTCTATGGGTTATTCCAGTTGCTACTATTTAAATCCTGGCAGATTAAGACATCCATATCTCAAACTAAGTCATCTCTTAGACATTGGAAGTTAAAGTAGCATATATATAATGGCTTTAGGACTATATAAAAAGCCCAAATTGTTTTTTCTGTATCACCAAGAAAGGTTAGAAGGCAATAAAGGTAGTAACAGTGATTTTATTCATAAATGTTAGAGAAAAATTCCAATCTAAAAGTATTTCATAAGGCTAAATATTTTCTAACTCCTGATAATTTAATACCATAAGATTATAAATTTTAGTATGCTTCTAATTGATACACTTGTGGGAGACTTTCTTGTGAAACTTTATGGACTAGTAAATGTTCACATTCCACAGCAACTGAATTGACCAGAAAATAGCAGCCCAGTGTGAATTGTGGAGAAACTATTTCTAACTTTTCTAAATAGTTATTTACAAGAAAAGCATTTATCGATTAAATAAATTATAAGCAATATTTCACATATACACTTTATTCCTTAACAGGAGCGATGTAATGAGGGAAAATACGAAGTCCGAAATCTCAAAAAGCTCTGTTACCTACTCTATACTTGTCTCCTTCCCGCCCCCTAATTTTGTGGCATTTTTTTTTTAGAAGGTAGGAGGAGGAGCTTTATTTTGAGCATCTGTGTACAAATGAGATTAATCAGATCATATGGCCTAATTTAACCTGTTTATCATTTCAGTGTTTTTAGATTTGATCTATAATATATATGTGTTATTAGATCTTTAGTTATTTATATTTAATCTAAATTCATATAGAAATCTTGCTGACAGTGGTATATAATTTGAAAACTGTTGGACCTGATCATTTTTGAGAGACAGTTAATGAGGAGGTGCTCTGGAATCAGATGACCTGGGTTTAAATCCCAGATTTGCCAGTTCAGCAGCATGATCTTGGACCCTAACTCTGCCGTGGATAAAATAAGGGTAAAACCTAACACACAGGGTTTAGGATTAAATGAGATAATACAGATAAAGCACTTAGGATAGTACCTGGAATACAGCAAATTTCAAATTATAGGTTCTTTATAATGATCATAAAATTATTTTTGTAATTAAAACCTCTCTTCTACAACAGAAAGAGGTCTTAACAGTTTAACCTCAGGGAAAATGATGACAACAGTGTTGTTTTCTAATCTCCCCATAAGAATACAGAGCAACTAGGATAGCCACAGACACTATTACAACGCTAGATGACAAGGTATCTCTATGAACTTCAAAATACAACTAAGTGAGGACAAACCACTGAACCACATAGTTTCAGTATCTGTGGGAGGAAGTAGAAGGAAGGCAGCTGGTTTCTGACAGCTCTGCAAATTGGAGAACTACAACACTGCCCACAGTTTCTCAACTACAAAGTGCAGCGGGCCAATCTAAGAACAGACACTGAAACTGGGAAGTGACTACAGAATCTCATTTGCAGATGAATGTTAAAGCAATATGATAAGGTCTGCTGATTGCATTAGAGCTGTCTGGGTTTTACGCTGTGTACCTCTTGAAGCTTATGAGACAAAGCCCAGCACTGAGGACAAACTTCTAGAATTAGAATCCAAATGGGCAGGATGGGTAAAATAGGACAAAGGAAAGAAGATCTAGATAAGTATTGGGAAGAAAGGCCAAGACACAGAGACATTATATATGTGTATTTTCATATATATATATATTCTTTTAAATCACTGTGAAAATGGGAGCTCTAAGGCTGTGAAGTCATCCTAGAGCCACTCCTTCCTCCTAAAAGTACAGAAAAACTCATTTCAGTTAAGGGGAAAAAAAGAGTAAGTGAGCCAGGATTACAGTCCAACTCCAGTCAAAGTTAGTATAAGAAATAAGAGAATAAATAGATCAACATCCTCACAGACAATGAAAGCACACCGGAAGGACATGACCACAAGACAGATAAAAACCTAATATTTGCCAAAAAATAAAATGCAAATATGACAGGAAATTTATATTAATTAGTACAGTTATCAATAAAAGTAGGAAAAGGGGAAAATTAACCAAGTACCAAACACTTGGAGTAAAAAGCAAAATAAAGCAGAAGGAAGGAATTAATAAAAGCAAAAAAGAATTACTAGTAGAAAACCAAAACAATAGAGGCAATAATAAATCCAAGTTGGTGATGGGTAGTGCGGGGAGTTGAGTCAGATAAACTACCAGCTAACCTATTTAAGAAAAAAAGGAGGAAGCACAAATACAAAAATTTAAATGACAAGGGGGAAATAGTAAAACAGGAAATTTGTTTAAATTGACTATTTTGAGCAATTTTACACAATAAATTCAAAAACTATTTTGAGAAAAATGCAAATTGCCAAAATTTACTCTAGGTAGATAAAGTCACAACAAACCAATTACCGTAGAAGAAACAAATAGTTAAAAGTACCCCTTACCAAAAGAAGCATCAAGCCCAGATTGTTTCAAGGGGATTTCTACCAAACCTTTTAAGATTAAATAATCCCATTCTTGCTTAAACAATTGCAGAGACTAGGAAAAGAATCTTGAACCTCAAAGTGCCAAAAAAAGAAAAAAAACAAATAAAGAAAAACTCCTGAATTCATTTTATAAAATGAATGTAATAGCATTGATTCAAAAACCTGACAAAGATGGTACCAAAAAGAAAATATAGAGCAATCTCATGAATATTAATAAAAAGTTTTAATGATAACATTAGCAAACAATCCAACAGCACTTTCAAAAGGTAATCATGACTAAGTTGGGTTTATTGTAAGAATGCAAGGGTAGTTCAATACTAGATAATCTGTTACTATTCATATTAAGAGTTAAAAAATATCTTCATCTTTGCAGAAAAGACATGATAGAATTGAGCACTCACTTATGTTAACTATACTAAGTAGAAATTGATGAATAATCTATTAACATTGTACCTCTACCTAAAAGCCAGCATCTTAAATTTCAAAGCAAAGGAGACTTTCCAGCTGAAGTCAGGAACAAGACATGCCCACTAACTCCTCTGCTACTTAACAATGTGTTGAGAGTTATAGCCAATGAAGTTAGACAAAATAAAGACGTGAATTGGAAAGGAAGAGGTAAAACTATTTGCAGATATGAATATGTATCTAGAAAGCCCAAAGGAACTTGTTGAAAAACTAAACAATAAAAGAACTTAGTAAAGTAGCTATTAAATACAATTTACATAAAAATATCAGTAGGCTTCACCAGACACAAGTGCATACTTTGATTCCATTTCGGTGAAGTTCAAAACAGACAGCATCTATGTATGGTGTCAGAAATCAGCACCCTCTTTCAGTCACTACCTCTCTTCCCAAAGGTAAGTGCTGTCAAAATTACCATCAATTAGTTTTGTCTGTTTTTGAATTTTATATGAGTGGAACCATATAGTATACATTATTTTTCAACTGGCTTTAACTCAGTAGGACTGAAAGAGGGTACAAGGGAGACTCTGCGGTGCTGGTAATGTTCTGTTTCATGATCTAGGTGCTGGTTACGTAGGTGCATTCACCTTATGAATATTTATCAAGCTGTATATGATTTGTGCACTTTTCTGTATGTATAATTATAGCTCAGTAAAAATGTTTACTAAAAAGAGTAACAAGACTATATATATATATATATATATATATATGTATGTATATGCAAACCTAAACTAGTTAGAAGATACTTGAAGAGAAGACCACCTTTGTGATAGCAAAAGTAAAAAGAAAACTTAATGTGTAAATTTAAGACACATCTAAAATCTGTATGAGGAAAACTAAAAAAACTCTTGAGAGGCAAAAATGTAGATTCCACCAAATGGAAAGATACATGATATTCTTAGATAGACAACATCAAAACATGTCTTTCCCCACTTAGGTTCATTTATAAATTCAGTGCCATTCCAATAAAAATTATATTGTTATTTGAGAGAACATACTAGAATAACCATGGAAACTGAAAAGAATTAGAGGGGACCAGCCATATCCGACACTAAAACATACTCTAAATCCTCCATGGCAGAAGCTATCAGAATTTTTTAAAGTGTGCACACTTTTTGGCCCAGATACTCTCTATCTATAGATTTAGCATAAAGAAACATGCAAATAGGCAATGATACATTTTCAAGGATCTCACAGCCACATTTTTGTAATTGTGAAAAATAAGACACATTATGATACATTTATGTAACTCAATACTATGCAACTGTTAAAGTATGGATATTGGAAGGCATTCGTAATGTTGAATAAATGAAAAGTTTTGTATTGGCACATAAATAGGAAGTCCAATGGAACAGAAGAGGAATTCCAGAAATAGACTCAGTGGCATTTAGAATACAGTAAAGGCAGCATCTCAAGTTAGTGAGAAAATGAACTTTTAAGTAAGTGCTATTGAGATTACTGGTGCTTAATTATTCAGATATTTACAATTTTAAAAAATATATAGCTTATTTCACTTTGAACCTTTTTTTAAAATGGTCATTTAGTTTTATAATTTAAAGAAAAATGATAGTTCTCTCCCCATCCCAGCCTATACTATACCCACAGCCTATACTTCCTGGAGGTAAACACCACTGTTGCATACATCTTTCAGACCTTTAATCTCTGTATATAGAGATATAGAAATAGAGAATATTCTTTAAATATCTGAACATTTAAGTATTACTCATCCCAATACAATATATACTTATACAAATAGATATATGTATGTATACTATACATAAAGATCTGAGGTACTAAATATTCCATGGTTTTTTTTCATTCAACAATGTATTATGAATGCCTTTCAATAGCCATACTTTAATAGTTGCATAGTATCACGTTGCATAAACATATTAGGTCAGTGCATAAGTAATTGCACTTTTTACCATTTTAATGGCAAATGAGGCACTGATTAATCAGTGCCTTATTTTTCACAACTACAAAAATATTGCTGTGAGATCCTTGAAAATGTATAATTGCCCATTTGCATGTTTCTTTAAATTTATAGATAAGGAATTACTGGGGCAAAAAGTGTGCACAATTTAAATTTGATGTTTTTGTTTTTGCCAAGCTGCTTTTTAAGAAGGTTGTACTAATGCACACTTTTATCTTGACACTAAGATTTTAAATATGATCAGAAAATGGGTTTCTGATAGTAAAACTGTCTACTTGTAATAATTGTGGCATTAGAAAAGACCTTTGTGGCTTCGTTCCTCAAACTCATTTACGAATTATAAATCTGAATTCCAAATATGAATTAACTCACACAAGATAAAGCTTTAACAGTTAGTAGCAGTACTGTAACTAGAGTGCATGTTTTCTGTCTCCAGAAATAACATTCTTTTTATGCCACATTTTTTTAACTGAGGTGATCATTCTCCACCCTCTTCTTTCCATGTTTTTCCATGTTTGTTCAAACTTTTCATTAAATATCTTGAGGCTCTAACTAAATTAAGGGTGGCCATTAAAATTGTATGTGGGATTCCCTGAACCAACTGGTAATGCACTACCAGCATATAAGGTGTCCTCATTAAAGCAGTTGGTGATTGGTACATGGGACCTCACTCATGTATGTTTGCATCTACTTGTGAGTCAAAAAGTTTTCTTAAAGTATAGGTGGGATCATGAAAGACATACAATTCACTGGAGAAATTGTGAAAAAGTAAAAGATTATGAATTTAGGCTCAAAGCCAATTTCCCTCTCATTTAATTCTACATGAGCAAGTCAAGGAGTTTGGTAGAGCTTTATGAAATCTCTAAAGATTGAAGGAAAACAATCACTAAAATCGATTTGATAAAGTGCAACTAAGTAGTATGCTAGCCTGTTAATGGATTTTCATCTTGTCATTTAAGTTTCAGCAATTGAGTACCACACTAGAACACCCACAAATGAGATTCTGTTACAGAGTATCTTTTTTCTACTACAGAACATACTGTAGACAGTTATTCAGTGGTTAACTTGTGGAAATAATCAGAAGATGCTTTTCACTTTTATGACTGGATATATTTTAATATTTATCATATTAAGAGAAACTTAGGTTACTTACAGCTCATAAACGTTGCTATGAACATCATTCATTTATTCACTTATTTATTTTTATGGTGTTCCTAGAAAGAATTTCCTGGACTAAAGGATTTATGCTTTAAAAATATTGGTAGTTACTGCCAAGAATTGCCATCCAGAAACAGTGTAGCCATTCATAAACTCAACAACAAGGTATGAGAGTGCCTGTTTCCTCATATCCTTTGTGACACCGGATTTTATCAAGCTTAAAGTTTTTTCATTCTAGGTGGGTGAAAATGGTATTCCGTTATTGATAATGTGTGGAAATCAAGTTCTAATAAGTTTGGGGGGAGGTTAATTCTTTATATGTGCTGTATGAATTAATGCCAACTGTATGCCTTTGAGAGTGAAATCAGAATAATGTCTCTCCACTAAAGCAGGACTTAGAGCACTAGTTTTCCAAATGTTGTCTACAGATGGAAACACTAGCATCACCTGGGTACTCGTTAGAAAGTGCAGATTCTCTGGCGGTACCTTAGACCTCCTGAATTAGAAACTCTGGGGGTAGGGTTAGACATTTGTGTTTTAAACAAGCCCTCCAAGTGGTTTCAATGCACATTCAAAGTTGAGAACCAATCACTGATAGAGAAAAAGCAGCTTGGGTAGAAACAGTTGATTATTTGCAAATTTATATTTTAAAAAGATAGGATTCTTAACAGTAAGCTCTTTATAATTCAACAATGTGATCTTTACTCCTACCCCCGAAAAACTAATATGATTTTAGTGTGTGGTAGCTGGATCGAAAACATAATAAATACTCAGATATGCAAAGAAAACGTTTTCTCAAATGGATTTCATTTTTATTTACCCATATCTTTGGCTATTAAGGGATGGGGGGAGGCTAAGGAAAAGGGCCATTTGAATGTGTTAGCTAACAATCTCAGTCTCTTCCGATTTCAGCAGTGTCTTTTTTTCCTGCTCCTTGCTGTCTGGGTATGTATGAGTCTTTGTGGGGCATGGGAGGGTCTCTGTTGCACACTGCTGCTCTGGTCTGGTCCCTGGACTGGTGCCTACTGAGGTGTCTGCTGCTAGTGTGGCCTTTTGAGGTGGGTTACTGTTTGCCTCTGATTTCAATTCTGTGGCCTCTTCACTCCGGTCCCAGGCCTCTTTCTATCCAACGGATCTTAGTGACTCCATGTCGGTATCCTCTGCTCTCCCCCACTTCCCCTCCCCATGCACATTTGCTATCTGGCAAATGCAGAAACTCTTAGATCTTGTTTATGCCCGAACACTGTCTCCTCTTCCTATAGCTACCTCCCTTCCCACCTTAATGCTACCTGGACACTCTGGATAGATAAGCCAAAAGTCTGATTCTTTTAGGACCGCACACAGCCTTTTCTAGGCTATGCCTGGAGAAGCAGGTCACAAGGCCACCCCACATTACCATGTCTAAATTTTAATTTTTAAGTTACAAATAAAACTAGCAAATTCTTATGTTCTATATTTTTAGGTTGGCAAATATATCTTCATAATGACAATTGAAAAAATAGCAAATCATATCAAATAACTGTGAATAGCACAAATTCAAAATTTACTGCATTTTCCACTCTAGGCCATGATTTGGCAGTGGCTGCTGCTGGGCTGGAGCAGAGTAGACAAAGGGAAGAGATTTCTCCCTGGCTTGTTGACTTGCCAGCCCTGGCTCCCTACAGTCACTGGGCATATCCACAAGATAAACATATGCTTTCTCTTCTTATAGAGGGAGCAGTGGTTTGGTCCCTTCTCTCCTGCTTAGTCTTCTCTGTCCACCTGCACCCTCTCCATCTGAGCACAGGCTTCTTTTTACTCCACCCAGCCCGACTCAGGCAATCTTCACTCAACAATATGTGCCCAGCCTCCAGCCCCCACCGACATCACCCTTTCGGGTGCTTTAAAGGAACTGGAAGTTAGAAGGCCAGGTTCCCATTTAGAAATCTTGGCCTTATAAAGTTCCCAGCACACTGCTGGCCCTTGTACTCCCATCCCAGAACCCCTTCCATGCTTTGAGAGCTCCCTTACATTTGTGAAGGAATCCTAACCCCTTTGTCTGAGCTCCATATTACCTCCAGCTCCCCCAAACTGCTCCTTCATCATACCTTGGACCTAGGGGTCCACATACTTTGGCAGCCTAATCAAAAATGACCCAGGGAAGAAGCCCATGCAGGTTCTGTAAGTGGACTGAGATAGGGAATTCCAGTTTCTCTGGTATGTGGGGCAGAGTCTAGAAAGGGGCCCCACTGATTCCTTACCTTATGGACAGAAGCACCAGAATGGCATCCTCTTAAGTGCAGGAGACCCTCTTGCCCAGATCTAAGGGCAGCACTGGCAGGCCACCAGCCTCTATGTTCTTAGTTTCCTTCATGCCTGTCTAGACCTTGTTACTTCCACACATATCCTCTCCTTTTCCCATCTTTCATCCTTCCCACACTTTCCAGGGGTGGGAGTAGGAGAATTTCCCTTCTTCCTTTTTCTCCATTTCCTGAGTTCTCTCTACTACTGATTTTCATTTTAATTGGAGTTTAAGAAACTTAAAAAATCCTTTCTCAAGTGACAAAGTCTGACTATGATTCTTGTTTTGCTGCAAACTCAGAAGCTGCATATTTCCTCACTTTATCCTTGCTGTAATATTCTAAACCTCTTAAGGTAAATGAATGCCTCTGATGGAATGGGAAATGCAGAGGTAAAATGCACATTCAAATTTTTCAAATTTAGTATCCCTGCCAAATTAATAGAAGTAGGGTAGCTAAAATGAAGAGGGTGATGATACCACTGTCCTCTGCACTGTCCGGGTACCACAATAGGTTCAAGGTGCCACACATTAAAAAGGTCAGAGAAGATCAGGCTTTCCAGGAGGGCAAGGAGAAATAGACCATATTTTTCACATTCAAATATATAAAGGTCTGTTCTCTGGAAGAAGGTTTACATTCAGTGGCAACTTTAGAATTCCTGTTTAGGAGGGGCTTAGGGGTGGCCATCAGTAAGAAAGTGAAGCTTAGAGGGCTTGCCATGAAGGTGATTTGCATATAACTGTACTTCTTATTTATTGTGTATTTGAGGTGGCTTTTGAGAGAGCAGGTGAAGATTACAGGTTAATCTTAATTGTACATCCTTCCATGGCCACACTTTGGCTTCATCAGTAACTGGACTTCTCAAAACGTTTAGCATGCACAACTAA
Source organism: Homo sapiens (assembly GCF_000001405.40). Lineage (NCBI taxonomy): Eukaryota > Metazoa > Chordata > Mammalia > Primates > Hominidae > Homo > Homo sapiens. Next base: position 115,201,633 of record NC_000005.10, on the reverse strand, counting down.
TAGTATTTGTTGAATAAAGGAATTAATAAATGAACTCATATTTAAGAACTATAAAGAACTTTCCAACTAGAGTTGCATGAGGCCGGAATGGGTAGCCACAGCAAGTTCTCCATTGCTACTGCTGCTGCTGCTGGAGAAGGTGAGGCTCATTCTGGAAATCAGGAAAAGAGCATGAAGACTGCAGGATTGACTCACTTTTGGTTTTGGCAGGGCAATGTTTTACACACACACACACACACACACACACACACACACACACACGATACAGCATCAACTCATTTCTCTTAAAAAAAAAATTATATTGCTCGTTTTAAAGAAACTGCATCTGCAGGGAAAACAAATCATCCTAATGATAAGGGAAGTTTCCTTTTTCAAAAAGTCTCAGTTCATAAATGGAGAAGCAATAATGGGGTTAGAAAATAACTATCTCACAAATGCTAATAGATTTTTAGGCTACAACAATCAATGGATACTGAAACCATCAGGAGAAAGGTTGATGGAGAACTTAAAAGTGGAAGGCTCAAGCTGCCACCACCTGAATCCACTGATCAATGCTGCCATCTCTAAAAGTGACTCAAGACATTGCATGCCTCCTGCTATAATGCAATGTGAGGTACACAAGGTCATCTATAAAATATCCTTATCAGAAAGTTGAGACTGAATCTAGTCAGTCTGATAGATCTAACATCTAGATCAGGGATGTCCAATCTTTGGCTTGCCAGGGCCACATTGGAAGAACTGTCTTGGCCCACACATAAAATATACTGATACTAATGATAGCTGATGACCTAGAAAAAAAAATCTCAGTGTTTTAAGAAAGTTTATGAATTTGTGTTGAGCCACATTCAAAGCCATCCTGGGCTGCATGCAGCTCGCAGGCTGTGGGTTTGACAAATTTGGTCTAGATCTAATAAGTGAAATGGGAACAAGTAAAATGACACCATGAGGAAGCAATCAGCCATATCCTAAAGGCAGATATGCTAAAGACAAGTCTGGTTTCTTCAACGACTTAATGACAAAGAAATGGAGGGGAGTAAAGGTAGACTGTTCTAAAAATGTAAGAGACACAGCAGTCAAATACAACATGTTGACTTTGGGTCCTAATTTGAACCAACTTTTGAAACACTTTTGAGATAATTAAGAAAATGTAAATATGACCTAGCTATTAGGTATTAAAGAATTGTTTTTAATTGTTAGCTGTTATAGTCATTTCTATTATATAAGAAAATTTTCTCATATTTTTAGAAACATTCAGAATTTGGACTGGCATGATGTCATAGCTTTACTTCAAAGACTGTAGTGGAACTTCTACTTCCAACCAAGATGAAGTGGCAGGACTGGATTTTCCTCCCTTGTAAAAAAAAAAAAAAAAAAAGTTAAAACCTGGATTAAATACATAAACCAGTGGTTATCAAGACATTGAACATAAGGAAATGGAAAGTGATCCCAGAGAGACAGAGAAAAAATGAGGTAAGCCCTATTATTGCCCTAGCTTACTGCCTAGAGATTTTCTAGGCCATAATACAGGGCTAAGAACCCCAGATGGAGAAGGTGAAGCTAAGGGTTCTGGGAATCCAAAGTGGCTAGCGTTCACAAGGCAAAGTGTCAGGAGAAAGCTGCACAGAAAGTATATATGGATATCTGCAAGGTATCCTTTTTGAGAGTTCAGTGTGTGGGGGAAGAAGACTACCCAAGACCAGAGAGAAAAGGAACATTACCTACAGCTTACCCAGGTCCAGAAATAGTTTCTGTTCCAACCAGACTGACTGGAAAACTTCCAAACTCAGAGAATTGAGTAGAACACTCCAAATGATCTTGACTCAGTGGTGGTAATAATTAGCTATTGACTAAATGCTACTCTAGTTCCACCCAATAAACCTCAAAAATAAGCCACCAAACACCCAAGCTGTTTTCAAGCAATTCAACTGCATCCCAGAACGAAGCTCAAGAATAGCTGTAGGAATACAAAAATATCCAGTATTCAACAAGGTAAAACAGTTTCTGGCATTCAGTCAAAAATTATCAGACATACAAAGTAGAAAAATATGACCCCAAATGAGGAGGGAAATCAATCAATAGAAACTGACCCAGAAATGACACAGATGTTAGTACTAGAAGACAAGGACATAAACATAGTCATTTTTCTATATTCCATATGTTTTAAAAGCTGGAAGAAAGATTGAACATGTTAAGTGGAGACATGGAAAATATGAAGAAGACCCAAATCAGACTTCTAGATGTGAAAACTATTGTGTCTGAGATTTTTAAAATACACTGATGGTATTTTCAGGATATTAGATATTGAAGAAGAAAGGGTTAGAGGAACTGAAGGCATAACAATAGAAACTATGTAAAATGAAATGGAGAGAAAAAATATTTTCTAAAAAGTGAAAACATGAGTGAGCTACAGAACAACTTCAAGCAGCCTAGGGTACATGTAATTGGAGTTTCAAAAGAATATTCGAAATGGCTAAAATAGTCCCAAATTTTATTAAAAAGTATAAGTCCACAGATCCAAGAATCCTGCAGACTCCAAGCACAAGAAACAAATTGCACAAAGCCAGTAATAAAGAGAAAATTTTAAAAACAGCCAGAGTAAAAATACCTTATGTATAGAACAAAGTATGACAGATTTCTCACCAGAAACAATGCAAGTGACAAAACAGTGGTGTAGTATCTTTAAAGTACTAAAAGAAATAAACTGTTAGCTGAGAATTCTATATCCAGTGAAGATGTCTTTTTAAATGACTACAGAATGAGAGAGAAGAAAAAAGAGATTGATGTAACAAGTATGGCAAAATATTGTTAATAGTTCTATCTGTGATCTGCATGAATGGGCAACCATTATACTATTGTCTCTGTTTCAAAACTCTGATAACTGCAAAGTTTTGAAAATATTAATTTGATTGTGTTAGAATCCAGGCTCTCATCATTCTCAGTTTTACCACTTTCTTGGGTTTTACACAGGGCTGCCTCTCACACTTCTGTTAAGTGGCTGGCCACTGAAGGCATGTAAGTTTATGTAACAGCTAAAATTTTGAACTGATTATTTCAAAAATCTATCTGCACAATGAAAGGTTAGTTTCATTAGAATCACCTAGTAAAGTTATAAAACATACAGATTACAAAGCCTCACCTGTGAAGCTTTTTATTCAGAAGGCTATGGTGGAGATAGAAATTTTTTTTTAAGTTCTACAGGTAGTAGTGATAAGAAGCCAAGTTTAGCAATCCCTATATTAAAGAATTCATAAAGCCGTTTCTAACATGGAGAGTCCATGATCTTAAAGTGACTTCAGGCTGGTAATTATTGTACTATGTGTATTATGCATCTTAAATAGTGGTTTGAAGCAGTGTCTTTAGGAGGCAGTTAAGTTTCTGTCAAAAGTATTCTTTTCCTAGGAGGTTCATCAGTAATAGGAAGCCTGAAGATTAAAAAAAAAAAAAAGTAAAGACCAGCAGCTCTAGACTGTCTGCTTCAGGCCTAGCTAACTAGACTACTATGTTCAATACTGGAGAAGGAAGATGTTTTTATTGAAAACAATTACGAAGTGGGGTTGGTTCAGTGTTAGTTATATTGAAAACGTTTATTGATTGATTGAGACAGGGTCTTGCTCTGTTGCCCAGGCTGGAGTGCAGTGGTGCAATCTCATCTCACTTCAACTTTGACCTCTGAGGGTCAAGCGATCTTCTCACCTCAGCTTCTTGAGCTGGGACCACAGGCACATGCCACAACTCTGGCTAATTTTTTGTATTTTTTGTGGAGACAGGGTTTTGCCATGTTGCCCAGGCTGGTCTCAAACTCCTGGGCTCAAGCGATTCACCCACCTCATCTTCCCAAAGTGCTTGGATTACAGACATGAGCTACCATGACCAGCCAAACGTTTATATTTTATCCCTACCTTCCTTATAGATGAAACCTTAAAAAGTAATTTCTAAATGGGAGGATTATAGTATATAAGCAGAAAAATGAGTTTCAGGAAGCACTGCTTTTAAGTCTTTTCAAACAACTTTGGATGTGAGGTACCATTGAATTCATCTTGCTCTTTGTTGCCTGTGTACCTTTGTGTTTTTTGTTATTTGTTTTTGCTTTTTAAATTGTATTTTTGTTTTATAAGTCCTGTGTGACTTATGCTTTAAAGAGGTTCTGTTTTGATGTGTTTCCAGGATTTGTTTCAAGATTTAGAGCTCCTTTTTGCAGTTCTTTTAGTGGTGGCTTGGTAGTGGCAAATTCTCTCAGCATTTGTTTGTCTGAAAAAGACTGTATCTTTCCATCATATATGATGTTTAGTTTAGTTTCGCTGGATAAAAAATTCTTGGCTGATAATTGTTTTGTTCGAGGAGGCTGAAGATAGGGCCCCAATCCCTTCTAGCTTGCAGGGTTTCTGCTGAGAAATCTGTTATTAATCTGATAGGTTTTCCTTTGTAGGTTACCTGGTACTTTTGTCTCACAGCTCTTAAGATTCTTTCCTTCATCTTAACTTTAGATAACTTGATGACAATATGCCTAGGCAATGATCTTTTGCAATGAATTTCCCAGGTCTTCTTTGTGCTGCTTGTATTTGGATGTCTAGGTCTCTAGCAAGGCTGGGGAAGTTTTCCTCAATTATTCCCCCAAATATGTTTTCCCAACTTTTAGATTTCTCTTCTTCGTCAGGAACACCAATTATTCTTAGGTTTAGTCATTTAACATAATCCCAGACTTCTTGGGAGCCTTGTTCATATTTTCTTATTCTTTTCTTCTTTGTCTTTGTTGGATTGGGTTAATTCTAAGATCTTGTCTTCAAACTCCGAATTTCTTTCTTCTACTTTTTCAATTCTATTGCTGAGACTTTTTAGAGCATTTTGCATTTTTATGTGTGTCCAATGTTTCCTAAAGTTTTTATTACATTTTTCTTTATGCTAAGTATATCCTTGAACATTTCTTCCTTCACTTCTTGCATCGTTTTTTGGATTTCCTTGCATTGGGCTTTGCCTTTCTCTGATGACTCCCTGATTAGCTTAATAACTAAGCTCCTGAATTCCTTTTCAGGTAAATTTTTGGTTTGGAGCCATTGCTGATGAGCTAGTGTGATTTTTGGGGGATATTAAAAAGCCTTGTTTTGCCATATTACCAGAATTGGTTTTCTAGTTCCTTCTAATTTTGATAGGCTCTGTCAGAGGGAAAGTCTAGAACTGAAGGCTGTTCAGATTCTTTTGTCCCATGGGGTGTTCCCTTGATGTAGTACTCTTCCCCTTTTCCTATGGATGCAGCTTCCTGTGAGCTGAGCTGCAGTGATTGTTATCTCTCTTCTGAGTCTAGCCATGCAGCAAGTCTACCCGGCTCCAGGCTGGTACTTCAGGTTGTCTTCACAGAGTCCTGCGATGTGAACCGTCTATAAGTCTCTCAGCCATAGATTCCAGCACAGTATTTGGGTGTCTCCTGGGTCCTGCAGGAGCAGTCCACTTTCTTCAGATGTTCTGTGGGTCCTCTCTGGATTTCTGGTTTGTTCTCGCAGTCGTTCTGGAGCAAAATTCATGATGAGAGCCTCTGCATGCTGCTCTGAGTCGGAGCTGCAATTTAGTCCTACCTCCCGTGTGCCATCTATTTTCACTGCAATTTATTAAGATGAAATTTTATGTAAGTCATAGGAGATTGCAAACTGGGTTATGACTGTTGAGTGTTTAATACTCATAGTATTTGTGGAAGATAATGCTTCTTCTATGCTTGTAAATTTGTAATAGCATAATGGAAGTTATCCATTAAATGTTGCTAGTCTACACAACATGTATCTGGAATGTGCTTTCCTTCAGCATTCTATGATATTATAGTTGGGGGAGAGAGAAAGTGGACAGAAGGGCATCAATGAAGATGCTTGACTGCATCAAAAGCAAATGTTTTTCCCTCCAGTTCTTTTCGTTTTGTAATGCTGCATCTCATTTTATGTTTCACTGTTGTCTGAAGAGGGGGCAAAAATCATCAACTGAGAAAACAACTGAAAAAAATTCTTACGGGGAATTTTTTTATTTCAAAAATTGGTTTCCTTACTAACAAACTTTAGGTAATTTAGCTTAAACTGGGCTTAAACTTCAGGGGACCTAAAGGCATTAATCTTTTCTCCTTAAACACAGTACAAAAAGAGTTTCAATACTAGATGACCCAGAGGAAAGGTATTATATTACCCAAACCTGCAAGTATTATCATACTTTTCAGTCATTGAGACAGTTCTTTCTTTGGTATTTTTTAAGTTAAGCCATCATATTAGAAAAAAATTTAAAACAGAATAGAAGAAGTACTATTGCCCAAAAGATCTCGCAGAGCTGACCCTTCTCCCATTCCCCACTTCTCTCCAGAGGCAACACCTGTGAGCAGTTTCTTTTCTAGAAATTGACCTGCAGGTACAATCTCATATGTGTGACTATGTTCCTACACACATACTTATATACAACGTTAACCTAAAGGCCAACTGACTCCACAGAAATTCACATTTCTTTCATTTCATACAGTCTCACATTTTCCTATTCCAAATATCTATTATAGGTTGTTAGGAAAAGTGACCAAATTAGTAATCATTGTCACAGTTTCAAAAAGGGCTAAGGAGTGACTTGGCAAAATGACTTATAATCTCATAAAAATAATTAAGCAATAATAACTGAAAGGTCATAGAACAAGAGTTTTATGTTTTAATTCTACTCCTCCTTTGTTGCCACTGCATGACAGAATCTTTGGACTTTGAGCCTTGGCAGAGTTGGACTGCTGCAGAAACCACCACAGTCTGGCATGAATTAAGTCCCACTGCAGAGGTGAACTGGAGCCAAGATTTCAATCTCCAAATGATTACTACTGGGGGAAAAAGGCTCTGGGCCATGCTGACAATGAATATCAGCTGCTTTGGGTAACTGGGACTGTTTGCACTCCTCTCCCCGCAGCCGAAAAAACCAAATTGTGGTTCTTATAGTACTGACTGGATTATTTGTGCTACATTGCTTCCCCACTGTCTTCACATCATAGAACATGTCGAAAAAAATTATTGCATTTGTAGGGCACCCGCAGTAAACCCAGGAGGCAACTTATAGGCAGAATTCACCATCCTGGAAGCTCTAGTTGAATCGTGTCCCAGTTCCTTTCAAGGGCTGAAGGTATGTCTTAGTATATAGAATTCATTCCAGGTAATAGAATTTGTAATTTGTAAATATTTGCTACTTAACACATGGTCTGTAGACCAACTTTATTGTAGCAGGACATCATCTGGGGCATTTTAGAAAAGCTGACGCTCAGGCCCCACCTGAGACCTATCTATGCTGCCCAGGCTGGAGTGCAGTGGCTATTCACAGGCATGATCATAGTGTAATACAGCCTTGAACTCCTGGGCTCAAGCACTCCTCCTGCCTCAGCCTCCTGAGTAGCTGGGACTACAGGTGCAAGCGACTGTGCCCAGCTAGCATCTATATTTTAACAAGGTCCCCAAATGAGTCATATGAGCATTAAAATTTAAGAAGTGTTGGTCTACAGGTAATGTCTACCTCCGTGGCATGCTTTAAAAGGCCTTGGAGATCTACTCCCTACCTATTTTTCCAGCCTCATCTTTGGTAACTGCCTCTTTCCGACCCAATGATAGTAAAGTATCTAACACCTGAAGGCACTGTACTCGCTACCCTAGTGCCTTTGCACAGGTGGTTCTTAGCCTAGAATTAATTCTCTTTACCTGCCCTTTTGAACTCTTATTTATCGTTCAACTCTCAATTTAAAAGCCAAGCTTCACCTGCCCCAGCAGATCTAGGCAGAGGGAGCGACCAGCCTATTATAAAGCCTTCCTTCCTCTTGCTTCCTAGTTCTGACTATGTGCCTTTATTATGGTACTTACCACATTGTACCATAATTCTGTTTATTCTCTATTTTCCCAAGCAGTCTCTGAGCTCTTGGTGTCAGTATCTTTGATTTACCCATTTTTTAATTTCTAGGAGGTAAACACAGTACATGATATGTATGCAATTCATGCTTATTGGAGAAATCAGGTAATCTTGTTGGCCATTTCTGCTGGAAAATTACTTCCTCTTAAAAATGATAATGTATATAATATTTGTAAGTCATTTCAAAATAATTGTTTGTAGTCCTCTGATTTGTGGCCAGTTTCACAAAATGCCAGAGAGCATATAAATCCATTTCTTATCACTCAGACCAGATATAAAATCAAGGTCCATCTTTTCAAGATTTAATGTATTTTAATGGTCAGTTTATATAATAAAGTGATAGCAATGAGGAACTAAACCATGTCAAAATAAGTTATGGAAGAAAACATCTTCTGATATGAACACTGTCTAGTAAATTGTTGTTCAGTGCTTTTTACCCACCAAAAATGTAGATATTGGTCAGTCTTTTTTTTTTTTTAGATACTAAGAAGTTCTTTCTAATTCCTAGCTGGTATATGTCAACTTTAAAAATCATGTTCTTGGCCGGGCACGATGGCTCATGCCTGTAATCCCAGCACTTTGGGAGGCCGAGGCAGGCAGATCACCTGAGGTCGGGGGTTCGAGACCAGCCTGACCAACATGAAGAAACCCCATCTCTACTAAAAATACAAAAAAATTAACCAGGCGTGGTGGCACATGCCTGTAATCCCAGCTACTCAGGATGCTGAGGCAGGATAATCGCTTGATCCCGGGAGGCGGAGGTTGCAGTGAGCCGAGATCGCGCCATTGCACTCCAGCCTGGGCAACAAGAGCAAAACTCCACCTCAAAAAAGAAAAAAGAGGGGCATCCTACAAAATACCTGACCAGTACTCCTTAAAACTGTCACAGTCATCAAGAACAAGGAAAGTCTGAGAAAGTGTCACCGCCAAGAAGAGATAGGAGAATTATTTGTAACGTAGTATCCTGGATGGGATCCTGGAAAGAAAAAGGACACCAGGTAAAACCTAAGGAAATCTGAATATAGTTAATAATAATGCATCAGTATTGGCTCATTAATTGTGGCAAATTTACCATGCTAATGTAAGATGTCAATGAAAGGGGAAACGGGTGCAGAATAGTTGGGAACTCTGTACTATATTTGCAATTTTTCTGTAAATCTAAAACTTTTCTAAATTAAAAAGCTTATTTTTTTAAAAAAAGTATACACCATGTAGTAAAGTCCTGTCGTATTTGTGGGATTCTACTGTGCTGGCTAATATACCATCTTCTTTATAGAAACCTTGAACCAAACCCATCGTTCTCTCCTCTGAAGAGCTTAGGGCACTTTATAGACAGGGATATATGTTTTTATTGTTTCTACTGATCCAGGTGGCAACTTTTATGATTCCTGGGTTATATAGTAATGATATCTGCCATAGGGAAGGGCTTAGTAAAGGTCACCAGAATGGCAGCATAGCTGGGTGTGGAGCCTTGTATGGTACTTGTTCCAGTGCCATTCCAGGCTGGGCAGGAAAACTGGCCAGATGAATTCAATTCCATTAAATTCAACAAATATTAACTAGCACCTACTATGTATTGTAAGCACTGGGAAGCTATTAAGTTGGTGCAAAAGTAATTGCAGTGCAAAACTGCAATTACTTTTGCACCAACCTAATAAAACTGAAAAAGATTCTGTTTGCTGCTCAAGGACAGTGTGGTGTAATTGGGGAGAGACAAATGTATCAATAGACAATTTCAGTACAAGAAGTTATGTATCACGACAGATGTGTAAAAGGTGTTGAGGGAGCTTGGGAGGAAAGATACCTCGCCAGGCAGGAGGTGAGTATTGAGCCCTAGGAAAAAAGTCCCAGCCTGAAGTGCAGGTGAATCCTGGTTAGGGGGAAATGTGTTTTAGTTCTGTAGGGGCTCTGCTATGTCTGATTTCTTAAGCCTTGAGGGCTCTTCTGAAAGGTTTACTCAATAGCAGTAGTGGGACTACTTTAAAGCCAATTTTCCTGGCAGGGCATCAATCTTACTTTCGGGAACTCAAGTTTTGTGAGAACATGAAAGCGCTTTGATATATACGAATAGCAAAATCATAGTTCAAATAACTTGGCTTACTCTTCTGTCTCTGAGGTATGAATGGGGAAGGGAGATTTGCGCCGGATTTTGTGGACTGTAAAATATGCTGGCACTCCTAGGAGGGTGGTAACCGACCTGAACTTTCTGTTTATACCTTTAGGAGTGATTAATCAGGACAATGGAGATTAATGCTATTTTCTTCTACCCTTTGATAGTAAGGCATAAGCATTTTTTTCCTTAGGCTGTGAACCAGATCTGGGAGACACTTCCTGGGCCCCTTTCCTCCCTGTGAGAAATTTAATAATCCACATTCTCATTAGATCTCTAGGTCTCAGTGTGAGGCACTGTACAAAGCCCATTTTGCAAACATGAGAGACTTTTTTCTTTTCAGTAGTAAGTCACTGCATTAGAGAAGCAATTTCCTGATATGGAGGTTCCAAATAAATTGCCTGTGCTATCTAAATGTTTTTCCATGTATTTTGAAATTATTTGCTCTCTTTCCATGCCATTCTCTGAGGGATGAAGAGCAGCCAGCTGTTGGGTCCTCTTCTCCTTCTGCTTGCTGTCAGCACCACCTCCCCTCATCCTAGGAGGTCCTTCTGTCAAAGGCAAATGCCCATGACATAGCCTGAGACAGTTAACATCCTTCCTTTCATATCCACTTTCCTAAGCTAAGAAGAGTAGAGAAAGTATTTGCTTGGCTGTATTCAGCATCTTGTGTCTCACAGGCTACAATTCTTTGGTAAATTATGCCACTAATTGTTTAGCCATCAGGGAAAACTGGTCTTTTATAACATTTTCCTTTTCTGAGTCTCCCTAACACAATGAAAAGGCCCTAGTGTCCAGACGAGGATTTAAAAAGTGGAGTCTAGGGATAAGTTTACAATGCTTGGGGAAGAAAAAGGATACCCCACGAGTGAGAAGGCTGAGGCAGGAGGGGTGCTTGAGCCCAGGAGTTCGAGGTTACAGAACAACCTGGGTAGCTGATGCAGTGGAAGACATCACCTAAGGGATTTTATTATCTTTTGTGAGTAATGGAAGACTGGCATGTAGAATAACAAGATTCAAATATGACCACAATCAAAGGCACCTGAGCAAAGAAACACGCCCAGGCCCTTCCGAGTGGTTGAGGCTTGAAAAGTAAAGGCAGATAGTGGAGAGTTTTTAAATATGAGACAAGAGTACTGGGTGGTGGCTAGGACCATGGGGTCTCACCTGGCTCTGCCACCACCCCTCCTAGTGACTTTGAGTAAGTAGGTCACTCCACTGTTTGTGCCTCAGGGTGATTATCTGTAAAAGGCAAATACAATAGTACTTTGCGGAGTTTTGTGAGGATTAAGTAGGATGATATGAGTAAGCACTTAAAATGGTACCTCACCTATAATGAGAGCTTAAAAAATATTAGCTGTTATCATTATTATATTAAGATGTGAACAGAGCTCACTGGGGAGTCATCCTAAAGTTAAGACCCAAAGGCTCAGAAGGCTTTTAAATAAATTAGCTGGAGGAAAAAATAGATTCCTTGAAAAAATTCAGGAAATTTCCCTTTAAAAAACAAAAAGGCTTAGTTACAACCCCCACACACCTGCTGGCAGGTGGAGCCAGTCACAGCAGGAGAAGGAAGATGCCTGGAGCTTCTCAGGAGCATGGCTCAGACCTCCTCATGTCTTCTCCCACACGATTTAAATTTAGAATCCTATTCAGAGGACAATTAACCAAAGCTAAGTATACTGTCGTGCCTAGGGTCATGAACTAGAACCAAGCCAACTTGGCCTTTATTGGAACAGTGAACTTGGGGCTCCAGCTCTTGAGCCAGCAAGCAAATGACCTGTTGACTTAAGCAAGTTTCAACTTTCACCCTCATCTCAGAGCTCTGGTAAGGATTAGAACAACTCGAGTATCTTTACAGAATGACCTGTAATCTGCAAAGTGCTTTTAATTGAGAAGGATGATGTGTTACATGTTCTGTTATGCTCTTTACCCAGGTCTTTCATCTCTGAAGAAGGCGGTGGGAAACAAATGTTATTTCTCCTCTTCATACTCCTTTTCTCATTTATTCTGCAGGTATTATATTATAGGTGGTACAAGTGAATAGTAACAATAGAGGATTCATTGAGTCTTTAGTCTGTGTTGGCTACAATTCTAAGCTGTTTACATATATTAACTCATTTAATCCTTATAACAGCTCTCTGAGTCAATACTGTTATTGGGTCCATTTTTACAGATGAGTAAACTGAGGTATAGAGAAATGAGTTGCTAAAAGTCTCACAGCTATAACATGGCTATATTAGTTGTGACTAGGCTTGGTTGTATGTAAGAGAAAACTCAAATAACATGGTTTAATCAATTAATCAAGTTATAGTTTAATTGTCTCTGGAGTAAATGAAGATAGAAGGTAGGTGGTCAACAGTTGGAATGGAAGCTCCACCATCCTTAGATTCAGGCTCTTCCCTCTTTCCTCTCCAGCCATTTTAGTGAATGACTTCTATCCTCAGGTTCTCCTCAGTAGTCCAAGATGGTGGTTGGATGCCACGTATCAGAACTGTATTTCAGTTAGAAGGAAAGGAAAGAGAGGGCAAAAGAGCTCTCCCAGAAGCTGGACATAAAAACTCCCATTGATACCTCATTGGTCAACCCTTTCTGCAAAGCAAGCTGCAAAAGGAGTTTTCCTTTTCTTTTTAAGTTGGGCACATTTCTCAACGTTCTGTTACAAAGAAGGAGGAAAAGTGAATATTGAACCTATATACCATAAAATACAGTTCATTGGACCATAACTGTGGTGTTGGTTGGCAGGTGAAGACATAACTGTATTACTGTATTTATTTCCCACTTGGAATAGTCATTTAGAAAATATAAATAAGGTGGTGCACATAATTTTAAAAATTAGAAACTTACTAAAGCTTCCAGGTTTCCCTTAAGCACAATTTATTTATAATTAAGAAAATTCTTTAACTTCACAGTATTTAAATGGTTATTTGAGACTCTTGAATTTACGAGTAAAGGAAAGGCAAAGTGGTGTTTGGGTAAAATTATTTTTCTCCTTATTTTTATTCCGAAATTTTAATCTGAAGCTTTTCTCCCCGCAAGGCATTATTCTCGGGTTTCTGTTTCAAAATGTTCAGTACTAAAGCTTTCATTTGTCTTCTAAATAAAACAAGGGAAAACAATACTTGAATTAGATAGTTAGATAGTTTTTAGTTGGATTATAGTATACTAGATTGTGGCTAATACTTTTCTTTTGACCTCAGTTTCTCCCATTGTAAAGTAAGTATATTTATTCATTTGTTCATTTATTCATTGAGTAAACACTTTTTGGACTCAAATATGTGTTAGATATTAACACTTAATATTTGATAGTCATTTTTGTTTCATTATTAACCAAAAAATGGGATAATATGTAACAAATTATTTAAAGCTTGTTACTCTTACTCAATGAGTACTTTTACAGTTAAATAAAAAGTGTTTCTTTTCATAAGGGTAAACCAAATTTGTCTTAATAGAATACTGAAAAAGAAAGGTAAAATTCCTTTTGGAATTATAGGAAATTCAAATAGTTCAAATAAATATGTATCACACAGAGAATATTTTATATTATAAATCTTTAAAGATAAGCATATTGGAAGGAAAATGTCAACAATTTTCCTTTTCAAGAGTAAACAAATGCCTTGTGAAACACAAAGTTCTCCCCTAGCAAGCTGGTGAAATGCTGAAATAGATATATTTTTTGTAAAAATACAAAAATTAGCCAGGCGTGGTGGCATGCACCTGTGATCCCAGCTACTCAGGAGGCTGAGGCAGGAGAATCGCTTGAACCTGGGAGGCAGAGGTTGCAGTGAGCCGAGTTCGCATCACTGCACTCCAGCCCAGGTGACACAGTGAGACTCCATCTCAAAAAAAAAAAAAAAAAAATCATAGCTCCCCACCTTGCATTGGCTGATCAGTGTGTAATTTAGGGACAGATGAAAAGATGCCAGCCTCTCTGCCAAGAACTTGTCCTTCCTGCTTCTCAAAGTCAATGTTATTTTTATGGTGTGATGTGTATAGAATCCTTTCTTAGCACTTTTTTTCTATTCTGTGAATTTCTTCCCAGATATTTTCCTCTTTTTGGTAGAGCTAGAACAACAGTGCTCAAGCTCTACCAAATACTCAGTTTAATCAATAAGTCGGTAGCATATATTGGTGTTATTAACATTTTAAATTTCAATTTAATGGAGATAAGAGCTGTGCCTTTTATTGAGGAACCCTGGCACAACAAGATTTTTAAAATATGTGTGAGTGGCAAAATAGAAAAATCGATATGATTTATCATTTTGCTGGAGCCAATGAACTACATGTTTGTCCATCAGACAGTAGCCAACACTATACTAATTACTACCTCCTAATATACCCTATCTCCTCACTCACTGCCCCTAAAAGGAATACTCGAACTGAATCTGAGATCCTATAAATTATCCCTCTTCCTCTCTCTAGCTTGCCTCCCTCTACACCCACATAACAAGCAATCTTCTAAAATAAATAAAGAACAACAGGATGATAGCTCTTAGGGTCAGCCTAATAAGAAACCTCATTATTTCTGGTTTAGAACATTTCAAAGCAACACCCAGGAACCTTCAGAATGGTAAAAAAACATTGATGCTTAGCTATGAGGCATGAGGCAGGAGGAGTAATACAAAGTGGACCTTTGCCCCAGGATGATGACTGAGGTATGACTAGAAGGTTCTTCATCCTCTCAAAGAGCAAACTTTTGTGGCAGTAACACAACCAGGCAAGATGAGAGAAGCAGATCAAAGAAACTAAAAACAGAGTAAGTGGTTAAATTATTTATGATGATGCTGCAGCTGTATTGATCAGAGGCAGATTTCTCTCTTAACCCTACTTTCCTTGTACCTATAGAAGTTGTCATCGCCCAAAGAATTTTTGACCTAATGTGAAAGTGTGGGGGTTGATGGAGAGAGAAGTGGGGGGAGGGAGTGGGTGAATAGCTAGTCAGGACCTTAGTTAAGAGAACACTGGTTATCCAATATGGTTCTACCATATCTAATGACAAACTAACTGATGATCTCCACATATCTCATTTCCTAGGAAAGAAATGGTGTATCATTTCACTGTGTACCCTGCAGGGAAATAAAGGTTCTGCCCTACCTACCAAGATCATATTGCCGTAGCATCAAAAAGCCCCATACAAAATAAAAGCTTTCAAAACACAGCATGGTATTAAAAGGACATCTGTATTTTAAAAGTCTCGTTTATTTTGTTTACTGCTGAATCTCCATTGCCAGACACTGCCAGGCACACAGTAGGTGGTGACTTATATTTAATGGACTATTTAATGAATGAATAATATTGGCACATTGCGATTCCGTAGATCTAGTTGAGATTCAGGCACAGAGGGACATGAAGGCCATGTGCTCAACAGCATGTCTTAGGAGGCCACTGGCTCCTGTGATAGCCTGGGCTGGCCATCCTAGGCTTGTTCCTGGGCAAAGTCTTGCTTGCTAGAGAAATATCATCCCCTGAGAATGAGGATAGCTTTAGGATATGTGCACACTGTTCTAATTCTACCATTTGAGCAACTCTAAGACAAGGAGTGATCCTTTGTTGTGACACAAACAATCCCAAGGAATTTTGTTGCTCTCTTTAGGCCAAAGATTGTGTGTAATAAATTTCTGGAGAAAACACACTGTTAAGGCTGGGCATGGAGGCTCATGCCTGTGATCCCAGCACTTTGGGAGGCCAAGGCTGGAGGATTGCTTGAGCCCAGGAGTTCAAGACCAGCCTAAGCAATATAGTGAGACCCCCTATGTCTACAAAAAAAAAAAAAAAAAAAAAAAGAAAGAAAAACTAGCTGGATGTAGTGGCATGCACCTGTAGTCCCAGCTACTCAGGAAGCTGAGGTGGGAGGATGGCTTGAGCCCAGGAAGTGGAGGTTGCAGTAAGCTGTTATTGCACCACCACACTCAACCTGGGCAATAGAGCAAGACCCTGTCACCAAAAAAAAAAAAAAAAAAAAAAAAAGAGAGAGAGAGAGAGAGAGAGAAATAATCAACTTTACCTGACATTTGTAGAATACTTCATCCAATAACCAGGAGAATATACACTCTTCTTAAGCACACATGGAATATCATCCAAAATAGGTGATATTCTAGGCTATGGGTTAGTAAATTACAGGCCAGGGGGCAGCTGCCTAGTTTTTTTTAAACCATTTTTAAGTGTTCAACTGAGTAACATTAATTATATTCAAAACGTTGTACAATCATTACCACTATCTATACCCAAAACTTTTTCGTCACTCCCAATGTAAACTCTATCCATTAAACAATCCATTCCAGACTCTCTCCAGCCCCTCTACTTTCTGTCTCTATGAGTTTGTCTATTCTAGATATTTCATATAAGTGAAACTATATAATATTTATCCTTTTATTTCTGGCTTATTTCACTTAGCATAATGTTTTCAATGTTCATCCATATTGTAGCAAATGTTAAAAGTTCATTACATGTTATGGCTGAAAAAATTCCATTATATGTATATATATTTTGTTTATCCATCTATTGACAGATACTTGAGTTGTTTCTACCTTTTGGTTATTGTGAAAAATGTAGCAATGAGCCCTGGTGTACCAGTATCTGTTTGAGTCCCTGTTATCAAGTCGTTTGGGTATATAACTAGGAGTGGAATTGCTGAGTCATATGGTAATTCTAAGTTCTAAGAATTCTAAGAGCATTCCAATTTCTCCACTTTGTCATTAATACTTGTTATTCTCTCTGTTTTTGATTCTAGCCATTCTAGTGAGTATGAGGTAGTATCTTATTGTGGTTTTGATTTGCATTTTCCTAATGACTAATAACGTCAAGCATCTTTTCATGTGCTTATTCAGCTGCCTATTTTCATAAATAAATGTTTATTGAAACATGTCCACATTCATTTGTGTACCTATTTGTGGACCTATTGTCAATGGTCCCTTTCATCCTGTAACAGCAGAGTTGAGCAGTGATATAGTTTGGATATATGTCCCCTCCAAATTTACTGTTAAAATTTGATCCCCAATGTTGGAGGTGGGGTCCAGTGGGAGCTATTCTGGTAATGGAGGTGGATCCTTCATGAGTATCTTGGTGCTGTCCTCGTGGTAATGAGTTAAGTTCTTGTTCTATTAGTTCTCATGAGAACGGATTGTTAAAATGAGCATGACACCCCCCCCCTCCTTTCTTTCTTGCTCCCTCTTGCCATGTGACATGCCAGCTTCCCTTCACCTTCTGCCATAAGTGGAATCTTCTTGAAGCCTTACTGGAAGCATATGCTGGCACCATGCTTCCTGTAAAGTCTGCAGAACCATGAACCAAATAAACCTCTTTTCCTTATAAATTATCCAGTCCCAGGCTAATCTTTTGTAGCAACACGTACTAAGCCAAGTAGTAACAGAAATTATATGGCTTCAAGTCTAAAATGTTCATTAATATCTTACCCTTTAAGAAAAAGTTGCTGACTTCCACATTAGACTATTAAAAAGCCTGAATATATTTAAAAACATTAAAATCATTCAAAGGATGATCTTTGCTCAAAACAGAATTGGATTAGAAATCAACACACAGAAAAATAGAAAATCTAAACTATTTGGAAATTTGAAATAATTTGGAAATTAACACATTTGTAAATAACCCATGGGTCAAAAAAATCACAATAGGAAATTTTAAAAATATTTCTAACTTAATTTTAAAAAAATCAAAAGTCATGGAATGTAGCCAAACCAATCAGTACTTAATGGTGAAAGAATGAATGCTTTTTCCCCAAGATTGGGAATAAGGCAAGGATGCCCACACTTGCTGCATGCATTCAATGGAGGTTCTACTGGAGGTTCTAACCAGAGTAATAAGGCAGAAAAATAAAGGCATACAGATTGGAAAGGAAGAAATAAAATTGTCTTTAATTACAGATGATATTATAAGGAATCTGAAAATAAAATCTGGAATTGATAAGTGAATTTTGCCCCATTGTAAAACACAACCTTATGCAAAAATCAGTTGTGTTTCTATATAACAGTAATTAACAATCCAAGAAATGACACCAAGAAATCAATTTTATTCACAATAATATTAAAAGGAGTACCTTGCAATATGTAATACAATAAGTACAATATCTGAACATTAAAAGTGATAGAACATTGCTTGGAAAAATTAAAGAAAATCTCAATAAATGAATATTCCAATATTGTAAAACCAGATTATGAGATGGTTTTACAAATCCATAATTTAATAAAAATAACTAAGCAGTACACTGACAATTAGTGAATTTTATGGTATATAAATTGTACCTCAATAAAGCTTATTCAAAAAAGATTTTTTTTTTAAAATGACCTTTTTGAATACAGGTATCAGTCAAATTTTAGGTTTACATTTTTGAAATAAAAACTAAGAAAATGTGAGAGTTTATTAAAAGTAAGATATTTTAGGTTTCTTCAGTCTCTAACTCTTAAAAAGCTGAACATTCTTCACAGATTTTAAATTCAAAACCTTCAAAAATACAATTTGTGTGTCACCATTAAAAAGAAAACTTGGATTGTGTATTTTGTTGATGTTATTTGTTCAAGCTATTATGTATTATGCTGGTTGCCATCAGAAGGAGAAAATAGAATGTTGTAAATCTCTATGTAATACTTATTTCAATAATTGGCATAGCAATAGAGCAGTTGAAGAATTTTCTCCATTTGATGAAAGTTGGCAATTAGCAGATTTTCCACAGCAAGGGACCCTTTAATATTGCTGGTCTTCTCAGTGTGAAAAATTCACACATCATATAATCCCTCTATTAAATATCTTCCTCTTAGGTGGGGAAGTCCCCTGTGAAGCAGCATCTGTCATGTTAATTTCATTCTTATTTTTAGAGAAATATGAATTAACATTTTTCTTAATTTTGGTTCTTTTAGGGAGTGAAGTTTTAAATTTATATGATTTTAATCTTTTTTTCAGAAGAAAGGGACATAATAAAGCAACTTTTATTTGGTACCTATTGACAGTTTGACCCTGTGTCTTTGAAGTGAGTGCATGCATAGAATTTCAGAAGAAATTTCAATGTGGTCTTCATTTTTATATGCCTATCTTCTTTGAAAGGTCTTTAATGCTCCAGAGTGTTCTTCACACAACGACAATAAAGAGTGGTAAATACCACCAGGCATTGGTGTAAATAAATGCTCAGGACCCAACTTATGTTCTCTAAAACTCTTGCCTCCACCACTTTCTTGGTCTTGGGTAGGAATCTAGGCAACTGATAAGGATATTTTGTCTGGAGTATTTTCTAGTAGCAAGTGATCAGGTGGACAGCCCTTTTTTAAGAGCGATCTTTTCAGGGAGGAGAATGGCAGCTAATGCGGCCAGATGGCAAAGGGATCCTCAGATCAGAGATTTTAGGGTTAAGAACAGGAAGGGGTTAGAGACCATTTAGTCAACACCAGTCATTTTATAGAAGAGAAAACTGAAGCTCTGAAAGTTGAATGGACTTACTCAAGGTTAATAGAAACTAACAACTTTCTACCCGATATCTGTCTCCTCTTCTTCCTTACTAACAAATCCTTGATTTTGTTTAGAGTGGCAATGTTCCCAGAACAAAATAATCACCTCCCCAGCCTTCCTTGGAGCTAGGGGATGCATATTACCCATTTCTCACAAAGGTGTAAGTGGAGGTCACTGGATGGGGCTGGGGGAAGCTTTTTAAGGGGAAACAAATGTCTTGTGTGCTCTTGTCTCTACCTTCCTCCTTCCTGCTTGTAATGCAGACATAAGATTAGCTGTTCAGCTCTAACACTGTGGTTTTTAATCAGGTGCCAGAATCCATTCTGGGTGTGAAAAAATGTTCACTTTTAGAGCAATATCTCTTTCTGGTAATCCATCAAGTGTTGCTAATAGTAGGCAAGAACCCATTTATGGATGCTACAGACCTTAGTTGAATTCTACTAGTTTTCCTATGGACGCAAAGAGTATACATGAAGTTCTACAGAACTTAAGAGGGACAAGAAGCTTCTAGCTGTATATCCAAGAAGCATTATGATTGTGTCTTGCCTCCTACAGAGCCCTAATTGTGAACATCAGCATGTTAACTTTTGCTGCTTGTTCTAAGAGGTTTTCAGCACCAGCTCATAAAGTAAAGTAACACACCGAAGAAGCAAAGTTCTGGTAGAACAACAGTTACAGAGCAACACTGTTGGAGCTTTACGGAGAGGTGTGCTGAAAAAAGAAAGAAATGTGTATGCTTCTGGATTTCTGGACCAAAGTGGAGAAATTAGAAAATGACAAAAGGAAGAGGCAAAAAAGAAAAACCCCCACGTCTCATTAAGCCTGCAAAACTCTTTTACACCTGTAAAATAGGTCATTTCGACACACCACCCTGCCCACTGGTGCTGAGCGCAACGCAAACTCTGCCAACTTGCTTAAGGAAAGTAGTTTCACGAACTTTGTAGTAAATCTTATTCGTGTCTAATCTAATTATTGCTGGCAGCTTTTTTCTTTTCTTTTTAAAGAAAAAACATCAAGCCTTTAATCGCAAAGACTCCTTAGAGCAGAGTGATAGACTGGGACTGATTTTGTTCAGCCAAGTTTTCTTTTGAAGAGAAGCAAAGATTGTCAGGTATGGTCTGAGGCCATTTCAGCTGTAGCCTCCTAGGGAAGCTGCTGTTATAAAAAGAAGTATAGAAATGTGAGAAGCCTGCACTGAATGCTTTAACTCAACCAACGAAACAAATAATTAGAAAAGTGGACTTGTGGTAACTAACGGTCAGAGTGTCCAGGAACCTGGCTGGCAATATTTTTTTTCTTTTCTTTCCTCTTCTTTTTTTTTCTTTCTTTCTTTCTTTTTTTTTTTTTTTTGTTGTCGTTGTTAAAGGAAAGTTGAGTATCAAAAGGATATGGAGATACAACAGACCTTACACAGAGTGTTTAAAATACAATCCCTGTATTTGTTCTCATCTCCGAAGCGCGGGGCTTGGTCTTTATTACCTATTGGATTTCAGGAAGGCTGACTTGAGATGCGCCGTTGCCATTTCCTGGCCTTCACTTATGTATTTATTTATTTATTTTCCGGCGCTGGCAGCCAGCCCCTTTGTTGCGCCTCCTCTGTATTCGTTTCTGTCTGCCCTCGCACCTCCAGACAGTGAGATGGGGCTTTTTTCCAGATCTTCGCGCCGAGAGCCGGGGACGGCCAACCTGCCGGCATGCGATAAAGGCCGGGGAATGTCTAGCTGGGGCCGCGCTGAGCCGAGTGCGGACCCGCTTTGTGTGCGCGTTTGTTTGTCTCCGCTGCGGTCCGAACCGCTGCCGCGACCCCCGAGGAGGCGGGGCCTCCGCGCGCCCGGCTCCGCCTGGTGAGGGTTTCACGGCCTCTGCTGCCGCCGCCGCCGCCCTCGTTTGTTCCGTTAGATCGCGCAGCCCCGACCGCTGCACCCGGATCCTAGCAAGCCGGGCGAGGCTGCCCGGGAGCCCTCGATGGCCTTCATTTCACCCAAGCCCGCTTCTTGCTTTCCCCGGCGCTTCCCCTCTTTTCCTGGTTAACAGCTTATGGGCGGGGAGCTCGGCAAAACTCAGACTAAAAACAGAAAAAGAGAAAAGAAAGGACAAATTCGATACACCCGCGTCGGTCCTCCAGAGTTTGTGAAGGGGTGTAAACATGTCGGAGTCTGGGGAGATGAGTGAATTTGGCTACATCATGGAATTGATAGCTAAAGGCAAGGTAAGTGATGAGGCGCGGGGCGCCGCGGCCTGGGCCCCCGACTCCGGCACTACCTGGCCCGCCACTGTGGGCGTCCGTGTCCATTCCAGCGCCTGGGAAGGGCGGGAGGCTGGAATCCAGGAGCCGCGCTCGCAGCCCGGGCGTCCCAGCAGCTGCGGAATGCAAAGTAGCCGCCTTTTCTTTATTGCGTGGCATCTCTGAAATAAGCCAAGAGGGGACTTTCGGACGCTTTTGGGGCCAGCTGGGCAGCAATAGGGGCTCTCGGACGCCGAAGGGCGAGAGCCCAGCGTCGGAAGATGGAGAGGAGGGCGGGGCGTTGGCCAAGGGGGCGCTGCCCCACCAACCAGGGCTACTCAAACGTGGTGACTTCGAGTGGGTGACCTCGCCTGCCTGGGCGCGGAGCGTGGAGGGAGGGTCCGCCCAGCGAGTGAACAGGCTCGAAGTGTGCGATCAGGGTCAGCCCGCAGTCAGAGCGTGTGGCCGGTAAATAGGGACAGCACGTTCGTTCGCCCTGCCCTGGCCTTTTCGGGCCTCTTTCCAGGTCCTTAGCTGCTGCTGCTCCAGGCCGGGAATATTTAAAGCAGCCTTCTTTTGGTAGGGAGGGGAAGATGCTGGAGGAGCGGGATTTCAGCCCCACACCTGTCCTGGAGCCTTTAGGAACGCAGGCTGGCGCCGTCGGTGGCGCCCGCGACGACGCCCTCAGCAGGCGGGGTGGTGCCGGGCCTGAGTCAGTGCGGGAGGCTGGGCTCCGCGCTGCATCCGAGAAATTGCCGGCAGAAGCTCCTAAGTGGTTTGCAGGCGGAACGTGTCGGGAAGTACGGAGGCTGCACAGTGCACTGCCCTCCGGAACTCGCAGACGGAGAGAAGGCGGGAAAGGGCGTCAGCGTTTGCCCTCTGCGCCTGGAGCTTCGAGAAGAGGTGATGGCACAAAGGAGCACTCGACTCCCTGTGCGCGGTTAACAGAAAGGAGGATGATTCTGTAGCCCTGATGTGAGCACCTGAAACCCTGCAGTCCCACACCCCACTAACTCCAACGCCGCAGATATAGCATATGGAGTAGTTTTAGATTCATGCCCGACAGTCCTATGGCCCCAGGGCTGGGGAGCTGGTTTAATGCACTCTTAGCCTAAAAAGTCCCAAATGAACCCTACGCCTCTCTGAATTCTCTTGTTCTACAGGCACTGAATACATTCATCAGAAACAGAATATTCATTAACATTTCGAAAGTGAAGCTGTGTCTTGGGCCTCCCCTACCATTTACAACCCCGGGCCAGAAGTACAATTGGAGAACTCTCCTTCCACTTTTCTTCCAAGCCCAGACTCCATCCTGCACCTCAAGGGGCCTTCAGCACACACTGTCCAGTATATCCGAGCTCTTTGTCGCCCCAGCAGCAGCCCCTTGACCACCCTTCGGGCCTAGGGTGCATATTGCGGCCCACCCTTCCCTCTGAAGAATGGACCCTGGGAAGAGAAGTCCTGATAAGAGAAAGGGCTGGCTCTGAGCAAAGAGGCAGGCAACCAGAGGAGGGCCAGAACCACGGCCTCTAAAGAGCGAGAGGTGCAGGCAGGACACCGACTGCCCAGGTCTAGGGGAATGCCTAACAGGGGCATCTATTTGGGAACGTTGAGGGGCTAGGGGGCAGGGAGGAAAAAGAATGCCTTTGGTTGAACAAAATAAATGGACTACTCTTGATAGGATGGAGAATAGGATGATCGATAGGTGAATTTTGTCCTATGGCGCTCAGATATTCTTCAAAGTAAGCCAGAATTGTATTAGTTGGCTATGCTTTCCTTCAATAGCAGACAAATCCTGAAATTCTGAGAGAATAATTTCGGGGTAGGACCCAGGGATTTGCATGTGAAGAACAGCCCAGGTGACCATGAAGCCGACTGATGGATGTCCTATGAACACGAAATGGGGAAGTAGGGCAGAACCATTAAAACTCCTTATAATCAAGTCAGGTAAACAAAAACAAAACCCTCTCAGAATACCAATGGGTTCATCACAGTATGCTCACTATAATGAAAAAACACAAACTAACTTTCTGGCTTCATTTACTGGATTTCTCTGCTCTCTCTCTCTCTGTCTCTCTCTTCACTAGGCTTCAGCAATGGGCCTGCAGCAAACCCATGAGCATTCCCGGTTGACTTCTAAAGGTGGAGAGGCCCGCTGTCCCTTTGAAATCTCTGAGGTTGGAAAGCAGTCTCTCCCAAGAAGAACTTAGGACAATTCCTCTCTCTGTTTTGTGGGGGTTGGAGGGGGAGAGTTGGTCTGGAGTAGGCTCCTAACCATTTCAACGTAAGCTTATTTCCTACCACTCTCCTCAGGCTCAAATCCTGCCCCGCCCCGCAGCCCCAGCACTAGCCCATTTAAGACCCCTGTTTTGTGTGTGATTATACAGGATTTGAACACTGAATATTAACCATGGAATAGCAGACCTTTGAGACTGACTTGCTTTATTTTCCTCTGTGGGGTTCGGTTCCACTTTGTAGTTCGGGTTTGTAATGTAAAGAATAATGGGAAACTGGTCTAATTATGAGAGTTAAGAGAGTAGAGGCCTGTAGTTGGCCTGCCCTCCGCCCCACCATCCCTCAAAGTTGAGACCACTGAGTTAACCATCCTCTTAATTTCTCTCACTTTTCCCCCAGATTTGTTTCATCCTTGTACTGGACTTCTCAAGCTCTGTACATAATTAAAAATACATAGCTTTACATTTTTACAAACTTAATACCTGGAATATATGCTTGTTGTAAAGTATTCAAACTTCACAGAAAGGTTCACAGAGTAAAAAGTCTAAGTTCATGCCCACCTCCAATCTCATTCCTTCCCCAGTGGCAGCAGTTTGTGTGTCTATTTCAAATTAAATTAGCATACCGTATGTTCTCTGAAATGTGGGAAGTAAGCCTTTTTTCTTAGGGTAACCTAAAACCTACAGGACAAACTGGATCAGCTTATTTACTCTATTGTGATGGCTACTTTAATATTTAAAGTACACAGTGATATCTGCCATTGTGACCTTTCTGCTCATCAAACAATACTGCATAAGTGTAGTTAATACTTACGATCATTCTCAAGAGGCTTAAAAATGAAAATGTATTTCCTTACATTTCACTAGCAGTGAAACTTTTACCATTTCTGAAAGCTGTCTTTTCGCTTCTTTTGCAGCTAATCTCTTTGGATTAAAAGAGAGGTTTCCAAATCTGTGGTCAATATCTAAGGTTACTCAAAGCAGTATTTTCCAACTGTTTTGGTCTCTTGTAAGATTTGCCTCACTAATTTTTTTATCACCGCTTCTGGAATCATATAATGAAGATTTGATGACAAGGAATATAGAATTCAAATTTTAGTATATCTCTTTGTATTTTGTGTATTTAGCATATTTACATTTATGTGTAAATAGCCAGAAGGTACATTCGGTTCCCATAATTTAATATTTACTGTTCAGGCACATCTAAGAGCATAATGGTTTCAGCAAAATAAGAGAGGCTTTGTAAATCTTATATTTAATTTTGATACTGAAATAGGCAATGATACCATTACTTGGTGAATTATTTTAACTTTGAACATCTTTGAGGCACAAAAAATTCAAGAATTTTTACAAACACAAACTTTACCTTAAAAAAAGAAGACACTTACACTCTGAAAGAATTAGTCTTGGAAAGTCCTCAAATCTAGACTAATAAAAGGTCTTAAACATCTCCTGGGACCAAAACAAAAATACCACCAAATGATCTCTTTCAGAAGGACGAATAGATAGTTGCTCACACAACTAAAATCTAAACTGGGGTGATAATGGTAAGGTTGTGCCCACTGCATAAGTATTTTTATTTTTATTTTTATTTTTTTTTGAGACACAGTTTTACTCTGTTGCCCAGGCTGGCGTGCAGTGGTGCAATCTCAGGCTCACTGCAACCTTCACTTCTGGGTTCAAGCGATTCTCCTACCTCAGCCTCCCTAGTAGCTGGGACTACAGGCACACGCCACCATGCCCGGCTAATTTTTTGTATTATTAGTAGAGACAGGGTTTCGCCATGTTGGCCAGGCTGGTCTCGAACTCCTGACCTCAAGTGATCTACCTGCCTTAGCCTCCCAAAGTGCTGGGATTACAGGGGTGAGCCACCGCATCCGGCCTACAAAGTATTTTTTAAAGGTTTTTTAAATATATGTATTGAAATTGGGTGAAATGTATGTGCTGTGGGGAGTAGGGAAGGCAGGCAGAAGATTTAGATTTTTGTAATATCATTTGAAAAGAGCTACTTTCATAAATATAATTTTCCTCTTATTTTTTTTTACTATATTGCGCTAAAGATAATTTGAAAAAAAAAGGTGTCTCCTAAACTACTTTGTAAAAGGATGTTTAAATCAGATTTTTAGTGAAATTGTAAATTCTGTGTTGTATACTCACCTGTGGGCAGTGCAATAAGGATGCTGGACTGAGACCCAGGTTTGAATCCTGGCTTTTTAGTATATGGCCATGTAGTATATAGCCCATAGATTAAGCATATTACTTAATCTATGGGCGGAGGTGGAGAGGAATTTTAGTTGTTACATGTCTTCTCTGAAAAGAATTATACCTATTTCACAGGGTTACTGCAAGGGTTAAATGAATCTTTTATGCAGGTTTCCTAATACTGTTATCGACACATCATAGGCCCTCAATAAATGAAAGCTATTACTTCTAGCTTTTATGACAACAGGGTTGGGCCTTGAGACACCTTATATCCACATTGTGATCATTAAGAAGTGGAGGTAGGGCTGACAGATAAAATACAGGATGTAGACTTGAATTTGAATTTGAGATAAATACTTTTTTTTTTTTTAGAATATGTGCAATGTGATATTTGGAACATATACTAAAAAATTATCATGTATCTGAAATTCCAATTTAACTGGGTGTATTGTGTTCTTATTTACTAAATCTAGTAACCCTACAGGGAAGAATAATAAGATGTGGTCAACAGAGAGGGACCTGCTAGATTGCCTCAAAATATTACCAGTTTTGTTTACCTCAAGTTGGCCAGAAAACTTCTTTGCCCACTAGTTATGCAGCTAATACACTCATCATTAATGGAAAAATGTCCGTGAGAGCAGCACTGGGTTCCTCTCATCTTCCTAATAGCAAATTGTTGCTCTGGTGCTACTGTTTAGTAGATAAATGCTTACTAGATTTTGTCTTAAATAAAAGCTTAAATGGTCGAGAAGACAAAACATCAAACATCAGTGTACAAAGACTAGGTATTTGTGTTAAACTGAGTGCTAAAAGAATTCAGAATAGAGGGAGATAATCAATGAAATCAAAACTAATAAAGGAGGCTCCAGAAGTGCAACTTGAAAGATGAGGAGGATTTGGCCAGGTAGTGGAAATCTGAACTTGCTGGCTCTCTGGACTCCTCTCCCCTGACTTTGTTCCCATAGAAACACTTTATGACTGGTAAGCTTGGCCTGTCAGTAGCTTGAGTCAATAATTGATAGACAATACCATTCATTATCCCTTTACTGGTAACCTCCTGATACCCAGCAGTATAGGTGGTCCGTGTGCCAATCTACTGGAAAACCCTGTAATTTACTTTATTTCTGTACTTTTTATTTTCTGTAAGTCCAGGTGCTCTCTTGATTTTATACCTATGGCTGCTTAATTATTAGGGGTTCCCAAAAGGGGGCAGAGTTTAGGGAATATGTGGCCATATTACCTTGTTTCTATTTCTTGTTTAGTATATACCAATAGAATGGTGGTACCCTGCCTGTCTGATCTCAGAGCAAACCAATTAATATGCACCATGGTCATTAGGACTTGACCCAGCCATGAATTTAATCTCTTGTTGGGTATTAGGAATCAATATGGAAAAAGACCAAGTCAGCTTATGGAGTAGTATATGATTTATAGGGTAAGGGGTTTATATTTTAAATATCAAGCAATGAACATTGATTGAGGCTCTGTTTTATCAAAGCCTGAATTGTGTGTGTTTGGAGAGGGGAATCTTGACCTTTTGGACTTCATGAAGTAGATGGATGTGAGAGAGCTCATGCCCCTGTGATAGAAGAGCAATTAAGTAATACCAGAAGTAGAAAAGTAGATATCACAATGAAGGCAAGAGTATTGAAGGTCTGTGGACTTAGGGGGATAAGAATAGGATAGGTTTTCTTGTTTTGCATTTTAACCCAGATTTTAAAATAAACTATTGAAAAAGGAGGTGCTAGGATACTCCAAACTGCGGAGGAATAGGCACCAAGGGACAGCATATACAATGTAAAATAGGGGAATAATGATTTTTTTAAAGTTCAGATATTTCATGCCATTCCTGCTAAAAAGCCTTCAAAAGCTGCTCAACATCTACAAAAGCATAGAGGCCTTCCATACTTTACCAGACTTATTTTGTTACCACAGGTTTACCACCCTCTAACTCCTGCTCTTCAACACATGCGTGCGCGCACACACACACACACACACACATTCAAATACACATGTCCACACACCCCCCACCCCCTTATGTTCCAATACCAAGCTGCCTGTGGTCCAGGACTGTAGCTTATTCTGCTCCTTGTGCAAATAGAGGCATGAGGACAGGGCTACACATATGGAAAATCATCTGTAAATACTCAACTTATAGGCTACTGTTGTAATCTAGGCATGCGGAGAGGGGGCTTAGAGTGGGCACAGGAATCAGCTGTGAGGATGAGAAAGAACAGAATCTGGTAACAAACTATGATTTAAGGCTGATCAGAGATAGACAGGGAAGAAGAAAGGAAGATAAAAAGCAAGCAAACAAAACCCACCAGGATTTTAACTTGAGGAACTGGGAAGGGTCTTGGTATCCTGGGAGGCTGGGATATTTCGATGCTGAAACAGAGAAGTTGATGACTTGACACAAAGCACGGCAGCCCAGGGAGACAGAAATGATCAGGGAACTGGGAAAGCAGTGGTTTAAAATGGCAGTTTTCGTATTTGTCTTCTTCCCCTCACCTTTTGTTTTTAAAAGTTTATGGATAGAAAGGATTTTTAACCTTAAAAAGTTTTAGAACTATAACATGTACATATAAGATGGAAAGATAATACAATGTGAGTGAAGAGTTAAATCTTGTATACCTAACTCCATCCCTTACTTCTCCACAATGGTTATCATATTTTGTGCTCTATTCCAGATGCTTATTTTTGTTTGCCTGTAATCAGATATACCTAGTTTTTTGGCCAGAGTGGCAGCATTCAGAATCCTTATGGTTTTGTACTTTTTTTTTTTTTTGAGACAGAGTCTCGCTCTGTCGCCAAGGCTGGAGTGCAGTGGCACGATCTTGGCTCACTGCAACCTCTGCCTCCCG
The DNA here is from genome assembly GCF_000001405.40 of Homo sapiens. Classification (NCBI taxonomy): domain Eukaryota; kingdom Metazoa; phylum Chordata; class Mammalia; order Primates; family Hominidae; genus Homo; species Homo sapiens. The sequence continues at coordinate 115,172,659 of NC_000005.10, read as the reverse complement.
GTTTCAAGTGATTCTCCTGCCTCAGCCTCCTGAGTAGCTGGGATTACAGGCGTGTGCCACCACGCCAGGCTAATTTTTGTATTTTTAGTAAAGGGGGGGTTTCACCATGTTGGCCAGGCTGGTCTCGAATTCCCGACCTCAGGTGATCCACCTGCCTCGGCCTCCCAAAGCGCTGGGATTACAGGTGTGGGCCACTGCACACATTATATTTTAGAAATCCTTTCTCATCAGTACATTGATTTTAACTGCTGCATAGTATTCCATGGTATGAATGTATATTATGCATGATGTTTAGTTATAAATAAGGTCTCAATAAGCTCTTTGTACATGTTTTTGTGCACACATGCAAGTATTACAGTAGGAACATTCTTAGATGTGGAATTGCTTAGTCAAAAGGTAAAAATATTTAAAATTTTTGATAGGATTTGTAAAATGTCCCTTGAGATAAGCTGTACCAACATACGATATCACAAAAAGGTTTGAGCAAAATAAGAGAGGCTTTGTAAATCTTGTATTTTTGATAGAGAAATAGGCAATGATACCATTACTTGGTGAATTATTAAACTTTGAACATATTTGAGGCACAAAAATATTCAAAAATTTTTACAAACACAAAATTAAAACAAGAAGACACTTATACTCTGAAAGAATTAGGCTTAGAAAGTCCTCAAATCTAGACTAATATAAGGTCTTAAACATCTCATGGGACCAAAACAAAAATACCACCAAATGATCTGTTTCAGAAGGATGAATAGATAGTTGCTCACACAACTAAAACCTGTGCTGGGGTGATAATGGTAAGGTTGTGCCCACTGCATAAGTATTTTTATTTTTTTGGAGACACAGTTTTGCCAAGTGTATTAACACTTGCCAAGTATATTAACATCATGTTTGAATTTTGTGGATCAGGTAGAAAATGATAGCTCAGTGAAGTCTGATTTGCAAAATGGAAGGCCATAGCAATGTATTTTCACCAAAATATTGTCTATACAGATTTTATCTTTAATTCCTGTTAATGGAGCCTTCTAATCACTTTTACTGTGTCAACTAATAAGTTTTGGATCAAAGCAGGTGTGCGGATGTGAAATTACAGCCCAAGGGGAATTATTTAGCTCAAAGGCCAGTATGAGAAAGACTTATAATGCTTTCTAATGGTTGAGCCTTTAAATATATGTATATATATATAGGCACCTAATTCACGCAGGCATTTGTTAGTCTCCTCCTGATTAGCACTTTTCAGAACCTGTGGGAAGGAAGCCTTCCCAAGTCTAGCACCTGCGGCCACGCAACGGGCATTAATCCGGATCAGAACAGCCCAGGCATTATTACCTGGCAAAGCTTTCGTCCTCTGTTCACCTCATCTGTAAATGGAGGGTATTCCATTAGAGAAAATTGCTATAGTCCCTCAGTGTTTTTAATTCTACACTCCTTATTTAGATGCCGGATTGGAGACGAGGCTACCGCTGCAGACAGGGCTGTGGGAAGACGACGGAACTTGCCACAGCGACAGACTTCTCCCAAACAGGAAATAAAAGTGGGAAGCATTTTAAAACCTAAACGAGATGTCTCGCTACAGCTCTGTAGTCCCTACTTACCCAGCAATTTAGGGCATCTGTTCTTAAAGCCTAATACATAGGAATGAATTGTTTAGCTAGCCAGAAAGGCAGTGCGTGATCTAATAATCCTAAATTAATTTGTTCTCCGTGTGTCCTGAAAACAACACCAGAAACACACTTGGGCCGTGGCAGGTGAAATGTGCGCCGCCAGTCCTTGAGCTGGCGCGCGCCTTAACGTTCAGCAGCACTCCCCGCGGGGGTGCGGGGGTGCCGGAGCCGCTCAGGACCCTCTGTCCTGGCCCTCAGGAAGGAAAGCGTAGGCCCGGGTGGCGGGGGGTCTCTCCCTTGCCGCGGCCTTTTAACTTCAGTCCCTGGCCAGCATCCGGGAGAGGAATCTCCACCCTGCAGGCGGTCCCCGCGCTACTGGGCAAGAACGTGCGGTGACATCGCGACTTGGGGGTATAGAAGCAGAAAGCGGGATATGACTGCTCGGTGCCCAGTCAGGGACTATTAAGTTCACCCAGCAAGTGAAGCCAGAAGAGAACTGGGACAAGCCGGGCGGGGCCAGGGAACCCCAGGCCGCGCCTGGCTAGGGACCGCGGAGAGGGCGGGCGGGGTCTCACTCTGGTCGCCTCGCGCAGCTCTGCCGTGCTCGCCGCGGCCATTCAGGGAAGGTGGCTTAGGCTCGCCCTCGCCCGCACCGTCCTGTGCCGAGCCTGGAAGCGGGGCTTCGAACCGCGAGTGAAGAAAGCGCAGTGAGAGCAAACTGAAGGGCGGAATGGCAGCGCAGGGCCAGGGGCCAGGGGCCAGGGCTGCAGCCGGCTGCTCTGCTGCAGCGGAGCCTCCCCGCCCCGGCGCCGCCCTCGGCACCCGCCCACCGCTCCCCGCTGCCCTCACTTCCGTTCCTCAGAGCCCCCCAGCCTGGCATAGGGCGACGGGCGACTACCCGGGTGGGAGGGAGGGGCTGATGCGTAGGGGGAAGGTGGCGGCGGAGGGCGCCGAGTCCCAACCGCGTGCCACACCCACGCCCAGCCGAGTCCCGCTCAGCCTACCACTCAGACACCCGGCCTACCAGCCCCAGGCGGCCCCGCCTCTTTTGTGCGACTGGCGCTGTTGCCTGGGCAACGACCAGGCCACGCCCTGTCCACGCCCCGCGGTGCCCCGCCCAGGTCTCTGCGCGGCGCCGTTCCCAGCCGCAGTCCGCAGGAGCCGCTGCTGCAGCCGGCAGCTGGGCGGGATTCCCGGGGTAGTCGCTGGGAGCAAAGCTCGCTTCTCCCGCGCCTGTGCTTTTGCCTGCCCCGGCTTACTTCTCCCCGCGTCGGTCCGCTGGCCACGTACAGCTGACCAGCTCATCTTCCAGCTTCGGACCGAGGCTCCACGGCCGCCGCAGGGACCCGCCCACCAGACCCTGCGCTCGGTAGCCGGTGTGAGTGGAACGTGCCGCTGATGACACCTGGCAGAAGGCAGCCATGGAGGGCGATGGCTCAGATTCGCCGGTGAGTGCGGAGGGGACCGCCGCCCCCACCTCGAGGGCGGTGTGCCGACCGCGGCTCTTTCTCTTTCCTCCGCCGGGAGCCCGGAGGGAGCCTCCTCCCGGGAGAGCAAAGGCAGGCGTGTGGGGATCCCGCTTCCTCTTCGCCTTCTCCCGCCCGGGGCTAGGTTCCGCAATCCGGGGCGTCCCCTTTCTATCCCCGAGAGCCGGACGTGGGGTCCCCTGGGCCGGAGAAGAGCGCAAATCCGATGGTTGCCCACCTGAGCACCTCGGGGGAATCATGGAGGGTCTCTCTAATGGAGCTCAGGCTGTAGAATTAATTAGCGTTTGGGAGTCGGGTGCGGGCAGAAAGCTGGGGCGCGTCCCTCGCGCTTGCGGGGCCGCCCTTTGTCTAGGCGTCTTGACCCCCGCGGGCCCGGCCGGCTGCCGCCGCCTGGGCCAGAGGCTCCTCCCCGGCTTCGCCTGCCCGCGGGGGGCGGGCCGGGGCCCCGGCAGCTGTCAGCCTACAAGTGTTTTTGTTTAAAGGTGTCGAATGTGCAATTCTTCCGAAGTTTCTCGAGGAACTGCTTAATTGAGGGAGCCGCCACATCACACTTAATCAGTTTGTTTCTCCCTCAATGACAGATGAACTAAATTTTCTCTTGGGTAAGAAATACTTTATGTCCATTGTGATTAAAAAGTCAGATTCAAGACACTGCTTTATGTACAAGAAAATGGAAATGATTTTAGATCCTCCCCCAGTGACAAGTAAACCTGAACTGACCATATTTATACATAAAATGGAATGTAAGAACCTATTTTGGATATCCCGGACAAGATTTTCTTTTGAATTAGGTGCCAAACCCTTTGTGAAATGAGATAGGATGTGAATATTCTGTATTCTTTGATGTGAATTGTGAGGTTTAGTTATCTTATTTCCAAATCTGTGAACAGTTGGGAGGTGATATGGCTCTTCATCACATATTTGAGTGATGCAGCAAGAGACTGCATCGAAACACCCACTGACAATGATAAAACCAGTTGGCTCTAATGCAGTTAAATTGTCAGAGATTATTGAAGCACTTGGTGTCACTTTAGGGAGAATAGGTTAGCATACATTTTAAAATTTCATTACATTTAGTTAAGTCAATTTTAATTTTCTGTGTATTTCTAGTAGCTGAAATGATTGTACAAGGTTATAAGTACTTTGAAGTTGGGCTGTCTTTAAAATTGCAGGGATGCTGACTATAGGATTCATAGATATGAAGTCTGGGATACATGGAAAAAACTACGTAGAGAAATGATGGGGAAACTGGTATGAGGTCATCAAACTTTTTTAGTTGTGATGAGTCTAAAATGCTTCTCACTTAAAATAATGAAAGGCTGTAGTATTGAGAGCAGTTGTAGTGGTGCTTATACACCTTTTTAAAGGGTCCCCTACATTCTTTTAATATTCTGTTATGGTTAGGCTTTGTGTCCACACCCAAATCTCATCTTGAATTGTAATCCCCAGGTGTTGAGGGAGAGACCTGGTGGGAGGTGATTGGATCGTGGGAGTGGTTTCCCCCATGCTGTTTTCGTGATAGTGAATTCTCCCAATATCTGATGGTTTTATAAGGCAGTATTCTCTGTTCTTACTCCCTCTCGCCTGCTGCCATGTAAAACGTGCTTGCTTCCCTTCCTGCCATATTTGTAAGTTTCCTGAGGCCTCTCCAGCCATGCAGAACTGTGAGTCAATTAAATCTCTTTTCTTTATAAATTAGCCACTCTTGGGTATTTCTTTATAACACTGTGAAAAGGGACTAACACAGAGAATTGGTACCAAGGTAGTGGGCACTGCTGTAAAGATACCCAACAATGTGGAAGTGACTTTGGAACTGAATAACAGGCAGAGATTGGAACAGTTTGGAGGGCTCAGAAGAAGACAGGAAGATGTGGGAAAGTTTGGAACTTCCTAGAGACTTGTTGAATGGTTTTGACCAAAATTCTGCTAGTGGTATGGACAAAGAAGTGCAGGCCAAGGTGGTCTCAGATGGAGATGAGGAACTTGTCGGAAACTGGAGTGAAGGTGACTCTTGCTATGCTTTAGCAAAGAGACTGGCAGTGTTTTGCCCCTGTCCTAGAGATTTGTGAAGCTTTGAACTTGAGAGAGATGAAGCGGAGCGTAAAAGTTTGGAAAATTTGCAGCCTTACCATGGAGTAGAAAGGAAAAACCTATTTTCTGGGGAGGGATTCAAGCTAGCTGCAGAAATTTGCTTAAGTAAAAAAGACTCAAATGTTAATTGCCAAGACTATGGGTAAAATGTCTCCAGGACATGTCAGAGATCTTGGCAGCAGTCCCTCCGTTTGGCAGGGCCAAACAGGTGCATTAATGAAGAGAGCCCCATCACAGGCCTGGAGGCCTAGGAGAGAAAAATGTTTTAGTGGAGTGGGCCCAGGGCCCTGCTGCTGTGTGCAGCCTCGGTATCACAGGATCCTTAGGGTGTCGCTTCACCAGCCAGAAACCTCTGTGGCAAGTGTTGCCTTTGCCCAAGTTTTGCTCAGGCCCACTGGGCTTGTTCTGCCCACTTGACCCAGCAGGCTGTGCTTGGTTTTCACTACTGGCCCAGATCCCACGGCTGCCAACGGCAAGCCAGGTGCAGAGCAGCAAGGGGTGCATGAGTGAGCGAGCGCGGGGTACAGTGTGCACAGCCAGGCATGGTGGCTGTGGCGGGGCAGGCAGGTCCAGGTGCCAGTATGGGCGCCGGCTCCTTGCTGTGGCTGGAACAGGTGTACCACAAGTGGCTCCCACTACAAGCACTGTGGAACATGGTGGCACCCAGAAACTTGGAGATGCCGGCAACTGCAGAGCCACAAAGAGGATGTCACAGCCCTGGCTTGGGGAGCTCCTAAGTCCAGGCTCCCTGAAGGGCTGCAGCTCTTCTCTCCTCTCTTGTCTCCTCATCGTCACCCACAACATGGCGAGCAGCAGGGTGTATTTGACACAGTTTGTGTTACAGCTTGTTTGGTCCTGCCATTTGGCAGGTCCAGAGTTCCTGTACTGTGTCCAGGAAGAATGAGCTACATGGACAACTGGAGGGTGAACAAGGTGCTTTATTGAGCAAAAGAGTAGCTCTCAGGAGACCTGTCATGGGTAGCTGCTTTCTGCAGGCAGTTCCTCCCGACAACTGCAGCTCTCAGCAGAGAAGAGACCCGGAGTGGGTACCTCCTCTCTGCAGGCAGGTCATTTTGTCGAGTGTGCAGTCCTCAGTGGAGAGGAGACCCAAGTGGGTAGCTCTTACCTGCAGGCAGGTCGTCCTATCATCTGCCAGAGTCTGGCTGAGTTTGCGGTTTTTATGGGCTTCAGAGGGGAGGAAGTGTGTGCTGATTGGCCCATGGGTGGCCATGGGTGGGCCTGGAAAATTCACTGTAAGTTTTCACTCCAGTCAGTGGAACTGGCAGCCTGGACCCTAGGCTTCAGGCTATCCCTGGCTTGAAGGTGGGGTTTCAGCAGGGACCTGTCCCTTTCCTCCCAGGAGCCTGTCTCCCTCCCACTGCTGTTCATGGTGCCCAGACTGTTTTAGCTGAGGGACGCCTGCAGTACCACGTTGAGTCACCCTCAGCCCTGCCCTTGGCCTCCCTCCCACGTTCATCAGCGCCCAAAGTCCAGAGGGAGCTGAGGTGGCAGGGGGCTGGTGTGTCAGCATCTCCTCAAGCACACACACACCTGGCCAGGTCATGTCAGTGCCCGGGCTTGGCCACAGCTTTTCTCCAAAGTCAGAGTGGGCACTGGGAATGGGGAGAGGCCAAGCAGTAGGAGCAGGCACTTCTGAGCATGTGGGGGAAGAGAGGCATCCTGGGCCCCCGAGAGCATAGGAATGCCCTAGTCCACAGCTGGGTGGCTGCAATTGCACCCAGGAGCATGGGGCTCCCTCCGCACCAACTCGGAAGGGAGAAGGGCTCCTGCCTGTTCCTGGGTCCCGCTGGCTCTGCAGAGCAAGCAGGTCCGGCTGTGCCTTCCCAACTGCAGCCAGCATCTTTGCAGCAGCTGCTCCAGATGGGCTGCAGCTGCCATCACTGGGACTTGGTGCCCTGTGTCCCAGCTGTTCCAGTACCAGTTGTGGCTAAAAGGGGCCAAGGTACAGTTCAGACCATTGCCTCAGAGGGTGCAAGCCTTGGTGGCTTACACATGGTGTTGGGCCTACCAGTGCACAAAAGTCAAGAGTTGAGGTTTGGAAACCTCTGCCTAGATTTCAGAGGATGTACAGAAACACCTGGATATCCAGGCAGAAGTCTGCTGCAGGGGCGAAGCTCTCATGGAGAACCTCTGCTAGGGCAGTGCAAAGGGGAAATGTGAGATATAAGCCGCCACACAGAGTCCCCACTGGGGCACTCCCTAGGGGAGCTCTGAGAAGAGGACCATGGTCCTCCAGACCCCAGAATGGTAGATCCACCAACAGCTTTCATCATGCGCCTGGGAAACCTGCAGATACTCAATGCCAGCCATGAAAGCAGGTGGTGTGTGGGCTGTACCCTGCAAAGCCACAGGGGTGGAACTGCCCAAGGCCATGGCAGTCCACCCTTTGGATCAGCGTACCCTGAATGAGAGACATTGAGTCAAAGGAGATCTCACTTGTGAGCTTTATGACTTAATAACTGTCCTTTTGGGTTTCAGACTTTCATGGGACCTGTAGCCCCTTTGTTTTGGCCAATTTTTCCCATTTGGAATGGGAGCATTTGTCCAATGCCTGTACACCCATTGTATCCTGGAAGTAACTAACTTGCTTTTGATTCTCCAGGCCCCTAGGCAGAAGGGACTTGCTTTGTCTCAGATGAGACTTTGGACTTGGACTTTTGAGCTAATGCTGAAATGAGTTAAGACTTTGGGGGACTGTTTGGAAGCATGATTGGTTTTGAAATGTGAGGACATGAGATTTGGGAGGGGCCAGGGCCACAATGATATGGTTAGGTTCAAATCTTATCTTGAATTGTAATCCCAAGGTGTTGAGGGAGAGACCTGGTGGGAGGCCATTGAATCACAGGGGTAGATTTTCCCCATGCTGTTCTTGTGATAGCGAATTCTCATAAGATCTGATGGTTTTGTAAGGCAGTATCCCTGCTCTTGCTCTCTCTCACCTGCCACCACGTAACACAGATCTGCTTCCCCTTCTGCCATGATTGTAAGTTTCTTGAGGACTCCCTAGCCATGTGGAACTGTGAGTCACTTAAATCTCTTTTCTTTATAAATTACCCAGCCTCAGGTAATTTTCTTTATAGCAGTGTGAAAATGGACTAATACATACTCATAAAGTGCTTTTAAGATAATTGCTTTGATATACAGCATGAGAACCTCAGGCATTAATGAAGAATGGTCGCATTTAATGTAGAAAATTGCTGATAATTCAGCTTGTAAATAGATACCAACTAGGTTTCCATGAACATACTGACTCAGCTAGTGTTTAATAGCTCCTGTTATTTGTCAGTCACAGTGTTAATTCACTAAATAAGAATATAGTCTTACTCTTAGTGCTGTATTCAAAATTTTTATTGACATGATCTACTTTTAGGATTTCACCGAAGTCCTAAATCAGTGCACTGGTGATGGAGATTCGAATGATGGCTTTATAATTTTTGATAAAATATCATGGTCCCCTAATATTTTACATAATTTTTCTCTTCATTTTTGCCTTTTACTATCTCATGTTCCTTCAGTTCTGGGTTATGGGTGTTGAGGGCAGTTGATGGTATCAAATTTTATTGGGGAAAAGAAATTTAAAATTTAGAAAATCATTTTCTTAATTCTTTTTGGAAAAATAAACACATGTACTTATTCAGGAGGTATAAGAATGTTAATATATTTACCCACTAAGAGCCTTTAACTTGGACTATTTTACTCTCAAGGTTACCATTAAGAATATCGAAAGGGAGCTCATTTGCCCAGCATGCAAGGAGCTGTTTACCCACCCATTGATTCTCCCTTGCCAACATAGTATCTGTCATAAATGTGTAAAAGAACTCCTGCTGACTCTCGATGATTCATTCAACGATGTGGGATCAGACAACTCCAATCAAAGCAGTCCTCGACTTCGGCTCCCCTCCCCTAGTATGGATAAAATTGACCGAATTAACAGACCAGGTATGTGTTAGAACTGTGGGCTGGGATGGTAGTGGGGGTAAGCTTATAGATATATATTCAGTGGTAACTGGAAGGAAAATTATTTTTGTCATCTTGAGAGTTAATTTTTCCAGGTGAATAAATTAAAACTGTAGTTATAAAGGGGCCTCCCCCACTGTTAAAATGTCAAAATGAACTCTCGTCTTTTGATACATACTTGAAGTAGATATTGGATATTGAACATGAACTTTGTGTTAAACTCCTTATTAACTGTGTTTGTAAGTCTGGGCACAGTGGCTCACACCTGTAATCCCAGCACTTTGGGAGGCCATGTCGGGTGGATCACCTGAGGTCATGAGTTCAAGACCAGCCTGACCAACATGGAGAAACTCCATCTCTACTAAAAATACAAAATGAGCTAGGTGTGGTGACGCGTGCCTGTAACCCCAGCTACCTGGGAGTCTGAGTCAGGAGAATTGCTTGAACCTGGGAGGCGGAGGTTGCAGTGAGCCGAGATCGCGCCATTGCACTCCAGCCTGGGCAACAAGAGTGAAACTCTGTCTCAAAAAAAAAAAAAAAGCTATGTTTGTCTTTAGGAATTATTCTGACTGTGCAATGTACTTGATACATAGAATAATGGACTACTGAAATACTAACTAGGAAAACATTCATATATGGTAATAGGAAAATAAATACTGCAGAGTTAAGGAGTGGGACTACCTAATGGCTAGTCATCACCTTTATGTTTCCTCCCTTGCTGCCAATCTGGCGCACTGAGGAGGGAAAGACAGCATCCCTTGAAATCAGTCCTACTAGATAAAACTTGATATTCTGCTGGTAGATCTTCATTGGCTAATTGGGAACCCATGCTTGATTGACCAAAGAAAACTTTTTGTATGTTAATATTTAGCAAAAACAAATAAAATTTTAGTTATGTACTAGATATTTCTACTTATAATTAGATTGCACTTATATACATATTTCACAAAATTCTGTAGGCTTTTAATGTTAAGATTTGGCTAGTTTTTTATGTGATTCATATGAAGAACAAGATGAATGATTTTCTGTTTTCAGGAATTTACCTGACATGGTACTCTGTAGATGCTTAATAAATATTTGTTGAATGGATGTTGAATGAGAAACCTCTGCCACAGGATTTGTACAGAGAGTGCCACAATGGCTTATATTCAGTAATAATGGCATTTGTCTTTTGGAATATGAGCTCCATTACACCATACATTTCACTGTCTAGATCCGAAATAGCATTACTGGGATGTTTCTCCCTCTTCTTTAGGAAGAACCCTACGAAGTTAGATTATGTCCTGAGAGGGGAAACTTAGAATGGTGGAGTTTGAAAACTTTTCTCTGTAAAGAACAGTTACAGGAGATGAGAAGGGGTGACTGCAGAATATGATAGTTTTCTTATGGATAGAATGAGTATGCTGGATATCTCTAGCAGAGGTTCCAGGTCAATGAGTAGATGGAATAGGAAGGCAGATTTAACTTAGCATGAAAGAAGACACACGCGCACACACACCCCACTAAGGCTGTCCAGAAATGAAATGGGCTAAGTATATCAGACTTCTGCCACTAAATGTGTTTACATCAGGTGTCAAATTTAGATGCTGCAGGGCCAAACGGGTGCATTAATGAAGAGAGCCCCAGGCATAATAAATATAGGACTCTCCTTCATTTTAGTTTTTCGCTGTAAATATGGAGACAATAAATATTTGATTTTCCCTTTAGCTCAACTACTGTAAGAAAACCATCAGCCCAAAGTGACAGCAGCCAACTGATTTTACGACTCCTTATTGGAGAAGTAGAGTGTGGTTTGGGACTGTGGAGACTGAAACGGATGCCTTGTTAAAGGGGGCAGTAACCACTTGGCAGTGTCAGGGTTGAAGATGCCAGATTGTCAGATTTATTGGTTTTTCACAAAAACTTGATAGTGGTTTCCATGTGAAATCTGTTTTTTAAATATTTTCAATTCAGATTATTTAACAATACCACACCAGCTCAATAGGGCAGGACAGCCAAAACATGTCTTTGGCTGTGACCCATGCAGCATTTGGGCCATCAGTATCTGAAGACTTTGTTTAAAACAATGGGTGGGTGGCCACTGTCTGCAATATTGTGGAGGGTGTTTCTGCTGTGGGTGGTAGGTTGGGCCAGTTGTTCTGTCACATGCCATATCTCCAGCACTGAAGTTCTATGCCTTATTAAATACCAGTGGCATTCATTCATTCATTCAACAAATATTTGAGCACCTGCTGGTTACCAGATATGGCTAAATGGTTAAGAACAATGAGCGAGATAGACCCACTTTCTTTTCTTTTTTTTTTTAAAGACACATACCCCTTAGCATTGTGCAAAGCTTTATAACAGCTGTAATTACTAGAGCATAGTCCTTTATCACGAACACACACAGATCAAGTTAACAAAGAGAGAGCACCCAAAGGGTGCGAATGCTGTAAGTATGGAAATCATTCCTGGAGGTTTTAATGCAAATTTTAGGATTGTCCTTCACCAGTTTTAAACTAGTAGAAGTCATTGCAGTGCAAATGTGATGTTACTTGCCATCTATTTATTGGGCATTTGCATATAATTCTTTTTTTGGTAGATTCATGAGTAATATTCCTTTTTTTCTGACAGCTTTCTTCTTAAGTTTTTATCCTTTAGACATTTATTTGAGACAGGGTCTCACTCTGTTTGTTACCTGGGCTGGAGTGCAATGGCTTGATCATAGCTCACTGTAACCTCTAACTCTGAGGCTCAAGTGATCCTCCTGCCTCAGCCTCCTACATACCGGAGACTAGAGGTGCATGCTACTCACTCGCACCCTGCTAATTAAAAAATTTTTTTTGTGGAGAAGAAGGTCTCACTTTGTTGCCTAGGCTGGTTTCAGACTCCTGGCTTCAAGCAGTCTTTGTGCCTTGGCCTTCCAAAGTGCTGGGATTACAGGCGTTATTCACTATACCCAGTCTAGTTTTGCCACTGGTCTAATAAAGGGATTAATTAAACCCGGATTGTCCAGTATGGTAGCCACTAGCCACATGTGGCTATTAAGTGGTTGAAATGTGGCTAGTCTGAATTGAGATATGCTGTGAGTTAAAATACACAGAATAAAAAAGACTGTGAAATGATCTTTAATAATTGTTATATTGTTTATATTTTGAAATCATAGTATTTTGGATATAGTGGGTTAAATAACATTAAAATTAATTTCAATTTTTTTAATATGGCTACTGGAAAATTTAAACTTACGTATATTGTAGTTTTGGCTCATACATTTCTTTTGGATTATTTTGCATTAGATTTTTGACAGTTTTTTTTAAAGGGTACCTTGAAAGGAGAGTAAGATTTGTGTGCATAACACAGTAGCATATTAAATTATGTACAAATAAAAGCCATATTACTGTATACTTTTGATCATAAAGTATACAGTAAGCTTTCCCCCCAGTTTGTATTTTCTGGTTGTCTAAACTGAATATGTTCATTTTAGTTTTTTTTTTTTCTTTTTTTTAACAGTTATTAGGTCAGTAAAAAGTCAAACAAAAGATGTTTGATTTCACTTTGTATTTGCAACATTTACCTTAAGTATGATTGTTTAAAAATACAAATCTATATAGAACAAAGTATTGTCTCTTAAGTGCTATACCCACAATGATTGTAATAAGATTGCTTGATGTATGTTTTATGCTCCTGGCTTCATAAATACTATGTGTACCAGGAAAAACACATTTTTACTGTTAATTCAATAATTGTATTATTTTCAGGACACAGTTACCGCTTTCTCTTTTGTTAACAAGTTGTGAATCTTCTCTTTGAAATTAAATTCTAAATCCAGCTTTCTGTTCATTGTTCACAGCATCACAACGGAGATCTGTGGGGTGGAGAGGTAGAAAATGTTTTATTGCTTTTGTGGCCGCAGGCAATATAGTGTTAGATTTAAATTAAATAATCTTGTGTAAGATTCTTAAACATCAGTGGTCAAGTCTTCAAAATTGTGTAGAGAGTGAACAAATTGGGCTGAAACGACTTAAAGGTCAACAGGACTAAATTTCCAAGCAAGTTCTGATGTTTTTAAAAGAAAACACTGATTATTGGTGCTTGCATTTTGTCAATATACATGACAAGATATTTTTGAAGAAAATGATTTATACCGCTTTTGTTTTTTGTATATGATATCTTAAAACATCCTTTACATTTACTTAGTGAACAAAGCTTGATATTGCTACATTTAAAGGTTAAATAAGCTAATGCTTTCTTATGTATTGAAAAATTTGATTAAAGGTATTGATTATTTTTCTATTTAATGATATCTTTGCTCGTTTTATACATATAGAGTCTTTTCTTTGTTGATGTTTTAAAGTACTTGGCATCAGAGTTTTAGCATTGAGGTCTTACCCACTTGTGGGTAAATGTACACTCCTTTATTAGACTTTCTGAAATATTTGATTCTATGTAAAAGATGGGGCAACCTATCTTATTAAAATTTATTTTTACTCCAGTTGACCTTTAAAAATAACATTGACTGCTTTTTAATGGAATGCTGGTGATACCACCATCTATTTCATGGGAGAATACTTAACACCTGAAATTTATCCCCTTTCTGTCTTTCTCTCTTTCTTCTGCATTTCTTGATTTAAAAATCTTAAAGCCACGATTAGAAGCCACGTGTAATTCTTTTTCTTACAGGTTTTTGAGAATATAAATTTTAAGTGTTGAAATTTAGTAATTAGAAGGAAAGATAGGAGCAGTTTGCTTTAAAAAAGCTACTACCCATTTTTGGTTCAGAGGGTAGTTGAGAGAAATAAATTTTACAGGGTGAAGAATGCTGATATAATACCCAAAAGGTAAATATAACTCATAGGCATCAAATAGTCAGAATGTACCAAAAGAAGCATTAAGGTGGCAGCATAAGATATCAGGCCACTGCCAAACAGCAAAAGCCCAACAGTAGTGTCCACCATTGGGAGAGGTAGTTCATGAACTGTCCAGGGATAGCGATGGGGAAGTCGCAGCCAGAATACGGGAGAGGATGCAACCGGCAGAGGTTTGGAACCTGTTAGTTATGAACTGACTCTCTTCTCTTTGTTTTGAAATACTTTATTTTCTCTTTGATATTTAAATGGTTAAACAAATGACTGAAAGCTGACTTTTTTAGGGGATTTGCTATAAACCAATTTGAAATTTTTTAGAGTCTTTATTTTAAAATTATGCTGACTTTTTAATCTACCTTCAAAGGAAAGATTTGTGGGAAAAAGAAGAGATTCTGTAAGGTGCTAGTATATAATTTGCAAATATTATTGTCCCCACAGATTCAGTTTGATGTATAAAATTGCATTTCTTGGTCTACATTACTTCCTTACCTTTCCAAGCCATCATTACTTTTCTTTCTTTCATTTTTAAAATTTTTTTTATTTCCATAGTTTATTGGGGTACAGATGGTGTTTGGTTACATGAGTAAGTTCTTCAGTGGTGATTTGTGAGATTTTGGTGCACCCATAACCCGAGCAGTATCCACTGCACCCTATTTGTAGTCTTTTGTCCCTCACCCGCTTCCCACCCTTTCTGCCTGAGTCCCCAGAGTCCATTGTGTTATTCTTATGCCTTTGCATCCTCATAGCTTAGCTCCCACTTATGAGTGAGACCATATGATGTTTGGTTTTCCATTCCTGAGTTACTTCACTAAGAATAATAGTCTCCAGTCTCATCGAGGTCACTGTGAATGCCATTAATTCATTCCATTTTATGGCTGAGTAGTATTCCGTCGTGTATATATACCACAGTTTCTTCTCAATTCATAGGCATTTGGGTTTTTTCCACGTTTTTGCAACTGCTACTTGTGCTGCCATAAACATATGTGTGCAAGTATCTTTTTTTGTATAATGACTGCTTTTCCTCTGGGTAGATACCCGCTAGTGGGACTGCTGGATCAAATGGTAGTTCCACTTTTAGTACTTTTTTTTTTGAGATAGAGTTTCGCTGTTGTCGCTCAGGCTGGAGTGCAATGGCGTGATCTTGGCTCACTGGAACCTCCGCCCACCAGGTTCAAGCAATTCTCCTGCCTCAGCCCCCTAAGTAGCTGGGATTACAAGTGAGCACCACCACATCTGGCTAATTTTTCTATTTTTACTAGAGACGGGGGTTTCACCATGTCAGTCAGGCTGGTCTCGAACTGTTGACCTCAGGTGATCCACCCACCCCAGCCTCCCAAAATGTTGGGATTACAGGTGTGAGCCACTGTGCCTGGCCTCTACTTTTAGTTCTTTAAGGAATCTCCACACTCTTTTCTGTAGTGGCTGTACTAGTTTACATTCCCACCAGCAGAGTGGAAGTGTTCCTTGTTCACTGCATCCACGCCAACATCTACTGTTTTTTTTTTTTTTATTATGGCCATTCTTGCAGGAGTAAGGTGGTATCACATTGTGGTTTTGATTTGCATCTCCTTGATCATATAGTAATACTGAGCATTTTGAAATATGTTTGTTGACCACTTGTATGTCTTCTTTTGAGAATTGTCTATTCATGTCCTTAGCCCACTTTTTGATGGGATTGTTTTTTCTTATTGATTTATTTGAGTTCATTGTAGATTCTGGATGTTAGTCCTTTGTCAGATGTATAGATTTTGAAGATTTTTTCCCACTCTGTGGGTTGTCTGTTTACTCTGCTGACTATTCCTTTTGCCATGGAAAAGCTCTTTAGTTTAATTAAGTCCCAGCAATTTGTCTTTGTTTTTATTGCATTTGCTTTTGGCTTCTTGGTCATGAACTCCTTGCCTAAGCCAAAGTCCACAATGGTTTTTTCAGTGTTATCTTCTAGAATTTTTATAGTTTCAGGTCTTAGGTTTAAGTCTTTAATCCATCTTGAGTTGATTTTTGTATAAGGTGAGAGATGACGATCCAGTTTCATTCTCCTACATGTGGCTAGCCAATTATCCCAGCACCATTTCTTGAAAAGGATGTCCTTTACCCACTTTTCTGTTTTTGTTTGCTTTGCTGAAGATCAGTTGGCTGTAAGTATTTGGGTTATTTCTGGGTTCTCTATTCTGTTCCATTGGTCTATGTGCCTATTTTTATACCAGTACCATACTGTTTCAGTGACTATGGCCTTACAGTATAGTTTGAAATTAGGCAATGTGATGCCTTCAGATTTGTTCTTTTTGCTTATTAGTCTTGCTTTGGCTATGCGGGCTCTTTTTTGGTTCCATATGAATTTTAGAATTTTTTTTTTTTAATTTGTGATGAATGATGGTGGTATTTTGATGGGGACTGCATGGAATTTGTAGATTGCTCATGGCAGTATGGTCATTTTCACAATATTGATTCTACCTATCCGTGAGCATGGGATGTGTTTCCATTTTTTCATGTCTTCTATGATTTCTTTCAGCAGTGTTTTGTAGTTTTCTTTGTAGAAGTCCTTCACTTCCTTGGTTGAGTATATTCCTAAGTTTTTTGGTTTTGGGGTTTTTTTTGCAGCTATTGTAAAAGTGGTTGAGTTATTGATTTGATTCTCAGCTTGGTCGCTGTTGGTGTACAGAAGAGCTACTGATTTGTGTACATTAGTATTGTATCCTGAAACTTTGCTGAATTTTTTTATCTGTTTTAGGAGCTTTCTGGAGGAGGCTTTAGGGTTTTCGAGGTAAAAAATCATGTCATCAGCAAACAGTGATAGTTTGACTTCCTTTTTACCGATTTGGTTGCCATTTATGTCTGATTGCTCTGGCTAGGACTTCCAGTACTATATTGAAGAAGGGTGGTAAGAGTGGGCATCCTTGTCTTGTTCCAGTTATCAGAAGAAATGCTTTCAACTCTTCCCCATTCACTATTATGTTGGCTGTGGGTTTGTCATAGATGGGTTTTATTATATTGAGGTATGTTCCTTGTATGCTGATTTTGCTGAGAGTTTTAATCATAAAGGGATGCTAGATTTTGTCAAATGCTTTTTTAGCATCTATTGAGATGAGCATGTGATTTTTGTTTTTAATTCTGTTTATGTGGTGTATCACATTTATTGACTTGCATATGTTAAACCATCCCTGCATCCCTGGTATGAAACCCACTTGATCATGGTGGATTATCTTTTTGATATGTTGTTGGATTTAGTTAGCTAGTATTTTGTTAAGGATTTTAGCTTCTGTGTTCATCAGGGATATTGGTCCGTAGTTTATTTTTATTTTTATTTTTGAGACGGAGTTTCGCTCTTTGTTGCCCAGGCTGAAGTGCAGTGGTGCGATCTCGGCTCACTGCAACCTGTGCCTCCCTGGTTCAAGCGATTCTCCTGTCTCAGCCTCCTGAGTAGCTGAGATTACAGGTTCACGCCACCACACCTGGCTAATTATTTTTTTAAACAGTGTTTTGCTCTTGTTGCCCAGGCTGAAGTGCAACAGCACGATCTTGGCTCACCACAACCTCCGCCTCCCAGGTTCAGGCGATTCTTCTGCCTCAGCCTCCCGAGTAGCTGGGATTACAAGCATGCACCACCATGCCCGGCTAATTTTTTTTTTTTTGTATTTTTAGTAGAGACGAGGTTTCTTCCTTGTTGGTCAGGCTGGTGTCCAACTCCTGACCTCAGGGGATCTGCCTGCCTCAGCCTTCCAAAGTGCTGGGATTACAATCGTGAGCCACCACGCCCAGCCTGGTCTGTAGTTTTCTTTTGTTATGTCCTTTCCTGGTTTTGGTATTAGGGTGATACTGGCTTCACAGAATGAGTTAGGGAGGGTTCCTCTTTCTCTATCTCATGGAATAGTGTCAATATGATTAGTACCAATTGTTCTTTGAATGTCTGGTCGAATTCTGCTGTGAATCCATCTGGTCCTGGACTTTTTTTGTTGATAATTTTTAAATTACCATTTCAATCTTGGTGCTTGTTACTAGTCTGTTCAGAGTATCTAATTCTTCCTAATTTAAGCTATGAAGGTTGTATCTTTCCAATAATTTATCTGTCTCTTCTAGGTTTTCTGGTTTATGCATGTAAAGGTAGTCACAGCAGCCTTGAATGATCTTTTGTATTTCTGTGGTGTCAGTTGTAGTATCTCCTGATTCATTTCTTATTGAGCTTATTTGGATTTTCTCTCTTCTTAGTTAATTTTGCTAATGGTGTATCAATTTTATTAATCTTCGAAGAATCAGCTTTTTGTTTGATTTATCTTTTGTGGGTTTTTTTTTTCATTTGTTTCAATTTCATTTAGTTCTGCTCTGATCTTGCTTATTTCCTTTCTTCTGCTAGGTTTGGGTTTGGTTTGTTCTTGCTTTTCTGGTTTCTAGAGGGGTATCCTTAGATTGTCTCTTGGTGCTCTTTCAGACTTTTTCATGTAGGCGTTTAGGGCTGTGAACTTTCGTCTTAGCACTGCCTTTGCTGTGTTCCAGAGGTTTTGATAGGTTGTGTCACTATTGTCATGCAGCTTGAAGAATTTTTAAATTTCATCTTAATTTCATTTTTTTTTTGACCCTGTGCTCATTCAGGAGCAGGTTATTTAATTTCCATGTATTTGCATGGTTTTGAAGTTTCCTTGTGGAGTTGATTTCCAGTTTTATTCCACTGTGGTCTGAGAGAGTGCTTGATATAATTTCAATATTTTTAAATTTATTGAGGCTCATTTTGTGGCCTATCATATGGTCTGTCTTGGAGAAAGTTCCATGTGCTGTTGAATAGAATGTATATTCTGTGGTTGTTGGATGGAATGTTGTGCATGTAACTGTTAGGTCCATTTGTTCCAAGGAATAGTTTAAATCCATTGTTTCTGGCCGGGTATGGTGGCCCGGCACTTTGGGAGGCCAAGGTGGGAGGATCACCTGAGGTCAGGAGTTCGAGACCAGCCTGGACAACATGGTGAAACCCTGTCTCTGCTAAAAGTACAAAAATTAGCTGGGCCTGGTGGCACCCACCTGTAATCCCAGCTACTCGGGAGGCTGAGGCAGGAGAATCTCTTGAACCCACGAGGTAGAGATTGCAGTGAGCTGAGATCATGCCACTGCACTCCAGCCTGGGTGACAGAGCATGACTCCATCTCAAAGAAAAAAAAATTCATTGTTTCTTTGTTGGCTTTCTCTCTTGATGACCTGTGTAGGGCTGTCAGTGGTGTATTGATACCTCCCAGTATTACTGTGTTGCTGTCTATCTCATTTCTTAGGTCTGTTAGTAATTGTTTTATAAATTTGGGAGCCCCTGTGTTAGGTATATATATGTTTAGGATTGTGATATTTTCCTGTTGGACAAGGCCTTTTATCATTATTTAATGTCCTTCTTTGTCTTTTTAAATTGGTTTGCTTTAAAGTTTGTTTTGTCTGATATAAGAATACCTACTCCTGCTGGCTTTTGGTGTCCATTCACATGAAATGTCTTTTTCCACCCCTTTACCTTAAGTTTTTGTGAATCCTTATGTGTTAGGTGAGTCTCTTGAAGGCAGCAGATAGTTGGTTGGTGAAGTCTTACTTATTCTGCAATTCTTTGTCTTTTTTTAAGTGGAGCATTTAAGCCATTTACATTCAGTTGGTATTGAGATATGAGGTACCATTTCATTCACTGTGCTATTTTTTTGCCTGTGTACCTTGTTTTTTGTTGTTGTTGTTGTTTTTTAAATCTTATTTTTGTTTTATAGGTCCTGTGTGTTTTATGCTTTAAAGAGGTTCTGTTTTGATGCGTTTCCAGGATTTGTTTCAAGATTTAGAGCTCCTTTTAGCAGTTCTTTTAGAGGAGGCTTGGTAGTGGTGACTTCTCTCAGCATTTGTTTGTCTGAAAAAGACTCTTACCTTTCCTTCACAAGTGAAGCTTAGTTTTGCTGCGTATAAAATTCTTGGCTGATAATTTTTTTTTAGGAGGCTGAAGATAGGGCCCCAATCCCTTCTAGCCTGTAGGGTTTCTGCTGAGAAATCTGCTGTTAATCTGATAGGTTTTCCCTAGGTTACCTGGTACTTTTGTGTCACAGCTCTTAAGATTCTTTCCTTTGTCTTAACTGGTAACCTGACGACAGTGTTCCTGGGCAGTGATCTTTTTGCGATGAATTTCCCAGGTGTTCTTTGTGCTTTTTGTATTTCGATATCTAGGTCTCTAGCAAGGCTGGGGTAGTTTTCCTCGATTATTCCCCCAAATATGTTTTCCAAACTTTTAGATTTCTCTTCTTCCTCAGGAACACTGATTATTCTTAGGGTGGGTCATTTAACGTAATCCCAGGCTTCTTGGAGGCTTTGTTCATATTTTCTTATTCTTTCTTCTTTGTCTTTGTTGGATTGGGTTAGTTCGAAGACTTTGTCTTCGAGCTCTGAATTTCTTTCTTCTACTTGTTCAATTCTGTTACTAAGACTTTCCAGAGCATTTTGCATTTCTATTAGTGTGTCCAGTATTTCCTGAAGTTTTCATTGTTTTTTATTTATGCTATCTATTTCCTTGAACATTTCTTCCTTCACTTCTTGTATCATTTTTTGGATTGCCTTACATCGGTCTTTGCCTTTTTCTGGTGTCTCCTCGATTAGCTTAGTAACCTTCTGGATTCTTTTTCAGGTAAATCAAGGATTTCTTCTTGTTTGGGTCCCTTGCTGGTGAGCTAGTGTGATTTTTGCTGGTGTTAACCTTGTTTTGTCATATTACCAGAGGTGGTTTCCTAGTTCCTTCCCATTTCGGTAGGCTCTGTCAGAGGAAATGTTAGGGCTCAAGGTTGCTGTTCAGTTCCTTTTGTCCCACGGGTTGTTTTTGATGTGGTACTCTTCCCCATTTCCTATGGATGTGCCTTCCTGGGAGTCGAGTTGTAGTGATTGTTCTCTCTTCTGGATCTATCCACCCAGCAAGTATACCAGGCTCTGGGCTGGTATTGGGTGTTGTCTGCCCACAGTCCTGTGATGTGAACCATCTTTGGGTCTTTCAGCCATGGATACCACCAGCACCTGTTCTGATGGAGGTGGCAGGCAGTGAAATGGACTCTTTGAGGCTTCTTAGCTTTGGTGGTTTAATGCACTATTTTTGTGCTGGTTGGCTTCCTGCCAGGAGGTGGCACTTTCCAAAGAGCATCAACTGTGGTGGTAGGGGGAGGAACAGGCAGTGGGCAGGGCCCTAGAACTCCCAAGATTATATGCCCTTTGTCTTCAGTTACCAGGGTAGGTAGGGAAAGACCCCTGGGTGGGGGCAGGGCGAGGCGTGTCTGAGCTCAGACTCTCCTTGAGCAGCTCTTGCTGCAGCTGCTGCGGGGATTGGGGGATGAGGTTTCCAGGTCAATGGAGTTATGTTCCTAGGAGGATTATGGCCACCTCTGCTGTGTCATGCAGGTTGTCAGCGAAGTGAAGGAAAGCCGGCAGTCACAGGCCTCACCCAGCTCCCACACAGTCCAAAGGGCCAGTCCCACTTCCACTGTACCCCCAACAACAGTACCAAGTTTGTTTCCAGGCAGTGGGTGAGCAGGGCTGAGAACTTGCCCCAGTCTACCCGCCTCCCAGCTGCAAAAGCAAGTATGGCTTTCCTTCTCCCACCTGTGGAGTCTGCACACTGGATTTACACCCTCCCCCAAGTTGTGGCCAGGAGGCTTCTCCATCAGTTCAAATTGTTACAAACTTTAGCTGGAGGTTTCCTTCTCCCTGTGGCCTTTTCCCAGAGCCTCTGGCCGTTCTCCGGAAGGACCCCTGTGAGGCCAGGCAAAAACGACTTGATGGGGGCCCAGTGAGCTTCCAGGGGTTTTCCCACTGCTTCCTCTACCCTTGTATTTCACTCAGCTCTCTAAATTGACTCAGCTCCAGGTAAGGTCAAAATCTCCCGTTATCCAGGTCTTCAGTTTCCCCAGTGGAGGTGTGTTCAGGGGCAGACAATCTCCCTTTCCCAGTTCCACAGTTTGGGCCCTCGCAGTATTTAGCGTGTCTCCCAGGTCCTGTAGGAGCAGTCTGCTTCCTTCAGGGGGCCTGTGGGTCCTCTCAGCTTTCCTATTTCTGTAGTCGTTCTGGAGCAAAATTTCACAGTGCTAGCATCCACATGCTGCTCTGTCAGAGCTGCAATCTAGTCCTTCCTCTAGTTATAGTCCTTCAATCTAGTTTGTGATGATCCCTCTGTTTTTCTTTTTCATTGTCTAATGCAATTGAGCAATACTATGCAATAGAACTTTCTACTATAATGGAAATGTTCAACCCTGTGTCATATAATATGGTAGCCATTAGCTACATGTGTCTCTTGAGAATTTGAAATATGGCTATGGTAACCAAATAAGTGAATATTAAATTTTACTTAATTTTAATTAAATTTTAAAAGTCACATGTGGCTAATGGCTACTGTATCAGATGACACAGCCATGGAAAGTAGAAAGTTGACTCTTCCATTTTGTTCTTAATTCCATTGCCTTGATTTTTTCATTAAGGATATTACTTCCCAGAATATCCTAAGATTCTCATTTTCTTTATTGCTCTGAACATCTACTGTTTGTTTTTATGAAAACAATGAAAGAAATATAAGACAGATGAAATAAAAGTTCTTTAGCATTTGTAAGAAATATTTAAGCACATTGGGCCAGGCACGGTGGCTGAAGCCTGTAATCCCAGCACTTTGGGAGGCCGAGGCAGGTGGATCACGAGGTCAGGAGATCGAGACCATCCTGGCTAACATGGTGAAACCCCATCTCTACTAAAAAATACAAAAAATTAGCCGGGCGTGGTGGCAGGCACCTGTAGTCCCAGCTACTCGGGAGGCTGAGGCAGGAGAATGGCGTGAACCCGGGAGGCGGAGCTTGCAGTGAGCCGAGATCGCGCCACTGCACTCCAGCCTGGACGACAGAGCGAGACTCCATCTCAAAAAAAAAGAGCTTTCAAGATCTGTTTAGAAAGATAGCCAAGATATCTATTTGGACGAGTTGTGAAAAATTACATGTCTTAATTTAATGTCTGATTTAAGTTTAGTGTTTCACACCTTTTTTTTTTTTTTTTTACACTGTAAAAACACAGTAGCAGAGGTAAACAGAAAAGGGATGAACTTTTTTTTTTTTTTTTTTTTTTTTTTTCAAATTTCTGAGGACCCAATTCTGGGTGTCACCAGCATACATGTTAAAGCTTGATTTTGTTGTCATTATTTACTTTTCATTATCCCGTTACTTTAATTGGTCATAATCTTCATAAAACCAAAAATAACTCATTTTTTTAACACTTTTGAGATTAGTTTTCTATTTATCTAAATTTTCATCACCTATTTCATGTGTGGAAACCTGCGATTATATATGAATTTCTATTTGTTTAAACTTGACCACTGCACCATACCATCTCCAGAATTGTTTGGCTTGTTTTCTTTCCTAAATGAAATTTTCATTGGCATGTGATTTAAAAGTAGCTTTGCTGCTTATTTCATGATATGCCTGCTGTGGTGTGAAAGAGTTTGGATTGTATTGCATGCTTTTAGAATTATTATCTGAATATATTTTAGGATTTTCAAATTTTTATGGGGCAACTTTTTTGTATGCATTAATGTTTAAAAATGTAAACGTTAAAATATCTTTAAATGAAGATATTAAAAATATTCTGCATGTTTGTTGTATAAGTAGATTTTGGGGCCCAATGCCATATAGCATGCTATTAACATCACTTCCAATAAGTATTATTATGGGCTGATTGCTAAATTTTACCTGAACTGATATCATGTCAGACATCTTTTAAGATATTCTTTTGAGTGATGACAGTTATATGCAAAGGGTATATTGATGTAGCTGTTTAAAGACCTTTTGTAATGTGGTATACCAAATTCAGCCATTCATTTTTGGTATTGGATACATGATAGTATGAAAGAAGGTGTAGGTTAAGAAGTTTGTGTTTAAGTTAAGGGAGTTATTTTTGGGGCAACTAAGACTGCATACTCTTAAGAACAGATTTACGGCCGGGCGCGGTGGCTCACGCCTGTAATCCCAGCACTTTGGGAAGCCAAGACAGGTGGATCACGAGGTCAGGAGTTCAAGACCAGCCTGGCCAAGATGGTGAAACCCCATCTCTACTAAAAATATAAAAATTAGCTAGGTGTGGTGGTGGGCGCCTGTAATCCCAGCTACTTGGCAGGCTGAAGCAGAGAATTGCTTGAACCTGGGAGGCAGAGGTTGCAGTGAGCCGAGATCACACTCCAGCCTAGGTGACAGAGTGAGACTCCATCTAAAAAAAAAAAAAAAAAAAAAAAGAACAGATTTACAAATGAGGGAATGTGATATGCATGCACCTGTCGTAAATGGACAACCCTGGATTCCTGTGAACCAATGGGTAAGGACTGTCATGCATTGGTTTCTTGATTTATTAAAATTGGGATAATACTGAACAAAAATGTGATGTTTAAGGTCATTCATTGTTTTATATATGTTGTAAAATTATTTGTAGTGTTTTTGGGGTAACTTTTGGCTTACTGAGTTAAGTAATCTTAATGATTCTTTGTTTCAGGTCATAAGAAGTTATTAAATGGTTGGTCCCTCTTAAAAATCACTAAATTATAGGTCTATGAATGAATTTTTCACTCTTCTATAGATTGCACTCAATTAACTAATGATCTTCCCTACTGAATTTTTCCAGATAAAACAATACTACGTGGGAAAGCTTCTATTGTAGTGTTGTTAAAAATTTTGTGGTCACATCACATATTCTTTTGAAAATCTGATAAAAGCTGTGGGTTTTTACCAGTAAATATGTATATGTATATAGGTGGAATATTTTGTGCACAATTTCAAATAGTTCATGGATCTGCCTGGGCCTCTTCATGGGCTTTGTGCTAGGGACCCCTGCTCTTTTATGTATCGATTCATTTCCTGTCAGTCAGCAAAGACTGTTCTTTTAAATGTCTTTGGATATGGTGTATAAAAGTAACTATAAATGCTAATTATATAATTTTAAAAGATCTTAACGCCATGTAGTATTGTATTACGTGTTTTATCTTTATATCTATGTTTGATTTAATATGGATTCTATGTGGGTTTACTGTAGAATATTTTCCTTTTTGATTTGCTGTTTGATTTGATAACTTGGGCTTGTCTTTTGTATACTAAGGAAAAATTTTTAAAAACATTTTCACAATACAAATTTCACGTGGAGCCACTTCGGATACTGTTTTTGTGATACATTTGTAGATATGTCTCTAAGACATGACTCCTCTTTTCTTCATTCTAATCATTTTCCTACTGCTATAACTAAACAAAGACTTACTAATTACACAGGCTGGAAGCGCAATTCATTGACCCCGAGGACAACTGTTTTCCCTTGCCCTGGCTGTGAGCATGATGTGGATCTTGGAGAACGAGGAATCAATGGTCTGTTTCGAAACTTCACTTTGGAAACTATTGTGGAAAGATATCGTCAAGCAGCTAGGGCAGCCACAGCCATTATGTGTGACCTTTGTAAACCACCACCTCAAGAATCCACAAAAAGCTGCATGGACTGTAGTGCAAGTTACTGCAATGAATGCTTCAAAATTCATCACCCTTGGGGTACTATAAAAGCTCAACATGAGTATGTTGGTCCAACTACTAACTTCAGACCCAAGGTAAGTGAAGTTTTTATTAAGTTAGAATGTTATTTTAACTTAATGTTATGAAACTTTTATGTACTTAATGTTACGAAATAAATTATTAAGTCTAGAACTTGACAGAAAGGAAATAACTTTAAAAGCAGGTATAAGAACTTAAGGCCTAGTTGGCTGGAGTTACTTACTATGGGGCTAAACATCCCCACCAAAGGAGGGCAATATTGTGGTTTATTCTATTACAATCCAGTGTGATATAATACAATAAATGCATGTTTGTAATGATAACTCTGATTAAAGAAAGGTTATCTCAGATATACTCTTTAAGATTGAAATGGTTAAAGTTAAAAAGCTTTTTTGTGCTTTAGTGTCATAAATCCATAATTGCTTAAAAGGTTTGACTGCGAAACATATTTTTGTTGCATTTGGCTAAAATTGTACAATGAATAAAAGTAATTACAGCCTAATACTTTGTAGTTTGTGATATAATGGTTATATGTTATCTGGAGTAGAATTTGCATTTCTTAAACATTCTGAGTAATTTCTTTAACATTCTGAGTAATTTCTTTAATATTGCTCAAAAGAAGTTTATGTATTGTTTGCCCTGCTGTGTGCCTGGAAAGAAACTGATCTTTTGATATCTTCCCTTCTTTCTGATGTATATAGATTTTAAAAACCTATGGTTGAGTTTTTCAAAGTTCTTACTCCTTATAACTTAGTGACTTGTGTATGAAAATCTACTTGCATTTTTAAGTGTAAAACCTTTAATTTGTAATAAAAAATGGGGAAAAAAATCTCAAAAGTGTTTTTGAAACTGTGAGCTATTTCTTATATTAAATAGTAAAGGATTGGTAGATTAAGGCAAAAACAATCTGTGCTATCACATTTTGAATGACCTTTCTCAAACTGTGTCAGTCTGGTAGTAGATTCATCAGATAGCTTTTAATCCTGTATTATGTTCCTCATTTTAAATGCTCAAGACCATCAATTTTTAAAAATTTGTGACTTCAACCTGATGTTTCTATTTACAAATATAATAAAAGATTGATAAGAGAACACCAAAGAAACATGGATAGGTTATACTGAGAAACATTTCATTTTTCAAGTAGTTAGTGCTACTCAATATAGTAAAATTCTAAAACGGTGTCCAAAATGGTATAGGCAAATGCTATGGAATATTTGCCTATAACGTTGAGTTCTTTTGATCATTTCTTGCAGATGGACAAACTTTGTATTTTATTTTAAATGTAATGGCTTTGGGGATGTAGAAACTTGGACATGCTGAAAAACTTGAAACCTTTTCCAGTTGTTTTTCTCCTGAACCTATATATTGGTATTAGGACTTTCTGTATTGTACTTTTTGTTCGTTCCTTTTAAATGTCTATAAGTTACAAAATTAGCTGGGCATGGTGGCACATGCCTGTGATCCCAGCTTCTTGGGAGGCTGAGGCAGGAAAATTGCTTGAACCCAGGAGGTGGAGGTTGCAGTGAGCCAAGATTGCACCACTGCACTCTAGCCTGGGCGACAGAGCGAGACTCTGTCTCAAAAATAAATAAATAAATAAATAAATAAATGTCTGTAAGTTATCAGACAAGTTACAATTGCTTAAAATCTAATCTGTTGGAATCTTTAACAACTTTTGATTTTATTAACATACTAACTTAAAGGAATCTCCCCTTTCTTTCAAATGAAAACAGTTATTTTACATAAAATTTTATGTTATTTGATAGCTTTTAATCCTCTATGATAATAGTTTACAAAGTAAATAAAAAGGTAGACAATGAAATCAGAAAAACAGTTCCAAATTTGGTCAGTGCATTTGTAATTAATTTGTAAAAGGAAACACATCTAGAAGCTTATAAAGTTTTCTGAGACTCTTTTAGCAACAGATTTCTGTTACTGAGGCCATGAGTCTCATAAATTGTTATGGTACTTCATTAAAAATATTGACTTTGATCATTAAGAATTGCTTCATCAGTGTGGTCAGATGGCCTTTCTAACTTGGTTAAGTGTTCATTCCATTTGAATCTGATAGGAATGAAACTCTAACTTAACAAGTTTTGGAGAAATAACATCTATATATTATGACGAGATCAGGCATGTTCAGAGGGGTATGGCCGTAGACAACATCTACGTATTAATCATTTGAACCCTCAAATTGAAAAATAGTAATTCCGATATAGAGAATTTTCATGTGATGTATCAACCATTTTTCTTTTTACATTCATATTCACTTAAATGGCTTTATTTAGTGATTTTATAAGGCAAATCTTTGTATTTTGGTAATTTGTTAGATTACTTGAAACCTAGATCCTTAATCACACTTTTATTCTTTACTCAATAGATTTTAATGTGCCCAGAACATGAAACAGAGAGAATAAACATGTACTGTGAATTATGTAGGAGGCCAGTTTGCCATCTGTGTAAGTTGGGTGGTAATCATGCCAACCACCGTGTAACCACTATGAGCAGTGCCTACAAAACCTTAAAGGTAGGACTTATTTTTGGAACAGAATTTTGATTCTTCGTAACTTTACTTTATGCCTTTAACTTTTCATTTATAAAATCATGGTGTGTTATATGGTCTCTTTTGTACTAAAATGAGTTAAAGTGTTACTTAGCGATCTACTAATATTAGGTTGTTAGTATTTCTGATCAACAATTATTTGTGGTACTGATAAGGCCCGGCATATATTGACACCTATGTTGTATTAGCTCTGAATTCTGAGGGAAGAGAAGGATGAAGGACACTTCATCATGATACCCAAATGAGCCCAATGTCTATGATAATGGATGTATACATAGGATTGACATACTTTAAAGGGTTGTGGCTGTTTTAAGACACTTGATTCTTATTTCTTGCCTGTAGAATTACTATTTTGTTCATTCTGGTGGCACACTTACCATTTAAAACTGAATTACTTCCGTGGCTCACACCTGTAATCCCAGCTCTTTGGGAGGCCGAGGCGGGCGGATCACGAGGTCAGGAGATCGAGACCATCCTGGCTAACACGGTGAAACCCCATCTCTACTAAAAATACAAAAAAAAAATTAGCTGGGCATGGTGGCGGGCACCTGTAGTCCCAGCTACTCAAGAGGCTGAGGCAGGAGAATGCTGTGAACCCAGGAGGCGGAGCTTGCAGTGAGCTGAGATCGCGCCACTGCACTCCAGCCTGGGTGACAGAGTGAGACTCTGTCTCAAAAACAAACAAAAAAAAACCTGAATTACTTCCTTTGTGTTAGTTTTATTGATGATGTTTAAAACTTTCAAATTTCATAATCAACAACAAAGGCAGCAGTACACTACTATCTTTTCGTTTTATTCTTTTTCCCTTTAAACAATATTTTTAAAAGAAATCATCTATGTACCTACTACCCATTTTGTTTCTTTCCTCTGTTTAACAGTATGTGTATGCATTTTTTTGCCTCTGTCTAATTGCATATATGCAAACTTTTGTGTTTTGCATTTTATATTTATGTTGTGCTCTACCTTCTCTGCACATACGAAATACAGGTATAATTGTATAATTGTTCTTGCCTACTAATTCTCTCATCTGTTTCACTACTAGGTCAGTTTTGATTTTTTTTTTTAATTAAAGTTTATATTTCTCTGCTACCTTGCATGCCTGGTAATTTTTGATTGGCTGCCAGCTATTGGATAGTTTTGTATTTCTACAAATGCTATTTTCTTTGAGTATGTGATTAGGTTGCTTGGAAACGTTTGGGTCTTTTGTGAGGCAGGACAGAACAGCATTTAATTTTAAGGGCTAATTTTATCTGACTATTGAAGTAAAAGCCTTTGATTACTCTTTTCAATGCCCTGTGAATTTAGAGATTTGTTTTTTTTTTTTTTTTTTTTTTTTTTTGTCTGGCTGGTGGGGAACAGGCACTCTTTCCAGCCTTGTGTAAGCTCCTGGGATTGTTTCCTTGAACCTGTAGGGTGATTCTTTGCCTGGGCTTGGACAGTTTCCTCACACACAAGAGTTGATGAGGACTGCTGAATATGTATGGGAGACTGTTTGTGTCTCTGGAGTTCTTTCTCTTTACAACAGTCTCTTCTTAGATACATACCTTACAACCTATGGTACATGCCTTATAACCTATGGCCTCCTTGGACTCAGCTGCATCTCCCTAGGGTTCTTGGTTTGCCCTCAGGAGACTCTGATATACACTAGTGTTTGAGAACCACTGATCCAGAGGAAAGCTTCTGAGCAGTTTTGAAGTCCCTGAGAAATTAACCTCTGATTAGTTCCTAAAGAACTGGGGTCCTGATTTATCTAAAGGAGTTAAGAGGTAGCCTTGTCTTTTTACATTTTAATCTTCAATGCCTATTTTCAGTGTGTGGTACATATACTTTTTAGAGACCTGTGAATAAATGGACATCCTGATTCTTGCTTAAAACTGATCTAGTCTTTTAAAACAAACTGGCTAGATTTGAGGGGACTATTATGACTGGAGCTGTCTCAGATAAAAGCTATTCTCAGATAAACGTATAGTTGGCCAGATACTTTGAGCATTAAAACTCAGAGAGTGTGGTGCTTTTACATCATGTGTCCGAATTCTGCCATCTATTCTTCTCTGGTCCTTACCTCTTTGAGTCAACTAACTTATCTTTTCCTATCTTGTAGTTCTAATGTAAGCTGCTATCATACAACTAAGCCTTACTTCAATTTAAATGGCCAAATGTATCTTATTGCTACCCTAGTTAAAAAAGAGTACCACCACTTTGCACCTAGTACTTCTGATCTCCACATAGGCCTGTTAGGGATGGTATTATTAGAATTGCCATTTTACTTTCAGCTTGGTGCTGAGACGTACCTCTCAGCCTGTGGAATAGTGTTTAGTGTTTAATAGTGCCCTCTTGTTGAGCACCCTTTTCGTTTCAAGTCATCGGTGGTAATTGAGCCTGAAATGCTCAGATTGGCCTTTAAGAGCTACAGCTTGAAAGGTGTTTTCTGGATGTTCTTATTCTTATTTAGACTCTCAATACATTTTTCTGTTACAACTTTTTACCCCATGGTGTTTCGGGGCTTTTGTGTTTTGGTTTTTGTGTATTTCAGAGTAGGTTTTCTGGGCAAGATCAGGGATCTCACCAAAACTTAGGATGGTATTTCTGTGGGAAAGAAACTATACTTATTTAAAAAGGTCTTCCTTACAGACAGATTATTCAAAGAGCTCTGGAAATTGCCTATTTTTATAAAACTATATTTTCATTATTGTGTAATTATTTAATAGGCTGGGATGAACTGTCAATATTATTTTGGAAGTCTCTTTGTTGCTACTCCTATTGTGTATAGGTGTGTGTGTGTGTGCACGTGGGTGTTTGTGAGAGTAAATTATAAAATCTGAAGACAAAACTATTTGAATTGCTGTTCTTCCATTTACTTAGAAGCCTTAGGAGCAGGAGCTCTAGGAATGATAATGAAACAATAAAAATGTACTGTTTTTATATTCAGAAGTTTTGACTAATTTAACCATTATTACCTTGTTCTTTTTTCCAACTGATTTTAATCTTTCATACATCCTTTGGCCCTCTGTGCCTAAGGCCATTAACTGTTTACTCCGGGTTAATAATGATAATTGCCATAGTTGATTTTATTATGTTTATCAGAGGCTGTAGAAGAGGATGAGTCCTGTGTAATTAAAAAAAAATTCTGCAAAGTCTTTGCTAAACTCCCGTTTTGTCTATTTGTGTTACGAATATGTTTCAACAGGAAAAGCTTTCAAAGGATATTGATTACCTTATTGGTAAGGAAAGCCAGGTGAAGAGTCAAATATCTGAACTAAACTTGTTAATGAAAGAAACAGAGGTAAGTGATAAACTAGCTTGCATATTTTAAATTATTGTTATTTTATCTAGACATTCATTCATTTGTTCATAAAATCCTGAGAGTATTATATGAGCTGGGAATACAAAGTTGTGTTAGATTTCACCCCTGCTTTTCTGGGGCTATGGAAACAAATGTAAAAAATGAATTATAATGTTGTGTGGTCACTTCTGTGGTAGAGCTAGTGATTAAATGATATTGGAACACAGAGGGAAAAAATGACTATTTGTGTGGCAACTAACAAGATCTCAAAAGTATTTAATAGTAACATAAGGGAAATGATAGGTTTTACTTATTTTTATTATATTTTAAAAAATTAATAGATCACTTTTGGAAAATGTGCTGTATGCAGATTGGGCCAGGTTTATTTTAAATTCCCGGTATTCCTGAGTGTATACCCTATATATGTTCCCCAAAAGACATATATTAGAATGTTGGTGGCTGCCTTGTTTGTAATTGTCACAAAGTGGGATCTACCCACATGCCCATTAACAGTAGAATAAAAATAGCAATAAGAATGAATGATCTGCAGCTGCACACAGCAGGTAGATTAATCTTGCAGTAATGTCGACAGGAAGGCGCCAGATACAAAGGAATACATACTATGTGATTACATTTCTAAAAAGTACCAAAAAAGGTGAAACTAGATGATGATGTTAGAGTTGAGGAGGGGGGTAGGTTAGTGTCTGGAAAGGTTATATGGAGGCTTCTGGGATACTGGTAATGTTCTTTTATCTAATCTGGATTTTCTGTTGGATGCTGGTTATATTGAGTGTGTGGGTAAAGATTCATTAGTCTTTATACTTACATGTACATTTTTCCATTTGTGTATTATGTTTCAATAAAAAATTAGAAAAGATAACAGCATTTTAAAAATAATAGTAAAAGGGGATTGGATTGGGTTGTTTTAAAAGTCCAGATATTCTTCACTGACTTTGTTGTACACTTGTTTTTCTTCTCCATTTGAAACAAAGTTGAGCCATTACTCCTGATTTTTAGTAATTAAATATAAAAATATCCCAGCTAGTATGACACTGTTACTTGAAGAAGTTTTTTTCCAATATAGGTTGAAATTATTGAGAAATCACGAAAATTAACACCACTACCAGCAGTGCTTTTGTTTTTAATATTATTTTCCTGATCTTTACTGATTCACCACCCTAAGTCAGTCATTTTTCCATGCAGTTTGGGGTTTTCTTTTTCATATTTTTGTTGGATTAAGTGACAGACTGTCTCAACACAAAGCAGATGATCACCTTAGTAGGTTGCTTCAAATGTTGCATCTTTGGTCATTTTATTAATAGCCTTGTTTGTTGGTCCTCTCAGTCCTGCTGCTCTTCACTTCTGAAATGAAGACCCAGAGTCTGTTTTGGGGTTTGTCATCAATAGGTTAAAAATTGAGGAACTTAGGTGTCAAGTATTCATGTAGACACTGATTCCTTGGGATAGTGGGGACATTACTGAGTTGTTTTGTATCATTTGCCTAAGTTGTATCTGTAGCCTTATCAATAAGAATTTTTTTTACGCTAGATAACTTGCCTCCATTCTCGACATTTACTTAGTGATGATGGTGACACTGTCTTTTTTATCTGTAATTTTACTTGGCTGAAAAAAATCTATCTATAATGATATTTCTGAGTTGGATGTTGTGATTTGTCAGTGAAATACTATCAAAATGTCACTACCTTCTGCTCCTTCTCTTTTAAAAATATGTGGCTGTCGGGGTTAGGAAACAGGAGATCTGGAAAAAATTTCCTTTCATTATAGGTGTTGGCTGAAAGCCAATGGATAATGCACAGTACGCTTCTGCCATATATTGTCAGCTTTTAAGAATGTTCTTAGCCAGGCTTAATGGCTCACGCCTGTAATCTCAGCACTTTGGGAGGCCGAGGCGGGCGGATCACAAGGTCAGGAGTTCGAGACCAGCCTGGCCAACATGGTAAAACCCGGTCTGTACTAAAGATACAAAAAAATTAGCCTGGCCTGGTGGTGCACACCTGTAATCCCAGCTACTCGGGAGGCTGAGGCAGGAGAATTGCTTGAACCCGGGAGGCAGAGGTTGCAGTGAGCCAAGATCACTCCATTGCACTCTAGCCTAGGTGATAGGGCAAGACTCCGTTTCAAAAAAAAAGAAAAAAAAAAAGCTGGGTGCAGTGGCTCACACCTGTAATCCCAGCACTTTGAGAGGCCGAGGCAGGCAGATCATGAGGTCAGGAGATCAAGACCATCCTGGCTAACACGGTGAAACCCCATCTCTACTAAAAATACAAAAAAAAATTTAGTAGGGTGTGGTGGCGGGCGCCCGTAGTCCCAGCTACTCGGGAGGCTGAGGCAGGAGAATGGCGTGAACCTTGGAGGCGGAGCTTGCAGTGAGCCGAGATCGCGCCACTGCACTACAGCCTGGGCGACAGAGCGAGACTCTGTCTCAAAAAAAAAGAATGTTCTTGAAGACTTTTTTTCTGTTGGCTGCTGTCTGTGAGTCTGTTATAATAAGTGCTTAGGAGTGTTTGCCAGTCTTCTCAAAATCATGAGCTCTGATTTTATAGGAATTCAGAATGTTTAACAAACACTAGGGTCATTTTATGACAGTTTGTATGAATGTTTATTTACAGTATGTGACACTGTGGTATATACTTTATGTAAATAACCTTTTAAAATCTCTTCACAAAAACCTAAATGGTTTTTCTTATCCCCTATTTTCAGAAGAGAAAAAACAGAAAGAGAAGTGAAATGATTAGCATATGGTCACACAGCTAAGTCAGGATTTAATTATAATTATATTAAAGTGAAGAGGATACTTTTATTTTTATATCTTAGTAAAGAATGTCATATTTTAGAGTTTTGTGGCTAAAAACTTTTTTAGGCCAGGCGCGGTGGCTCATGCTTGTAATCCCAACACTTTGGGAGGCCGAGGCGGGTTGATCATGATGTCAGGAGATCAAGACCATCCTAGCTAACACTGCGAAACCCCATCTCTACTAAAAATATTGAAAAAAAGCTGGGCGTGGTGGCATGTGCCTGTAGTCCCAGCTACTTGGGAGGCTGAGGCAGGAGAATCACCTGAACCCAGAAGGCGGAGGTTACAGTGAGCCAAGATCGCACCACTGCACTCCAGTCTGTGCGACAGAGCGAGACTCTGTCTCAAAAAAACAAAAACAACTTTTTAAAAAGTTGGAGTAGCGTAGAAAGGGTGAAAACATTTCTGAATTTGAAATGAATTCAAAGTTCTGGAATTGTGTTTTCCTGTTTTTGTTTAAATCAGTTCATTTCTCCTTCATATTCCTTTATATACCACTGAAAGATTATTCTCTTATTTAATTGACTAAATTGTTTATTGCCAGACTTTGGAGATGAAAAGCTTAAGGAAGTACAATATTATAAAATTACAAAGTAAATCTGAATAAAAGTTGTCAGTTGTTCTTTGCTAAGTGTATTTGATGCCAAAATATTGTTCTGAAAATTTCAGAGTTAGATAAAACTTTTTTCTTTATAATATCTAGGTTGGTTTTATCAAATTTTGATAATGCTGTCATCACATAGATGAAATGTAATTATGTAGAACTTTGTGGAAAGCCATTTGGGTTTAGCAGAAGAGGCTATTCTTTGTTTTATCTTAGTGTAATGGAGATACTGTTTTTTCTTAGTGTAATGGAGAGAGGGCTAAAGAAGAAGCAATTACACATTTTGAAAAGCTCTTTGAAGTTCTGGAAGAGAGGAAATCATCTGTTTTGAAAGCAATTGACTCCTCTAAGAAACTAAGATTAGACAAATTTCAGACTCAAATGGAAGAGTACCAGGGACTTCTAGAGAACAATGGACTTGTGGGATATGCTCAAGAAGTGCTAAAGGAGACAGATCAGTCTTGCTTTGTGCAGACAGCAAAGCAGCTCCACCTCAGGTATTCTCTTTTACTTCTAACTTTAGAACCTATTGAGCAATGTTATTAAATGCTGCTGTGTATTCTCACTTTAGCTCTGATTGGTCCATAATGCTGTGTTAATGTGAGGTACATCTTGCCTCATTCTTAACTTTAATTTTGAGTGAAGTGTGGGTTTTATTTTGTTAATCATGTTGCAGATATTTAGTCTGATTTGACTTCTTAAAGAAACATTTTTATATAAAATATCTGTCTGCAGAATACAGAAAGCCACAGAATCTTTGAAGAGCTTTAGACCTGCAGCTCAGACTTCTTTTGAAGACTATGTTGTTAATACCTCTAAACAAACAGAACTTCTTGGAGAATTATCCTTTTTCTCTAGTGGTAAGTCTTAATGAAGGCAAAAACCTCATTCTTTTTGTCTGAATTTGTATTGTGTGGAAGAAAACACAAGTTCTCTTAAATTTGACATTATAAAGCAGCATCTCACTTGCCCAGGACTATCACAGCATCCTGAAATCATATCCTATTTATGTTTTTAAAACTATATTTTTATGCACAAAAACTATGTTCCATTAGTTTGTGTGTTTTTAAACATTGCATAAATAGCATTATGTTGTATGTATTTTTGTAAATTGCTTTTTAGAAAATTAACATAAATACTTGTAAATATATGAAATTTTGGTGTAAAGCAATATTTTAACTGTTTACAGTATTTCATAAGTAAATCATTTTCCTACTAAGAGACTTTTTTTTTCCATTTTTTTCCTCTTTTATGAGCAACGCTGTGTCGCACATCCTTGTCAGAGTTTTTTGGGCAAGTGTATGTGAGTTTCTTGGACAGAAGCCTAGGAATGGAATCTGCAGGCTGTTTACATTGCTGTATTAGTTTGCTTGAGCTGCAGTGACAAAAGTACCATAGACTGAGTGACTCAAAACAGATTCATTTTGTTACATTTCTGGAGCCTACAAGTCAGAGATCAAGGTGTTGGCAGGGTTGGTTTCTTCTGAACCTCTCTTCTTGGTTGATAAATGATAAATGGCTATCTTCTCCTTGTGTCTTCACATGGTCCTCTGTGTGTGTGTGAGAGAGATCTAATCTCCTCTTTTTATAAGGACACCAGTCATATTGGAGTAGGGCCCATTCTAATGACCTGATTTTAATTTAATTTCCTCTTTAAAGACCCTATTTTAAAATACAGTCACATTCTGAGGTACGTACTGGGGGTTAGGACTTCAACATGTGAATTTCCAGTGGCGAGGGGTGGGGTCTGGGGGACTGGGGAAGGATGCAATTCAGTCCATAACACTTGCTTACGTTTGTATTTTGCTACTCCCTAGCAGGGAGGTCTTCCTTGCCTTTTTTTCTTCTTCTCACCTCATTCCTCTCCCTAAGATTTCTCTTCTAGTGATGGTGAACACTACAAAGATATATTTATAGTATAATTACTTTATAGGTGCAGATTTGTAGATTTGTACATTAATACAAGGAAATTTGTCTTGTTAAAAGTTTAAAACTCTGAAGGATTACTGTGACCTCCTTTTCAAATCTATACCTGAATCTGATACTTACTTACTATGACCGTCTTATTTTTTCAAATAGATATTTGTCATCACTTAAAATGCTGATTGTATTTCATACACTATACTGTGTTTCCAAAATGTATGCTTGAATAGTATATATACAAATAGATATTTGCTTACTTGTGAGTCCTAGGTCCTCCCTCCCTGTGGATCCCAAAATGGTTGCTGGAAAGGTAAGGTTGAGGGTGGGTTATCCTGGGTTATACCACTGTATAGCAAGGAACCAATAAAACAGGTGGATGAGAATGGGATAGTAGTCACCTAGCTTCTGGCTGATGGATCTTCCCCTCATTTTTTGCTACATGCATTTTTTTTTTTTTAGTAAGCTATGTTTCAAAAAAAGAAAGAAAAAGAGTATGGGGTAGGCGACATACTATTTGTTAATCTGTAACTTTTTTTTTAAATTTTAAAATGTATTTTGAATAACTTTCCAGATCTCATTATGGCTGCATAACATTCAGTTGTATAAATGCAGCATACACAGAAATGCTTATACATTGGGGAATAAGGAGAGGAAAGAGACTTCTGCTTCTTATTCATGTCCTTCTCTGTGATTTGTCATAAATGTGTGTGTGTAGCTTTTATAGCGTATTGTTCTTAGCATATGATTCCAGCAGTTAAGCTTGGGAATTGGCTCTATAGAAAGGACTTTGCATATGAATAAAGATTTAGAATCATTTTATTTTTAGTGAAAAACCAGAAACCTGTTTCCAAAACTAAACAGTTAAATGTTGATATATCCATGTAGGTAGTATACCATTGAGGGGGAAAATACTGGCGAGATCTATACAAAAAGGTTATAGTAATTACCTTTGAGTTAGTTAAAATCTTTTAATGTGTATTTTTCAGTTTCTGATTTCCTTATAAAAATATGTACCATGATTTTATTTAGAAAAATTAATTTGCTTTGCAACTCTACAGAATAAACTATGCAAAGAAATGATAAAATATTCATTGAGAGGCCGGGCACAGTGGCTCATGCCTGTAATCCCAGCACTTTGGGAGACCAAGGCAGGCAGATCATGAGGTCAGGAGATCGAGAACATCCTGGCTAACACGGTGAAACCCTGTTTCTACTAAAAATACAAAAAATTAGCCAGGTGTGGTAGCACGCACCTGTAATCCCAGCTACTTGGGAGGCTGAGGCGGGAGAATCACTTGAACCTGGGAGACAGAGGTTGGAGTGAGCTGAGATCATGCCAGTGCACTCCAGCCTTGGCAACAGAGCAACACTCCATCTTAAAAAAAAAAAATTCATTGAGAGTTTGATATTCTTACCAGACTTAGATTTTAAAATATTAAAATAATAGTTTGTTTAGGGGAGGACATAGGTAAAAAAATTTCAAGTCCTGGGCTGTTATTCAGTAGGTAGAAGGCATGTGGTTAAAAAAAATTTACTTGTGGCTTTGAGTCAGTTTTTGTCTTTTTTACTCTTCTTTCTCCTTTCAGTTACAAATATAGATATACCTTTTAAATATAAAAAATATTTAATATATTTAATTTTTGTGCTTTCTATATATAGTATTATAAATTTAGAAAAGTATTAGTATAGAAATCATTAAATACTGTTTATATGTCATTTTATTGAGGAAAAACACTGGTTTTCAAATGTCAATATTTTAATGTTGTTTTCTATTTCATAATTCTTTCAGGCATAGACGTGCCAGAGATCAATGAGGAACAGAGCAAAGTTTATAACAATGCCTTGATAAATTGGCACCATCCAGAAAAGGATAAAGCTGATAGCTATGTTCTTGAATATCGGAAAATCAATAGAGATGATGAAATGTCATGGAATGAGATAGAAGTGTGTGGAACAAGTAAAATAATTCAAGACTTGGAAAACAGTAGTACCTATGCTTTCAGAGTAAGAGCTTACAAGGGTTCAATCTGTAGTCCTTGCAGCAGAGAATTGATTCTTCATACTCCTCCAGCTCCAGGTATGGTGAATATCAGGAATAAAAAAAGCATAGAGTTAGTTGCAAGAGACCTTGATAAAATAAACTAGTCAGTATCTCCATGTAGACCTGCACTGAAACCAGCTCTTGTTTTTAAAAGACTCCAGAAAAGTAGCTTCTATCCCAGCTGGGCTTTAGAAATGAACTGAGTACTTGAATTTTTACCTTGTAGGCTGAGAACAGGATTGGGTTTTAACTGATGTCAGATAGAGAAAAACATGGAAGGAAGAAATTTGGGTGAGCAGAGCTAGTAAGTTGGGATTTAAATAGCATAAATGCTATTTTAAAAGTTTTAAATATATAATTCTGTATTTTTGGTTTATGGAAATCTCTAAAACATAATTTTTAAAATTTATTGGTCTAATATCCTAAAATATAATTTTGATTTAACCTAATTCTGATTTGTCTGGATTTTTTTATCTAACTAGGCACTTCTCAGATAATAGGGATGGAAGCCATATATTAGAACCACATGAATAGCTTTTCCTCCCACGCTAAAAGCTCCTTATGCCCAGTCATCGCCCCCTCCCTTCCCAAGTTAAAAACCACTGATACTACATATAGAGCGCCTAAAGATTTTTATAGAATGTGAATGACTTTAAAGGTTCGTTGATGTTCACTATGATGTCTCCATGAACAAGGGATATTTAGAACCAAAATTGTGCTCAGCCTGGTTAGCAGGAAAACGTTTTCCCCTTTCAGTCACTGCCTCAGAGATGCCTTTAATTGGATTTTAGGTCCACTGTCCCTTGCCTCTTTTTAGTGTCTTATGTACCCATATTTTCTTCACTCTCCCCTTTCTTCCTTTTTTGTTCAAAATAGAAAAGCACAATTTGTTTTTCATGCACATTGTAGCTTTTAAAAAATTGGAATACAAACATGGAAGATTGGCTAAAATTATATTTCTTAAATTTTAATCAAATCCAATAGAGAGTTTTGGGATGAATTTGCAGGTATTAAGTAACTATTTTATGGTTTATGCTATTTCTGCTTCCTTTTCTAGTCTTTCTGCCTGAAAGTGGAAGAAAAACCTGGACATAACTGCTGTTTTCAGTCACATAGTGGAGGGGAAGGGAGGAGAGGAAGTGTTAACAGTTGTCTTCCTTTTTATGAGAGAAGATACGTGACTAGGGTGACCCTTTAAATTTATTTTGCAAACTGGGAGACTTTTGAGATTGAGAGCAAGCACAAATAATCATGCCAGGAAAAGAGGCATTAGCAGGAAGAATGGTCAGCTCACACGTGGGTAATGGCTGTAGTTTGCTAGCAGTCTTTTTTTTTTTTTTTTTTTCTTTTTGGAGGTGGAGTCTGGCTCTGTCACCCAGGCTGGAGTACAGTGGCACCATCTCAGCTCACTAGCTCACTGCAACCTCTGTCTCCTGGGTTCAAGCAATTTTTCTGCCTCAGCTTCCTGAGTAGTAGCTGGGATTACAGATGCAGACCAGCATGCCTGGCTAATTTTTGTATTTTTAGTAGAGCCAGGTTTCACCATGTTGGCCAGGCTGGTGTCACACTCCTGACCTCAAGTGATCCACCCACCTCGGCCTCCCAAAGTGCTGGAATTATAGACGTGAGCCACCAGGCCCAGCTGCTAGCAGCCTGTTTAAAATATATATATATATGTATATATATATATACACACACACACACACACACATAGAGAGAGAGAGAGAGATGGGGTCTCACTATGTTGCCTTTGCTGGCCTCAAACTCCTGAACTCAAGTAATCCTCCTATCTCCCATGTAGCTAGGACTAAAGGTGTGCACTATGATGCCTGGGGGTCATTTTTTAAATTGTGGTGTAATAAAGATAAAATGTATTATCTTAACAGTTTTTAAGTATACAGCTCATTGGCATTAAGTACATTTACAGTATTGTTTAAATATCACCACTTTTACCTCCTTAACTTTCATTATTCTAAACTGAAACCCTGTACCCATTAAACAGTTACTCCTATTTCCCCTCTCCCCAGAGGCTGGTAACTTTGATTCTAATTTCTGTCTCTATGAATGTGCCTATTCTAGGTATCTCATATAACTGGAATAATGCAATATTTGTCCTTTTACATCTGGCTTATTTATCCATGTTGTAGCATGTATCGAAATTTATCCATACATGTAGCATGTATCATACATGTTGTAGCATGTATCCAAATGTATGTATCCAAATTTATCCATGTTGTAGCATGTATCCAAATCTTTCCTTTTTAAGGCTGAATAATATTCCATTGTATGTATATACCACATTTTCTTTACTCATCTGTTGATGGACTTTCTGTTGTTTCCCCATTGGCTAGCAGCCAATGTTATGCTTAATATATTTGAGTTGATACAGACTTATGGGAGTGGTATCATCATTCTGCAGATGAATAAATTAAAGTTTAGATGAAACTCTAGTTGAATGCTTGAGTAGGATTCAAACCCAGGTCTCTCTCAACCCAAAAGCTGTGTTTTTGTTTTTGTTTTTTTACAGTGTCCCATGTTTCTTATGTCTGCCATGTTGGTTGATACAGAAAAAGCTTTATTAAAATAGCTAAAATGACCCAAATTAACAAAACTTTCAATAAGAAAATGTAGAACTATTTATGAAAATTTACAACTCTTTATTATTTTTTATCTTTAATAAAGATAAAAGAACAAATTCAATAGTGTGAAATACCTGTGATAGATTTGCTATCTGTATTCCAAAGAGCTGTTTTTATAAATTTTCACATATATTTAAAATATTTACATCTGCTTTATGAGATTTCTGAAGATTTTTAGGTAGACAATATACTGGATAAGATATATTGCTAAGTTGGGTTTTGGTTTGTCATAGTTGTCCGGGGTAGTGTGACACCTCCTTCCCGCTTCCTGTCTCTCTTCAGTAATTTCTGTAAGAAAACCTATCAGATTTAACAAACTAGAGCAATGATAATTTTTAGCCTGATATTAATTTTAAGCTCCATTTAGTTTTCAGCTTCCTCTTTGATGAAAAATGTGGCTATAATAATGAACACCTCCTGCTGAACTTGAAGAGAGACCGTGTAGAGAGTAGAGCTGGATTTAATCTTCTGCTTGCTGCAGAACGCATCCAAGTGGGTTATTACACAAGCTTAGACTACATCATTGGAGATACTGGCATTACAAAAGGAAAACACTTCTGGGCCTTCCGTGTGGAACCATATTCATACCTGGTAAAAGTGGGAGTTGCTTCTAGCGATAAACTACAAGAATGGCTCCGTTCTCCCCGGGATGCAGTTAGTCCAAGGTAGGTTTTTGTATTGATCTAGAACTTGATAATTTTTTAAAAGTAAGCCTGAAAATAGATTTGGCTTTGTTACATTTGGAGTATACATTTCTTATTTCTTAGATTCTAGTATTTTGGCTGTGGCTTGATTGAGAAAAGGAGCCGGGTATTCTTGTAATCACACATTGAATAAGGAGAGTTAGCAGTTACTTTTTAATATCATGAGGAAATCCATTTTGGATATCTCTTAATTGTGATATAGCTTCACAGTTTTAAATTTTGAAAGTCTTTAACATGTTACCTATGTCATAAAAATTACCCACGTATATAATACAATGCGTCTGATTGTCATACTTCACAGTTAAGTTGTTCTTTTCTTATGGGACACAGTTTCTTTAAACTTTCCCATAAGTCCTTTTCAAAATTGGGTCATGGTAGACATATTTCCGCAGCAAAGACTTCCAGTTTCTTAAGAGATTGACTAATGAAGATTGTACAGTTCAGTTCTTTTAGATGGAATAAGGTCAACTAGCTTTGAAAAATAATTTTTGACCACTCATGTGAACAGTATCCCAGCTTAACAATCTGAATGATAGGAAAAGCTTTCTTCAGAAAGATAAAAAATTTATATAATGCTGAAAATTTTAACAGTAAAACATAGTGACATGTCCACTTGATAGAAAATTAGTATTAATGTTTAAAAAGTTCATAACATGAGAAATACTAGAAGTGGAGAAACCTAGTAAACGTTGTTGATGCAGTATTATCCAAAATATATAAAAAGCAACATAGGCATATTGAAAAAAATGGGGAACATGTTTCAAAATTTTATATAAGTTTTTTATTGTTTTATGATAAAGGTGAAAAAGCTTCATAATCTTTGTTTGCTTCATACATCCATGATGAAATCCCAACCAGGAAATAGAGTTCTTAGGATGAGAATGAAACATGCTTTTTTCTCTTGCATTATTTTACAGTGCTCATATATTTCACTTAGCCTGGTAATCCTTGGTTTAGGGCATACATCTTATCTTTGTATTTTCTTTTCTTTTTTGAGACGGAGTTTTGCTCTTGTTGACCAGGCTGGAGTGCAATGGCGCGATCTTGGCTCACCGCAACCTCTGCCTCCCGGGTTCAAGCGATTCTTCTGCCTCAGCCTCCCAAATAGCTGGGATTATAGGCATGCACCACCACACCCGGCTAATTTTTTTTAGTAGAGATGGGGTTTCTCCATGTTGGTCAGGCTGGTCTCGAATTCCCGACCTCAGGTGATCCACCTGCCTCAGCCTCCCAAAGTGCTGGGATTACAGGCGTGAGCCACCGCACCTGGCCTGTAGTTTCTTATACATTTATGTATTAGCTTAGCAACAGGAATATGTTCTGAGAAATATATTGCAAGGCAATTTCATTGTTGCGAGAACATCATAGAGTGTTCTTACACAAACTTAGATGGAATAGTCTCCTACACCCTTAGGGTATGTGGAACAGTCTTTGGTCCTAGAATACAAACCTGTACAGCATGTACTGTAATACTGTAGGCAATTTTAATGCAACAGTAAGTATTTGTGTATCTAAACATAGAAAAGGTACAATAAAAATAAGTTATAAAAGATAAAAAATTGTATACTTCTATAGGGTACTTACCATGAATGGAGCTTGCAGGACTGGAAGTTCTCTGGGTGCATCCATGAGTGAATTTGAAGGCCTAGGACATTGCTGCACACTACTGTAAACTTTACAAACACACTATACACTTAGGCTGCACTAAATTTATTTAAATGTATTCTTCTTTAAGAAATTAACCTTAGTTTTATAAACTTTCAATTTTTTTTTTTTTTTTTTTTTTTTTTTTTTGAGACGGAGTCTCGCTCTGTCGCCCAGGCCGGACTGCGGACTGCAGTGGCGCAATCTCAGCTCACTGCAAGCTCCGCTTCCTGGGTTCACGCCATTCTCCTGCCTCAGCCTCCCGAGTAGCTGGGACTACAGGCGCCCGCCACCGCGCCCGGCTAATTTTTTGTATTTTTAGTAGAGACGGGGTTTCACCTTGTTAGCCAGGATGGTCTCGATCTCCTGACCTCATGATCCACCCGCCTCAGCCTCCCAAAGTGCTGGGATTACAGGCGTGAGCCACCGCGCCCGGCCTAAACTTTCAATTTTTAAAAAAACTTTTTAACTCTCTTGTAGGAACACTTAGCTTAAAACACAAACACATTGTACATCTATATACATTTTTTTTTTTTTTTGAGATGGAGTTTCGCTTTTGTTGCCCAGGCTGGAGTACAATGGCATGAACTCGGCTCACCACAACCTCCACCTCCTGGGTTCAAGCAATTCTCCTGCCTCAGCCTCCCGACTAGCTGGGATTACAGGCATGCGCCACCACACCCAGCTAATTTTGTATTTTTAGTAGAGATGAAATTTCCCCATGTTGGTCAGGCTGGTCCCGACCTCAGGTGATCCGCCCTCCTCAGCCTCCCAAAGTGCTGGGATTACAGACGTGAGCTACCACTCCTGGCCCCCCCCAATTTTTTTTATAGCCTTGTTCTACAAGTTTTTTTTTTTAATTTTTTAAATTTTTAACATTTTAAGCATTTTTGTTAAAAATGAAGACACAAACATAATAGCCTATCCAGGGTCAACATCATCAATATCATCGTCTTCCACTTCCACGTCTTGTCCCACTGGAAGGTCTTCTGGGGCAGTAACATACATGGAGCTGTCATTTCCTAGGATAACAGTGCTGCCTTCTGGAAAACCTCCTTAAAGGGCCTGCCTGAGGCTGTTTTACAGTTAACATTTTTTTAAATAAGTAGAAGGAGTAAGTCTACAATAACAATAAAAGCAT
Source organism: Homo sapiens (assembly GCF_000001405.40). Lineage (NCBI taxonomy): Eukaryota > Metazoa > Chordata > Mammalia > Primates > Hominidae > Homo > Homo sapiens. The sequence continues at coordinate 115,127,767 of NC_000005.10, read as the reverse complement.
TGCATAATAAATACATGAGCCAGTAACAGTCACTTATTAAATATTACATAATGTACATAATTGTATGTGTTACACTTTTATGTAACAACTTTAAGCACTGTTTACACCAGTATCACCACAAACATGTAATGGGTTACACTACAGCCTTACAGTGGCTACCACGTCACTAAGCTATAGGAATGAATGAATGAATGAATTTATTTATTTAAGACAGGGTCTCGCTCTGTTGCCAGGACTGCAGTGCAGTGGTGCTATCTCGGTCCACTGCAACTTCTGCTTCCTGGGTTCAAGTGATTCTTATGCCTCAGCCTCCCAAGTAGCTGAGACTACAAGCGTACACCACCATGCCTGGCTAATTTTTGGATTTTTAGTAGAGATATGGTTTTGTCATGTTGGCCAGGTTGGTCTGGAACTCCTGGCCTCAAGTGGTCCTCCTGCCTTGGCCTCCCAGAGTGCTGGGATTACAGGCATGAGCCACTGCACCCAACTGAAATATTTTAGTTTCATTATAGTCTTACGGGACCACTGTGGTATATGAGGTCTGTTGTTCACTGAAATGTTCTGTGGTACATGATTGTACATGATTGTGTGCTATAAAAATTTAACATTTGACCAGTTATCACTGCCCGCTCCCTCACTTTTTGGAAGGCTAAAATTATCAATGATTTTCTAGGGTTTCACTTCTGTATATAACTAAAGCAGTGTTTAATGACAGGGAATTTGGGGCTGAGTCTGTGGTATAATTCTAAATTGTAATGTGTCATTTTTATGTTTTTGATTTTGTTTTAATAGAAAGCTTTTGATGTAAAAACTATTTTAACTTTACATCAATGTATATTATCCTGTGAAAATGTTTTGAAGATACTTAGATCTATTGTTGAAGATACAGATGCTTTGTATTATGTTTCAGATATGAGCAAGACAGTGGGCATGACAGTGGAAGTGAGGATGCCTGTTTTGATTCTTCACAACCATTTACCTTAGTTACTATAGGCATGCAGAAATTTTTTATACCCAAGTCACCTACTTCTTCTAATGAACCTGAAAATAGAGTTCTCCCTATGCCAACAAGTATTGGGATTTTCCTTGACTGTGATAAAGGCAAAGTAGATTTCTATGATATGGATCAGATGAAATGCCTTTATGAACGCCAAGTGGACTGTTCACATACACTGTATCCAGCATTTGCATTAATGGGCAGTGGAGGAATTCAGCTTGAAGAACCCATCACAGCAAAATATCTGGAATACCAAGAGGACATGTAGTTGAAACATCTGATGTGACTCAGGATAAAAACTGTAAACAAAGCAATGCCTTAGCGTTAACCTTCGTAACTAATTACATATCGCTGAGTGTTCTGTCACCCCACTTGTGTTTGAGTATGATTCTTCTTGAAATACAGAAAATCTAAACAGCCTTGTGTCTTCATGTCGTTGTTCTGCCTTTCACAAATGATGAAAGTGAAGATGTTCTTTCCAAGTTAATACTGAAGTGGTTAACTTTGCAACTGGACTGTCTTTTACTTTATGTACAGGATATCTAATTTATTTCTGTCAGCTGGTGTTGCTGACACTTTCCTTATGGTGGGGGGGATACAAAAGTATTTATTATGATTCTCTTCTGTTTGACTTTTCATTTTTATATCATGTTTATGTCCTAAGAGAAGATATTTTTTAAATGCCTTATGGATAGGAATTAGTACTAAGCAATGTGTCTTGCATTTGTTTTCAATAGGAAAACAAAGTTCTAGATAGGTTAAAAGAAAAACACCATAAAAGTGGTAGTATATTTAAGTGGAAAATTATGTATTTTAAAGTGTGTAACTATTAAAAATATATTGCCTGGAAAAGGAATACTACTGTTTTGTTTTGTTAAGACCACAAACTGTATTGCTAAGGACATTTTAAGAGTCTGCTTAGCCATAACACTCATTTAACAGCATGGGTAGTAAGCATGGTTTCTTGCAGAAAACACAAAGTTCTCAGCTAACACATTAAACTTCTCACTTTATATACTTTTTTTCAGAGAAATTTATCTTTAGTTTTTCTTATTCTGTGAAAATATTTGTTCTTATGTCAAAGAATTATTTTTCAGATATATTGGTAAAGATGGACTGATATTAAAAGTCATATTTATTCTTTTACCCCCTTACTGTGTTTTGTGATTTTCATTTTTGGCCCAATTATTACATATCAGGTTTTCCTGATTTATATTTACATGTTTGAAAAGTTCATTATATATTTTAGTAGCGTTACATATATTATAAATTTTTGTAACATTTAAATGTTCACTTATGTGGCATTTTCTGTTTCTCATTGGTAATAAGCATTTCTAATATAAGCAAGTAAAAATACAAATTTAATTACTTAGAAATGATAACTAAGATCACAATGACTGTGTACCCTTTAAAATATCTTTTAATTTGAGGAATTACATTCTATCTAAATTGTGTGTCTGTTTTTGAAAGGTGTTGCTTTCAAGTAGGTGGTTTTTATTTAAAGTACTTATTTTTTTGAGGTTAAAATATTCAGAAACTACTTTTATGCATTGTAGCAGTAATCATTTATGGAATGCTTTTGACATGTTTTAACAGGGTAACCAAAACTTTTAGGCCTGTTTTTTTTGGTTGTCCTTGTTGTTATATTTTTAATGGAAATCTGTTACTCAGGCTGGTAGCATTAAATTAGCTTTTTACCCTCAACTCAAGTAGCAAATATCATGGAGAACTTCAGTGTTTAGCAGGCTGTTAATTTCCCATCTATGAATAGCACTTTATGATGTAGGCTAAACTAAGCAAATAATGCAGCGTTATGTGGATCATTATGCAATAAAGCTGCTAAAGTCACATTTGTGGTTGATACTCAAGCCTTGTACAAGCACATATGATGTAGACATTTTTAAATGTGAAGCTTTAACAGGAATAGGATAGCTGTTTCAAACCTTGTGCAATTGTAAATAAATTGTTTAGCTGTGTTTCTTTCATTTTTAATAAAAAATTAAAAAGAATTCATGTGTAATTATTCAGATCTGCATTCCAGGAATTTTTAGTATGTTTACATGAAAAGTTGAAACAAACTGATTATGAAAAGATGATTAGCTGTACATATTAACTCAGAGCTACAGTTTTATATGAAATCATTTTGAACATTTATTTATTAGCTTAATTTCTGTGAAAGTGATTATTAGAGAAGCTTAACATAAAACTTCAATTGTTTCATATATTAAATTTTTTTAATATAAAACAATATAAAATTTTATTTTTTTATTACATAAGCTAATAATAATAGTGCAAGTTTGTTCTTTTATCCCCAAAGGAAAAATATGGTAAAAGTTATATCTTGACTAAGGATCTGAGGGTCAACATTTTAATACCAAAATGCTGTGTTTATAATTAATATATTCAAAATATACTCATCTTTAAACCAAATGTTATATACTAAAAGACATCAGAAAGTATCTACTAAATAGTACAATATAGTAACCACCTTGTAACACTGTACTTAATATAGCCCAGTTTTATAAAATACTGTAAATAGTTCTACCGTCTAAGCAATTCTAGATTTTATTTTTCCCTTTGTGCAACAAATCAGAATGCGTGATTATAGAATGCTAAAAGCTCTTGGAGATACTTTGCCAGGCATCTTTGAGGAGAAATTTTAGAGAATCAACGACACTTGATTAAGCATTTATGAACCATAAGTTTTTCTTCTGCTCTCCTGTGGAAAAAAAACAAACATAAAATAAAACAACAAACCATATTGGCAATTGCATATGTTTATAAACATTCCATTATTTTTTTTTTCTGTTTTAATTATCTTTTAAGATGAAATAATCTGTCCATAGGCTAGAGCAGCAAGTTTATGCAAGAGAATATGAAAACATCCTTCCTTCTAGTAGAATATGTATCCATAGTGCATGATGTCCACTGAAGTTTGTAATATTTTTACATGCAATGTTACTATTGCAGTTATTAACAACCTATAATGTTTTGCACATAGTAGGCTTTCAAATGCTGTTAGGATTCAACATGGGACATAAAGCCTAAGAATGGAACCAGATTCCCTAGGGTTTCAGTATTTGATTTCTAGATGACTAGAAGACTGCCCTGGTGTAATCTATGTGTCTTGGAATTTTTTTATGGTGATGAACAAAGTAAACATTTGACCTGGAAATCACTGGAAATATTCGAACCAAACAAAAGAGTAATAAAAAGTAAACCTATCCTTAACTTTAAAACCAAGCATGGGTTCTTCTGGTTGATGGGTGTATAGTTGAGAAAGCATATTTCTCCAGAACTATTCAGTTTCACTGACAGGGAAGTATTTTTTGGCACAATAACCAATTATTGAATTATTTTATTTTATTTTATTTTATTATACTTTAAGTTCTAGGGTACATACGCACAACACGCAGGTTTGTTACATATGTTTACATGTGCCATGTTGGTGTGCTGCACCCATTAACTCATCATTTACGTTATGTATATCTCCTAATGCTATCCCTCTCCCCTCCCCCACACCCCACAACAGGCCCCGGTATGTGATGTTCCCCACCCTGTGTCCAAGTGTTCTCATTGTGCATTTCCCACCTATGAGTGAGAACATGTGGTGTTTGGTTTTCTGTCCTTGCGATAGTTTGCTCAGAATGATGGATTCCAGCTTCATCCATGTCCCTACAAAGGACATGAACTCATCCTTTTTTAATGGCTGCATAGTATTCCATGGTGTATATGTGCCACATTTTCTTTATCCAGTCTATCATTGATGGACATTTGGGTTGGTTCCCAGTCCTTGCTATTGTGAATAGTGCCACAATAAACATACGTGTGCATGTTTCTTTATAGTAGCATGATTGATAATCCTTTGGGTTTATGCCCAGTAATGGGATGGCTGGGCCAAATGGTATTTCTGGTTGTAGATCCTTGAGGAATTGCCACACTGACTTCCCCAATGGTTGAACTAGTTTACAGTCCCATCAACAGTGTAAAAGTGTTCCTATTTCTCCACATCCTCTCCAGCACCTGTTGTTTCCTGACTTTTTAATGATTGCCATTCTAACTGGTGTGGGATGGTATCTCATTGTGGTTTTGATTTGCATTTCTCAGATGGCGAGTGATGATGAGCATTTTTTCATGTGTCTGTTGGCCACATAAATGTCTTCTTTTGAGAAGTGTCTGTTCATATCCTTTGCCCACTTTTTGATGGGGTTGTTTGATTTTTTCTTGTAAATTTGTTTAAGTTCTTTGTAGATTCTGGATATTAACCCTTTGTCAGGTGGGTAGATTGTAAAAATTTTCTCCCATTCTGTAGGTTGCCTGTTCACTCTGATAGTAGTTTCTTTTGCTGTGCAGAAGCTCTTTAGTTTACTTAGATCCCATTAGCCAATTTTGGCTTCTGTTGCCATTTCTTTTGGTGTTTAAGTCATGAAGTCCTTACCCATGCCTACGTCCTGAATGGTATTGCCTAGGTTTTCTTCTAGGGTTTTTATGGTTTTAGGTCTGACATTTAAGTCTTTAATCCATCTTGAATTAATTTTTGTATAAGGTGTAAGGAAGGGATCCAGTTTCAGCTTTCTACATATGGCTAGCCAGTTTTCACAACACCATTTGTTAAATAGGGAATCCTTTCCCCATTTCTTGTTTTTGTCAGGTTTGTCAAAGATCAGATGGTTGTAGATGTGTGGTATTATTTCCAACGACTCTATTCTGTTCCATTGGTCTATGTCTCTGTTTTGGTACCAGTACCATGCTGTTTTTGTTACTGTAGCCTTGTAGTATAGTTTGAAGTCAGGTGGCATGATGCCTCCAGCTTTGTTCTTTTGGCTTAGGATTGTCTTGGAAATGTGGGCTCCTTTTTGGTTCCATATGAACTTTAAAGTAGTTTTTTCCAATTCTGTGAAGAAAGTCATTTGGTAGCTTGATGGGGATGGCATTGAATCTATAAATTACCTTGGGTGGTATGGCCATTTTCACAATATTTATTCTTCCTATCCATGAGAATGGAATGTCCTTCCATTTGTTTCTGTCCTCTTTTATTTCGTTGAGCAGTGGTTTGTAATTCTCCTTGAAGAGGTCCTTCACATCCCTTGTTGGTTGGATTCCTAGGTATTTTATTCTCTTTGAAGCAATTGTGAATGGGCGTTCACTCCTGATTTGGCTCTCTGTCTGTTAATGGTGTATAGGAATGCTTGTGATTTTTGCACATTGATTTTGTATCCTGAGACTTTGCTGAAGATGCTTATCAGCTTAAGGAGATTTTGGGCTGAGATGATGGGGTTTTCTAAATATACAATCATGTCATCTGCAAACAGGGACAATTTGACTTCCTCTTTTCCTAATTGAATACCCTTTATTTATTTCTCCTGCCTGATTGCCCTGGCCAGAACTTCCAACACTATGTTGATTAGGAGTGGTGAGAGAGGGCATCCCTGTCTTGTGCCAGGTTTCAAAGGGAATGCTTCCAGTTTTTGCCCATTCAGTATGATATTGGCTGTGGGTTTGTCATAAATAGCTCTTATTATTTTGAGATACGTCCCATCAATACCTAATTTATTGAGAGTTTTTAGCATGAAGGGCTGTTGAATTTTGTAAAAGGCCTTTTCTGCATCTATTGAGATAATCACGTGGTTTTTGTCTTTGGTTCTGTTTATACAATGGATTATGTTTATTGATTTACATATGTTAAACTGGCCTTGCATCCCAGGGATGAAGCTAGCTTGACCGTGGTGAATAGGCTTTTTTATGTGCTGCTGGATTTGGTTTGCCGGTATTTTATCGAGGATTTTTGCATCGATGTTCAACAGGGATATTGGTCTAAAATTCTCTTTTTTTGTTGTGTTTCTGCCAGGCTTTGGTATCAGGATGATGCTGGCCTCATAAAATGAATTAGGGAGGATTCTCTCTTTTTCTATTGATTGGAATAGTTTCAGAAGCAATGGTACCAGCTCCTCTTTGTACCTCTGATAGAATTCGGCTGTGAATCCATCTGGTTCTGGACTTTTTTTGATTGGTAGGCTATTAATTATTGCCTCAATTTCAGAACCTGTTATTAGCCTATTCAGGGATTCAGCTTCTTCCTGGTTTAGTTTTGGGAGGGTGTATGTGTCCAGGAATTTATCCATTTCTTCTAGATTTTCTAGTTTATTTGCATAGAGGTGTTTATAGTATTCTCTGATGGTAGTTTGTATTTCTGTGGGATTGGTGATGATATCCCCTTTATCATTTTTTATTGCATCTATTTGATTCTTCTCTCTTTTCTTCTTTATTAGTCTTGCTAGCGGCCTATCAATTTTGTAGATGTTTTCTAAAAACCAGCTCCTTGGATTCATTGATTTTTTGAAGGGTTTTTTGTGTCTCCATCTCCTTCAGTTCTGCTCTGATGTTAGTTAGTTCTTGCCTTCTGCTAGCTTTTGAATGTGTTTTCTCTTCCTTCTCTAGTTCTTTTAATTGTGACATTAGGGTGTCAATTTTAGATCTTTCCTGCTTTCTCTTGTGGGCATTTAGTGCTATAAATTTCCCTCTACACACTGCTTTGAATATGTCCCAGAGATGCTGGTATGTTGTGTCTTTGTTCTCATTGGTTTCGAAGAACATCTTTATTTCTGCCTTCATTTCATTATGTACCCAGTAGTCATTCAGGAGCAGGTTGTTCAGTTTCCATGTAGTTGCGCGGTTTTGAATGAGTTTCTCAATCCTGAATTCTAGTTTGATTGCACTGTGGTCTGAGAGACAGTTTGTTATAATTTCTATTCTTTTACATTTGCTGAGGAGTGCTTTACTTCCAACCATGTGGTCAATTTTGGAGTAAGTGTGATGTGGTGCTGAGAAGAATGTATATTCTGTTGATTTGGGGTGAAGAGTCCTGTAGATGTCTATTAGACCCTCTTAGTGCAGAGCTGAGTTCAATTCCTGGATATCCTTGTTAACTTTCTGTCTCGTTGATTTGTCTAATGTTGACAGTGGGGTGTTAAAGTCTCCCATTATTATTGTGTGGTAGTCTAAGTCTCTTTGTAGGTCTTTAAGGGCTTGCTTTGTGAATCTGGGTTCTCCTGTATTGGGTGCATATATATTTAGGATAGTTAGCTCTTTTTGTTGAATTGATCCCTTTACCTTTATGTAATGGCCTTCTTTGTCTGTTTTGATCTTTGTTGGTTTAAAGTCTGTTTTATCCGAGACTAGGATTGCAACCCCTGCCTTTTTTTGTTTTCCATTTTCTTGGTAGATCTTCATCCGTTTATTTTGAGCCTATGTGTGTCTGTCTGCATGTGAGATAGGTCTCCTGAATACAGCAGACTGATGGGTCTTGACTCTTTATCCAATTTGCCAGTCTGTGTCTTTTAATTGTAGCATTTACCTCATTTACATTTAAGGTTAATATTGTTATGTGTGAATTTGATCCTGTCATTATGATGTTAGCTGGTTGTTTTGCTCATTAGTTGATGCAGTTTCTTCCTAGCCTCCATGGTCTTTACAATTTCGCATGTTTTTGCAGTGGCTGGTACCAGTTGTTGCTTTCCATGTTTAGTGCTTCCTTCAGGAGCTCTTGTAAGGCAGGCCTGGTGGTGACAAAATCTTTCAGCATTTGCTTGTCTGTAGAGGATTTTATTTCTCTTCCACTTACGAAGCTTAGTTTGGCTGGATATGAAATTCTGGGCTGAAAATTCTTTTCTTTAAGAATGTTGAATATTGGCCCCCACTTTCTTCTGGCTTGTAGAGTTTCTGCTGAGAGATCTGCTGTTAGTCTGATGGGCTTCCCTTTGTGGGTAACCCGACCTTTCTCTCTGGCTGCCCTTAACATTTTTTCCTTCATTTCAACTTTGGTGAATCTGACAATTATGTGTCTTGGAGTTGCTCTTCTCGAGGAGTATCTTTGTGACATTCTCTGTATTCCTGAATTTGAATGTTGGCCTGCCTTGCTAGGTTGTGAAAGTTCTCCTGGATAATACCCTGAAGAGTGTTTTCCAACTGGGTTCCATTCTCCCCATCTCTTTCAGTTACACCAATCAGATGTAGATTTGGTCTTTTCACATAGTCCCATATTTCTTGGAGGCTTTATTCATTTCTTTTTACTTTTTTCTCTAAACTTCTCTTCTTGCTTCATTTCATTCATTTGCTCTTCAGTCACTGATACCCTTTCTTCCACTTGATTGAATTGGCTACTGAAGCTTGTGCATGTGTCACGTAGTTCTTGTGCCATGGTTTTCAGCTCCATCAGGTCATTTAAAGACTTCTCTACACTGTTTATTCTAGTTAGCCATTCGTCTACTCTTTTTTCAAGGTTTTTAGCTTCTTTGCGATGGGTTCGAACATCCTCCTTTAGCTCGGAGCAGTTTGTTATTTCCGATCGTCTGAAGCCTTCTTCTTTGAACTCATCAAAGTCATTGTCTGTCCAGCTTTGTTCCATTGCTGGCGAGGATCTGTGTTCCTTTGGAGGAGAAGAGGCGCTCTGATTTTTAGAATTTTCAGCTTTTCTGCTCTGGTTTCTCCCCATCTTTGTGGTTTTATCTACCTTTGGTCTTTGATGATGGTGACGTACAGATGGGTTTTTGGTGTGGATCCACTTTCTGTTTGTTAGTTGTCCTTCTAACAGTCAGGACCCTCAGCTGCAGGTCTGTTGGAGTTTTCTGGCGGTCCACTCCAGACCCTGTTTTCCTGGGTATCACCAGCCGAGGCTGCAGAACGGTAAATGTTGCTGTCTGATCCTTCCTCTGCAAGCTTTGTCTCAGAGGGGCACCCTGCCATATGCAGTGTCAGTCGTCCCCTACTGGGAAGTTTCTCCCAGTTAGGCTACTCAGGGGTCAGGGACCCACTTGAGGAGGCAGTCTGTCCATTCTCATATCTCAAACTCCATGCTGGGAGAACCACTACTCTCTTCAAAGCTGTCAGACCGGGACGTTTAAGAAGTTTCTGCTGCCTTTTGTTCAGCTATGCCCTTCCCCCATAGGTGGAGTCTACAGGGGCAGGCAGGCCTCCTTGAGCTGTGGTGGGCTCCACCCAGTTTGAGCTTCCTGGCCACTTTGTTTACCTACTCAAGCCTCAGCAATGGTGGAAGCCCATCCCCCAGCCTCACTGCCACATCGCGGTTCAAACTCAGACTGCTGTGCTAGCAGTGAGCAAGGCTCCGTGGGTGTGGGACCCTCTGAGCCAGGCACGGGATATAATCTCCTGGTGTGCCATTTGCTAAGGCCATTGGAAAAGCATTAGGGTGGGTGTGTCCCGTTTTTCCAGGTAAGGTCTGTCACTGCTTCCCTTTGCTAGAAAAGGGAATTCCCCAACCCCTTGCACTTTCTGGGTGAGGCGATGCCCCGCCCTGCTCTGTGGGATGCATGCACTGTCTGACAAGCCCCTGTGAAATGAACCTGGTACCTCAGTTGGAAATGCAGAAATCACCCGTCTTCTTTGTCACTCACGCTGGGAGCTGCAGACTGGAGCAGTTCCTATTCGGCCATCTTGGAACCTCTCTGGTTTATTCTATTAAATTGTTTAATATTTCTTTTCTGATACATAATAGATCAGGTTTTGACCAGATGAGCGGTCCTTTGTTCACATTCATACTCTTTGATCTGTGATTCTGGTAGTTGTGGTGGGTTGTGGATCACAGTGAATCTTTACTAATGCTTGATGGGTCTTAACGTTTTTTCTTTCAAGGCTATTCCTATGACCCTTGATAATAACTTAGTTGTCATGTGCACAGTTGCTCTCTTGAAAATCATATGAGTCAGAGCTATCTCCTTTTGGGGACTGAACACAATCTGGGCCTGTTAAATCTTTTGCCACAGCCCATAATCTGATTAGGCCCTGGAAGTGTGTCTCAGGGAAATATAATCAATTGTGTTGCTACAGTATTACAGGCAAGAATACTCTTAAGAAAGAAATTATGTTCTACCAGAGAGATTTGCATTCATTTTAAAGGAGTTTTATCTGCTTGTTTATGGGAATATCCTAAAATTAGAGTTTTTCTTGAGACTCTTTTGCTTTAAAAATAAACTTGAAGATATTTCGTTTTGTTAAGTTTAATTTGGAACTATTTCATTCATTTCACAAAAAGTTTTTAACTGCTGCTGTTTATAAAGTATAGTGCTGTGTAGTGGGCACAAAGTGAAGAAGACAGCCCTGCTAGGTTCCTGTTTTCATGGAGTTTACCTTCTAGCAAGGAGAGATGATAAAAACAGGGAAGGGGCTACAGACTGCTGGAGGGGGGAATTGCCGTGCATAATATGTGTGAAAAAGATTTTAGGCTGGTGAATTGTTCAGGGTTCTGGCAGGAAATAGAATTCACCAGATATGATTCAAAGGAAAAGTTCATGAAAGAATTGCCTAACAATATGGGCAGCGGTAAAGAAGCAGCAAGCACTGGTGAGACACTTAAGACTAGCAACATCCTGGAGCCATTATTGCCTCTGTAGCAGTAATGTGGGAAGAAGGACAAGAGGAAAATATTGTGTTTCTTGGATCTCAGAGTTAGAAGATTAAGGAAAGATTTCCTGGCAGGAGCTGAGGTCTCCATGAAAGGCAGCTATTGCCAGAGATGTGATGCCATCCTCCACCTGTTCTACTGGTGCTGTTTATTGGCCAAACCCAACTGGAAGCCAGCCAAAAAGGGCTCTCTAGGGATGCAGACAGCAGGATTTATCTTCCTGGGGGAGAGAAGGGGAAGAATATATGTGGTGGTGGCTGAGGGGGTGTTATAAATTGGAAAATGGACATTGTGCTGACTGCTTAAATAAGGGTATTTATAATGTTGCAAGATGTTAGAACAACTCAAAAGGAACTTTTGAAGACTTGGAAAGCTATTGCAGCTTTTTGTTTCAGCTTTCTGGTATTTCTGTTCCCAGTTGGCCATTCCATGCTGAGATAATCTGTGAGACTAATGGAGATGCTGCTTCTCTTGAGTTTATACCTCTTATCTGCGGTCTTCTCTTCGCAATAGAGAAGAATAATTGTTACAGTTAAAGAAAAGAATATCCTTAAAGTTCTGGCTAGACTCTGACCTGAAAGATTGTACAATATTGTCAAAATACAAATAAGTTGAAATATGCCATATGTGAATTATAGACTATAGTCTGAATACCTATGGATAACTTAAAAATCCTTCAGAATAAAATTCTTCTTTTTCCCTAGATTCCTTTTTTTAACCTATCTGAAGTCAGTAGTTGGCTTATTTCTTTTTATTTATTTTTGTAACTTCAACTTTTATTTGCAATTTGGAGGTAGATGTAAAGGTTTGTTACATGAGTATGTTGTGTGATGCTGAGGTCTGTGATATGAATGATCTCGTCACCCAGACAGCACAGTACCCAACAGATTTTCATCCCTTGTCCCTCCCACCCTCTCTTCTTTGTTAGTCCCCAGTGTCTGTTGTTGCTATCTCTATGTCCATGAGTACCCAATATTAGTTCCCACTTGTGAGAACGTGCAGTAGTTTTCTGTTCTTGTGTTATTTCACTTATGATAATGGCTTCCAGCTGCATCCATGTTGCTGCAAAGGGAATGATTTTGTTCTTTTCTATGGTTGCATAGTATTCCATGGTGTATATGTACCATATTTTCTTCATCCAATCCACTGTCGATTGGCATCTATGTTGATTCCATGTCTTTGCTGTTGTGAATAGTGCTGTGGTCAACATGTGTGTGCATGTGACTTTTTAATAGAATCATTTATTTTCTTTTGACCATATATCCAGTAATGAGATTACTGAGTCAAATGTAGCTAAGTTCTTTGAGAAATCTCCAAACTATTTTCTTCAGTGGCTGAACTAATTTACATTCCTACCAACAGTGTTTAAGCGTTTCCTTTTCTCCGCAGCCTCGCCAGCATCTGTTATTTTTGGACTTTTTAATAGCCATTCTGACTGCTTTGAAATGGTATCACATCGTGGTTTCTGATTTGCATTTCTCTGATGAATAGTGATGTTGAGCCTTTTTTCATATGTTTATTGGTTGCTTGTATGTCTTCTTTTGAGAAGTATCTGTTCATGTCTTTTGCCCATGTTTTTAATGAGGTTATTTGTTTTTTGCTCGTTCAATTACATTTCTTATAGATTCTGGATATTAGAACTCTATCAGATGCATAGTTTGCAGATATTTTCTTCCAACATGTAGGTTTTCTGTTGACTCTGTTGATAGTTTCTCTTGCTGTGCAGAAGCTCTTTATTAGGTCCCATTTTTCACTTTTGTTTTTGTTGCAATTGCTTTGGAGAATACAGTCATAATTTTTTTCCCAAGGCCAGTATCCAGAGTGGTGTTTCCTAGGTTTTCTTCTATAGTTCTTACTGTTTGAGGTCTTACATTTAAATCTTTAATCCATCTTGCATTAATTTTTGTATATGGTAAAAGGGGAATGGTTTCATTCTTTGCATATAGCTAGTTATACCAGCACCAATTATTGAATAGGGAGTCCTTTCCTCATTGATCATTTCTGTAAACTCTGTCAAAGATCAGATGGCTGTAGGTGTGTGGCTTTATTTCTGGCTTCTCTATTCTGTTCCATTGGCCTATGTGTCTAGTTTTGTACCAGTACCATGCTGTTTTGGTTACTGAAGATTTATAGTATAGTAAGAGGTCAGGTAAAATGATGCCTCTGGCTTTGTTATTTTTGCCTAGGATTCCTTTGGCTATTTGGGCTCTTTTTGGTTCCATATGAATTTTACTTTATTTTATTTTATTTTATTTTATTTTATTTGCAGTTGCAAGATTTAATAGAGTGAAGACAGAGATCCCATACAAAGGGATGGGACCCAAAGAGGGTAGCCATTGCTGGCTCGAATGCCTGGGTTTATATCCCGATCATTGTCCCTCCTGCTGTGCTCTCAGGTGATAGATGATGGCTATTTCTTTACCTCCTGTTTTTGCCTAATTAGCATTTTAGTGAGCTCTCTGATTGGTCGGGTGTGATGATGTCAGGGACAAAAACTTCCTGCCTTTTTAATGACTGTTATAGATCCCCTTTATTGTCCTTTGTTCAGACCAGATGACAGAAATCTCATGACTATTACACCCTCTGTAAAAAATGCTAAGTGTACCCTTCCCAAAAAGAAACACTGCCTGTAACCAAATATTCCTGTAACTGTGCACCAACCTTGTATAAATATTCCTGTAACTATGCAGCAAACTTGTATAAATAATGTGATAATCCTGCTAAAAACTCCTCTGTCTCTGCCTACATAAATGAACCTTAACTTCTCTACTGTAGATCGCTGACTCCATTCCTTTGGAGTTGGTGGTTCCAGATGAGTCATCCTCGTACATTTTGCTTGAATAAACCTTTAAATTAGATTTTCACCCTTTTGATTATTTTAGGTTAACATATTTGGTCAGGGGATTTAATATTGGATAAAATTTGAGAGTTTCAAGGTGCTGCATAACACTTTGTTATTTGGATTATTTATACCCTAGATTGTCCTTGCATTTCTTAAGCAAAGCATATCTGTACTATGTGGAAGTATTTGTAGTCCAGAAATTATTTTCCTAGTAAAATTTCTTGTGTTACCAATTCTGCCTGTAGCTTTTACATGCAAGTATTTAAATTCCTTTTTGGAGTACACCTTAAGTGCCTTAAAGTCGTTGGGTGATAGGGAATTCTAAAAACTTCTTAAAAAGTTGTGACGTTGGCCAGGCACAGTGGCTCATATATGTAATCCCAGCACTTTGGGAGGCCGAGGTGGGTGGATCACTTGAGGTCAGGAGTTCGAGACCAGCCTGGCCAAGATGGTGAAACCCCATCTCTACTAAAAATACAAAAATTAGCCAGGCGTGGTGGTGTGCACCTGTAATACCAGCTACTTGGGAGGCTGAGGCAGGAGAATCACTTGAACCCGGGAGGCAGAGGTTGCAGTGAGCTGAGATCACGCCACTGCATTCTAGGCTAGGCGAAAGAGGGAGACTCTGTCTCAAAAAAAAAAAAAAAAAAGGTTGTGAAGGTTAGTACATTGCAGTATATGTCTAAAAGGTTGATCTCAGTAGTATACAGGTTTTAAGAAAGGGAGAGGATTCCATGAGCAAACAAGTTTGGGATGATATTCAGCTAGGCAAATTAGATATTTCTTTTAGTTTTGACTGCAGGAATTCTTACAGCATTTAGTGCCCATTTGGCTTTAAATCTAACAGAACAGTCCATGGAACACATTGTGGAAATATAACAGTAGTAGTGGTTACTACACTGGTAATTAGGCATCCAAGACACCAGTGGATGCTTGAAACTGTGAATAGCACTGCCATCAGCTTGAAAACATTCAAATGATATGTTTGAATGTCGGACATGAATTCATACCTAAGTGTTTTGAATTTATATCTGAGCTTTGTTTCTTAATAGTTGTGGGACCTTACACATGTTATTAACCTCTGAGCTCCATCTTAACTGTAAAATAGTTCTAGTGCTATATACTTTAGGTAAATTAGATAATGTGCACAAAGCATTGTGTTGTGGATACTAGGTAGTCACTATACAGTGGCTTCACATAAATATTCTGTTTTCAAATAGCATTTCTGGAGCTGGGTGCAGTAGTACCTGCCTGTAATCCTTGCTACTCAGGAGGCTAAGGTGGGAGGATTCCTTGAGCCCAGGAATTTGAGACCAGCCTAGGCAACATAGAAAGACCCTGTTTCAAAAATAAATAGCATTTCTGAAAATGAGATGTAACCCCCATAAGATAGCTTTTTACAAATGATTATATATTTGAATAGAAAGTTGGGCTAGGGAAATCATCTTTATATTCAACGGCTATTATTAGTTTTTCATGACCAAAACCAAAATGGAGTGATAGGAATAATTAATTTGAGGTAAAATTTAATCCATCAAGTAAAAATTAAATCCTGTTTTCTGAGAGATCAAGATACTATGATCCAGGTGTGTTTTTAATAATACATAACAATGAACAAGAGCTCATAAAATGCAAAAGAAAAGGATTTATAGAATCTGTGTCAAGTATTAGTATCTAAAGTAAACTTAGCTCATGACAGATTTCTCTAGTGGCTCCTAGAAACTGCTGATAGTCTTGTTAGTTAAAAAGCAGCATGTACTACAGAGCAGTGCTTTTCAAACATTAACATGCATAGAGATCATCTGGGGTTCTTGTTAAAAATGTAAATATGATTCAGTTGGCCTGAGGCAGGCTCGAGAGTCTGCATTTCTAACAAGCTCCATCCAGGTGAAGCTGGGCTTTATAAACCAGAAATGTTGCTCTGCGCATGTGTGAAGGGGGAGCCAGAATAGGAGGTATAGGAACATACACTTTAGTTTACCAGGAAAAAAAATTTTTTTGGAGACGGAGTTTCGCTCTCGTTGCACAGGCTGGAGTGCAATGGTGAGATCTCGGCTCACCGCAACCTCCGCCTCCTGGGTTCAAGCGATTCTCCTGCATCAGCCTCCTGAGTAACTGGGATTATAGCCATGTACCACCACGCCCAGCTAATTTTTGTATTTTTAATAGAGTCGGGTTTCTCCATGTTGGTCAGGCTGGTCTTGCACCCCCGACCTCAGGTTATCTGCCTGCCTCAGCCTCCCAAAGTGCTGGGATTACAGGCGTGAGCCACCGCGCCTGGCCTACTCGGAAAATTAAGTGGATCAACTGAAATGAAAACTGTCATCTGAGGTAGCCCTCGTGATATTTATAGGTAAGGCCAAAGTTGTTTCTTAAGCTTTGAATCGGCTTGGATTTTTGGGCAAACATTTAGTTGACTCTAAGATACTATGTCATACAGCATAAAGGAGAGAGTCTGGACTTCTCAAATTAAGTGCAGGGATTATAAATCACCTCAACTGTGTAAAACAAACCAAGCAATCTCGGCATGGATCTTCCAGAATGTGTCTGAATAGAATTTAAGTGATTCTGACCCTTTGTCTTTGATGATACGAGAATGAGTCAATTGCAGAATACATCCACAATTAGCTGAAAGATTTGTTAGGGTTTTTGTTTTTTTTTTTTTTTGGTTGTTGTTGTTTTTTAAAGGCAGGGTCTTAAAAAAACTCTTTGCCCAAGCTGGAGTGCAATGGCTATTCACAAGTGCTATCATGGCGTCCTTCAATCTCAAACTTCTGGGCTTAAGCGATCCTCCTCCCTCAGTCTGTAGCTGGGATTATAGGCCTGTGCCATTGTGCCCAGTTTAGGATTTATTATTTCAAAAGTTTACTATTTGTTGAGTGCTGTATTCCAGGAACTATGCAAATTGCTTTTTGTAGATCTTATTTTAATTCTCATATCTTAAGTGTATCATTTTACCCATTTTACAGGTGAGGAGACTGAGGATCAAAGGGGTTAATAACCTGTCTAGGGTCTCAAAGGTAATAAGTGGGATTTGAATCCGAAATTTATCCCAAAATCTAAACTTTGAACAATTATCCAACCTTCCTATTAAAACCATTTAAATATTGAGGAATGTTTGCTAAATATAACAGTAATAATAATTGGAAAAATTGTTTCTACCATTAACTCTTAGAAGAAAAGATTTAAATGACTGCATGGGATTTCATTGTTGGATAATTAGGTTTTTTAGAATTTGTTCTTATAAATAATACTTTAAAGAATGTCCTTGGTATAGGAGTTTCAAAGTGGCTACTCTAGGAGGAATATACCTGTATATGTTTTGTTTCCTCAGCTGTAAATGGGAAAAATACTTACCTTGTTAAAAAAAAAAAAAAAAACAAAACCATGAATTT
Source organism: Homo sapiens (assembly GCF_000001405.40). Lineage (NCBI taxonomy): Eukaryota > Metazoa > Chordata > Mammalia > Primates > Hominidae > Homo > Homo sapiens. Next base: position 115,110,116 of record NC_000005.10, on the reverse strand, counting down.
GAATGCCTTTCTACTTTCCAGCAGGACATGCCCTCTTCAGCATCAGGCTCACGTCATGCCTTTGTTACTTGCTCTGTCTCTGAAAGCCTGAGTTTCAAACTCACATAGAGTTTGAAGAGATGTGCAGTAGTTCCCCCTTATCCTCAGGACGATACGGTCCGAGACCCCCAGTGTTTGCCTGAAACTACGCATAGCACTGCCATCAGTTGGAAAACATTTCTGTTCACATCTTCCACAACCTTACTGCCTTTTTCATGTTAACTAAGCACTTATTACTCACTGTGGCTGTAACTTCTGCAGTTTGAATTGCAACAGCAAAACTAGCACGATTTTCTTTTTCCTTCTTCACAGCGTCATAGATTTGTTCTTACTGTAGATCTTAGCAACCTCAGCATACAATTTTTTTCGTTCCTGATAAAATCGAGAGCTGTCACCTTTTTACTTAAGGGAAGCACTTTACAACTTTTCTTTGGTATATCTGAATTGCCGGCATCACTAATCTTGCTCTTTGGAGCCATTATTATGTAAAATAAGGGTTACTTGAATATAAGCACTGTAATACCTCAACAGTTGATCTGATTACAGAGATGGCTCCTAAGTGACCAAGGGTGTGTAGTGTCTACAGAGTGGAAATGCTGGACAAAGGGATGATTCAGTCCTGGGTGGGACAAAGAGGAATGACAGAAGATTTCATCTCGCTACTTAGAATGGCAAGCAATTTAAAACGTATGAATTTTTTATTTCTGGATTTTTCCACTTATTTCCAGACTGCAGACCATGAGTAACTTCAGTTGTGGAAAGTGAAGCCACAGATAATGGGGACTACTCCATAGCTAACTGGGAAAATGAGAAATTCTCCATCTTTTCAGTAGCTTTAGTAGACTTAAGCATTTTCAAAGGAAACTTGTAAAGTGGTAATGCAGATGAATTGACAGGGAGCCTGGTGATCAGAAGTCATCTTCATGGGCCATTTTCAGATTTAGATGATTCATTCTAAAATGGGTGGAGTTACTGGATTCTAGCTAGGAAAAACCCCGTTATCTACAAGGTGTAGAATTGTTCTCAGTAGCACCTTGTCCACCATTAGTAGAGATGTGCAGCACTTTGGTGACGGTGTCCCCAAATCTGTCATAATTATCAGCTTAGTTTATTACACTCTTCACTGTTTTCCTTTGCACTAACATAGAAATTAATTAAGAATGGATTTTATTGTGTGAGTAGTCTAACTTGAAGTCTGTTTGAGATAATTTTCCTAAGTTCCCCAAAGATATTTTGCTTTATCAGTTTTTTTTTTTTTTTTTTTTTTTTTTTGGAAACAAGATCTCACTTCGTCACCCAGGCTGGAGTGCAGTGGCATGATCTCAGTTCACTGCAGCCTTGACCTCCTGGGCTTAAGGGATCCTACCACCCTAGTCCTCCAAATAGCTGGGACTATAAGCATGCACCACATGCTCAGCTAGTATTTTTGTATTTTTTGTAGAGATGGGGTTTCGCCACGCTGCCCAGGCTGGTCTGGAACTCTTGAGGTCAAGTGATCTGCATGCCTTGGCCTCCCAAAGTGCTGGGATTAAAGGTGTGAGCCACCATGCCTGGCCTGCTTTGTCGGTTTTAGTTTAACCAAGAGCCACAATAATCTCTCTCCAGAATTATTATTTATTTTACTTCCAGAATCCAGGTAAGAAAGAGAGAATTAAGTAGGCATAAAAGCCTTCAAGGCAGGTTTGAGCCTGTCCACAATTTGTGTAGTTTGAGAACTAAAATTATGTAATGCTTTAAAAGGTTGTTTATGAAACTACAAAGGTTTTCAGTCTATACTGACCTTCTTATTTCCATATCCCAGCATTCCACTTCATTCCATTTCTATTGATTTAGGGTCAATAGAAATGTAAGAAGCATTGATTTCAAAGAAGTAATCACATTGAACATTGTCCAAACTATTTTGTTAATGGAGCTAAGTGAAATAAAGTTTAATTATGTAAATGAATTATGTTAGTTCCTAAATTAATCTAGAAATTAAATTCACTCATTTAGACTCAATGTATGACTTTTTACCATTCTTACATTATGATAATCTATTACTTGGCCCTTTTCCCCCAAATGACAATTTTACTAAAGATATTTTTAAGTATTTGCAATCTAGAATCCCTGTGAGTAAGGTCATTAGATGACCTTTGACATTTGGATGGTTGTTAACTTGGATCTAGACATCTGAGGAATCTAAAGTAGCATTAATAGAAAAGATGGATGCAGTATGACAGGGTAACTCAGACTGAAGGATTAGGTTCCTACATGTGCTGTTAACGTATTAACTGAAATTAGGCTGGCTACCCTCATCTCCTTTACTAAGAGATTAGATTTCAAATATGAGGAAATCTGATATTTAAAGATCAGATCTCTTATAAACAGATGACAGATGAGTTAAGTCTTTAGAGGAAGATTAGAGAATCTGGATCTTTGCATTTTTCTCATCTTGACATTCTGTGAGAGAGTTTTAGTCATTTCACACCATCTGTGTTTGTTTTTGGAGTTTTAGGATTTCATAATTCCAGTATATTAACTAACACCACCAACATTGTGGACCCCTCACTCTTGGATGATCCCAGTCCCTTGGATGCTCTTATCTTTGCACTTGCCTTCACCTATTTGCCAATTGCTCTACAATTTAATGTTTCCAGCCTCGACCTCTCCTCTGAGCCCCAAGGCCATTTATGTAACCACCAACTTTGCATGGACACTTGGATGTCTCAATGGTGCCTTAAAATGAAACTTATTTCCGAGGGCTCTTGACCTTTCCCCTCAGCCAGGCAATTCATTTAAAAGAAAATTTTATTTCAATAGCTTTTGGGGTACAAGTGGTTTTTGGTTACATGGATGACTTACATAGTGGTACATTCTAAGATTTTAGTGTACATGTCACTTGAGTTGTATATGTTGTTCCCAATATGTAGTTTTTTATTTCACACCCTACTTCCCACTCTTCTCCTTCTGAATCTCCAAAGTCCATTGTATCACTGTATACCATTGCATATTCATAGCTTAGCTGCCACTTGTGAAAATATATGCTATATGGTTTTCCATTTCTGAGCTATTTCACTTAGAACAATGGCCTCCAGCTCCATCCAAACTGCTTTAAAAGATATTATTTCATTCCTTTTTATGGATGAGTAACGTTCCATTGTGTGTATATTGTATGTGTGTGTATATTGTATATAACACACATTTTCTTTATCTACTTATTGGTTGATTGGTATTTAGGTTGGTTCCATATCTTTGCAATTGTGAATTGGGCTGCAATACACATAAGTGTACATGTGTAATTTTCATATAATGACTTATTTTGCTTTGGGTTGATACCCAGCAGTGAAGTTGCTGGATCGAATGGTAGGTCTACTTTTAGTTCTTTAAGGAATCTGTATACGGTTTTTCATAGAGTTCGTACTAATTTACATTCTCCGTAGCAGTGTGTTTCCCTTTCACCACATTCATGCCAACGTCTATTGTTTTTTGACTTTTTAATGCCATTCTTGCAGGAGTAAGGTCGTATCGAATGGTGGTTTTAATTTTCAGGCAATTTGTTGTTAAAAGAAGAGCTATTAAAAATCTTCTAAGAGTTAGAATAGTGGGTTGAAAAGATAGTTTTGATAGAGGGTCATTTTGGTATCCTCAGTCGCTCATCAAAGTACATCAGAAAATTGTGCCAGCAATTTGCCATACCACTTCTGAAAGTCTAAAGAATAACAGCTTCTATGGTAGATTATCTCCTCTCCCCCACCTCATCAGTGTCATTTAAATTCTGGCTTAATTGCTCCCCTAGATTTTGCCAGCTTTGCATTTGGCACTCTTTTTGAATACACTCTCTAGGGATTGTGGTGCAACATGGAGAACTTTGACGCAAGCTAGACTTGAACTCAAATTGCAGCTCCACTATATTTATTAAGGAATAACCTTGGCAGCTTCATAACCCCTCAGAGCCTTTGTTTCCTCATTTGTAAAATGGGAAAAATACCTTTCTTGTGGGATTTCTGCAGATTAGATTAAATAATGTATGCCTGGCATAAAAGTACTCAGTGAATGTTAATTCCCTCCCACCTTTTCTTTTCTTTTTTTCTTTCCTGTCCCAGGCTGGAATGCAGTGGTACGATCTTGGCTCACTGCAACCTCCACCTCCCGGGTTCAAGCAATTCTCGTGCCTCAGCCTCCCTGGTAGCTGGGACTACAAGAGTGTACCACCACACCCAGCTAATTTTTTTGTATTTTACTAGAGATGGGATTTCACCATGTTGCCCAGGCTGGTCTCGAACTCCTGAGCTCAGGCAATCCACCCACCTCTGCCTCCCAAAGTGGTAGGATTACAGGCGTGAGCCATTGCACCCAGCCCCCTTCCTGCCTTTTCAAACTGAGAATAAACTTCACAAGGCTGCGATTCCTCTAGAAGCCCTTGAGTTTCTTTATAATTCTCTCACAGGACGGAATTTACTTGTTGGTGCCTACCAATAATATGAACATTTCCTTTGACCTTGTTAGATTTGAAGAGTGTTTCCCTGTTTTTTGTTTTTTTGTTCTCTGGTGGTAAGTGTTCTGTTAATATGGATTATACCCAAAGCAACGACAAAAAAATACATTTTTCTAGTAATTTAACAATTTTATTTTTTGAACTACACCAATATATTGGATTAGATGATTAAAAAGTTGCCCTTAGATTGTTGTGTTGCTTCTATTGACAATTACCTTGGAGCTGCTTTTTGAGGTGCATGCTCTTGGTAGCTTGCTTGGCATGGTTTCTGGCATATAATAATTGCTCAGCAAATGCCAGGTCTGATTAGCCTATGGTACAACTATCGTCACGTCAATATTAATGACTAAATTATAATGACTCTTAACCACAGACTGGGAGTTCCCAGAATTATCAGACATATCCTCAGGACTGGATATGCTTGTGTCCTTGCACAATCACCCCTGACCACCTTTGTTGTCAGTGACACCAGAAAAATGCTGCGTTCCTTGCTGGGCTCAGCTACTCTGCACTGTAGCTTTTAGCAGAGTGCAGATGGTCCTCTCTCCAGCTATTGTCATATTTGACTATCTGGGTCCTGAGTCATTGCTGCTTGTGTCCAGGCTTAAGACAATCCTTCAGTTGGGGTTAGCAGGGAAGGAAATAGAAGAAATGTATTACATATTCCTCTTTCTCCTCCCCCTGCCCTCAAGCCAACCATCCGTTTACTTCCCTCCTTAGATTTTCAAAAGTCTAAAAGCCTCTGTATTCATTTCCTAGGGCTACTGTAATAAAGTACCACAAATTGGGTGGCTTAAAATGACAGAAATTTATTTAAATCAGGCTGTCAGCAAAGCCATATTCTCTCTGAAATCTGTAGGGAAAGGATTCTTTTTTGCTTCTTCTAGCTTCTGGTAGTCCCAGGTGTTCTTTAGCTTGTGGCAGCATCACTCCAGTCACATGGCCCTCTTTTCTCTGTGTCTCTACATCATCTTCCCCCTGTGTACATCTATATCAGTGTCCATATTCCGCCCCCCTCCATTTTTTTTTTTTATAAGGACACCAGTCAGTGGATTAGGGCCCACTCAAATGAACTCATTTAACTTGTTTACCTTGGTAAAGGTCCTATTTCTAAATAAGGTCACATTCTCTGGTACTAGGGGTTAGGACCTCATCATATCTTTTGTGGGGATCCATTATTCAACCCACAATAGCCCTCTATCTTTTAACTCAGGGGCTCCTGACAACCTCATTCTCTAACATCTATATTTGGAATCTTTACTTGAGCTCTGTAGGGATATTTGCATGGACAGGTGGAAGACTAAAACAATGATAAAGTGTTAACAGATTTTTTTAAATGATGACTCTCATTAAGACTTAGGCAGTTTAACAGTGGGGCATGATGGCTCATGCTTGTAATCCCAGCACTTTGGGAGGATGAGGTGGGCAGATCACCTGAGGTCAGGAGTTTGAGACCAGCCTGGCTATCATGGTGAAACCCTGTTTCTACTAAAAATACAAAAAATTAGCCAAACATGGTGGCACACACCAGTAATCCCAGCTACTTGGGAGGCTGAGGCAGGAGAATCACTTGAACCCAGGAGGCGGAGGTTGCAGTGATCCGAGATGGCGCCATTGCACTCCAGCTCAGGCGACAAGAGTGAAACTCCATCTCAAAAAAAAAAAAAAAAAAAAAAAAGAAGACTTAGGCAGCTTAAATTTTTCTCTTAAAATTTTCTAGTAATCTGTTTTCCTCCAGAAGTCTCTTAAGAATCCCAAAATGAGTTACTTTGGCTTGAAAACCAATACTAGTTCACTCATGTAAATGCCACTGCATTTAACAGACTAAAAGAGTACACAGAGTTTACATGTGTAAATCATCTTGGAACATACCATGGCTTTCTGATCAAAGCTCATATTACCAGGTAAGTTTCAAATGTCTCTAAAGTCATAAGTAGGAATACACTATCTCGAAAGACATTTCTTGCTCCATGAGTAGAATGCTAGGAGGTCACTCCAAATCCTTATTCCTTCAGTGTAGATGATTCTTCCTAGTAGTAGTTTGTGTCTAGAGTGGTGAGGGTCCAAGCAACCATGCCTTTCCAGTTACTAAGTGAGGAAGTGGAAATCTCAGCATTTACTACTCTTTGAAATCTTGAGAAGGATTTTGTTTTCAAATAAAATAGCTGAATATTTTTTCAAAATGATATTATCAAGTTTAGAGTGACTTCACCTCACTCCATCCAACTCAGTGGAGAAACCTGAGCCTAGTGGAAAAATTGCAGCACAAAAATATACATTAAATTGATTTGTAGGGAAAAAGTCACACTGAAGAGGTAGAGCATTTCTTTTGGCTGGTAAACATATTTTGTCTACCATGTATCAAAGCTGTAAACATAGTAAGACAACTCATACAATAAAGAACAAAAGACTTGAGTATATCACAAAAGAGGAAATTCAAAAGACCAATAAACATTCAGAGATATGCAAAATAAGATCACATTGAGATAGCAACACACCAGAGTGGCAAAAATTTTAAAGTCGGACAATGCCAAGTATTTGGAAGAATTTGGATCAATAGGAACTCATACATTGGTGGTAGGAGTATAGATTGATACAGCCATTTTTGGAAAATAGTTTATTACCTTGTAAATTTCAAGATTTGCATACCCAGTGTGATGGTTAATACTAAATGTCAACTTGATTGAAGGATGCAAAGTATTGATCCTGGGTATGTCTTTGAGAGTGTTGTTAAAGGAGATTAACATTTGAGTCAGTGGGCTGGGAAAGACAGAACAACCCTTAATAATCTGGGTGGACACCATCTAATCAACTGCCAGCAAATCTAATAAGGTAGGCAGAAAAATGTGAAAAGGCAAGACTGGCCTAGCCTCCCAGCCTACATCTTTCTCCCGTGCTGGATGCTTCCTGCCCTTGAACATTGGACTCCAAGTTCTTCAGTTTTGGGACTCGAACTGGCTTCTTTGCTCCTCAGCTTGCAGATGGCCTATTGTTGGACCTTGTGATCCTGTTAGTTAATACTATGTAATAAACTCCCCTTTATATCTATATATCTATCCTATTAGTTTTGTCCCTGTAGAGAACCCTGACTGATACACCCAGTGACCCAACAATTGTACTCAAATGTATATGTCGTGGGGAATTTCATACTATATTATTTAGAAATGTATTTGTAGGTACAAAAAATATTTGAAAAGCCCCATTACCATAAAAGTCAAAATAGTGTGACTGGGCACGGTGGCGCATGCCTGTAGTCCCAGCTACTCAGGAGGCTGAGGCAGGAGAATCGCTTGAACCCGAGAGGCAAAGGTTGCGGTGAGCTGAGATGGCGCCATTGCACTCCAGCCTGGGCAACAAGAACAAAACTCCATCTCAAAAAAAAAAAAAAAAAAGAAAAGAAAAGAAAAGTCAAAATATTGTTATTTCTAGGGATGAGAAAGAAAGCTGTGTCTGGGAAGCAACTAACTGGGGAGTATCTTCTGAGATGCTGGTAATTTCTTAATCTGGGTGATGATTATACGAGTGTTCACTGTAATTTATTCCTTAAAGTATGTATTTGTTTTTGTGTGTTTTCATATTTGTAATATTTCATAAAAAATAGCTAATGCAATAGACTTTTATTTTATTTTATTTTATTTTATTTTATTTTATTTTATTTTTTTCTGAGATGGAGTCTTGCTCTGTCACCCAGGCTGGAGTGCAATGGCACGATCTCAGCTCACTGCAACCTCTGCCTCCCGGGTTGAAGCGATTCTCCTGCTTCAGCCTCCCAAGTACCTGGGATACAGGTGCCTGCCACCATGCCGGGCTAATTTTTGTATTTTTAGTAGAGATGGGGTTTCACCATGTTGGCCAGGCTGGTCTTGAACTCCTGACCTTGTGATGTGCCTGCCTCGGCCTCACAAAGTACTGTGATTACAGGCATGAGCCACTGTGCCTGGCCACTTGATTTTATTTTTATATGCTTATTCTGGAGCATAAGTGAGAGGAAGGTGCCTATGGGACTTTGGAAAGATAATATGGCAACCGTTCTCACTGGGACTATATGTGCACATGTGACATTGGTAACCACGGGGCTGTTCATTGTACCAGGACATCCTGGTAGTGGCTTAGGCAATAAAGACACCTGGGTTCAGTTTCTCCCTTTTTTCCCTTTACTACTATATAACATGGGAAACCTAGAATTAGGCAGTTTCCCCAACTGTGAAATAGGGCTCAGATGAGCCACCTCATAGGACTGTAGTGATTAAATGAGGACTAAAATCAGATAACGCATGAAAGGCATTTTTACCACCAGGGCCTCAGTCTGCACCTGTAGTGCTTTTGTGTGAATTAGAGAGGCACCTCCTCCTGCAAGACACTGCTGGGCTTGAAGGTACACAGCTTGGAAAACAGACAAAGCCACTGTCAATTTAAAAAGGTACACCTTCCAGGCAGAGGCAATAAGTGGGTTTTGGGTCCCTGTCTCATTCTGCTGAGCTGAGTACTGCTGTGGTAAATTGCAGAACCATGTAGCAGCCTTGACATTAGGCATATAGTAAATGTTTAATGTAATTGCCATGATATGGATCCAAATTCCTATCCACTCAAAAGATGAGCTATATACTAGGAAGCAGATGAGCTTAAAATATACAGAGCCTCAATTTTTCCTGTTGGAGAAGTTTAACTTTTTGTACCAGCCTGAGGAATCATTTTCTGTTGATTCTGTTGTGTTTTTAAATACAACTTGACTGGAAAGAACAGTTTACTCATCTTCAAAACAGGAGTTGAGCTGGAACTACAGTTTATGTAACTTGCTGGCAGGAAGCCCAAGGATGCTTCAGGGTAGCAAAACAAAATGACTGGGAAGCGGGGTGGGGTGTGGCTGCTGCTGAATGGGTGAGGCCAGAGGTCTCCTCTCTCACCCGCTCCAGCTAAGAACATTACCTTTTAAGTTTTTTTTTAAATTTGAGATTCTGTGTGAGAGTTCATTTGAAGATGAAATTTCACTAGACCCTGCTTTCGGAAGTCCCTGTGCTCTAGCATTCTCTGTCTCTTAAGACTTCTGGATGACAGCATAATATAGAGATTAACATGTGAGTTTTGGTGTCAGACTCTGTTCTACTCACTTATCCATTCAACTGAAATGACCTTGAGCAAGTTATTGCTTCACGGAATTTACGTTGCTGTGAAGGTAAAATGAGTAATACGTTTAGCAGAAAAATAAGTGCTCTGGTATTGATGCAAAAACAGACACATAAACCAATGGAACAAATAGAGAGCCCAGAAATAAAGCTGCATCCCTACTACCAACTAATCTTCAACAAAGTTGACAAAACAAGTAATGAGAAAAAGACTCCCTATTCTATAAATGGTGCTGGGATAACTGGCTAGCCATGTGCAGAAGATTGAAGCTGGACCCCCTCCTTACACTATATACAAAAATCCACTAAAGATGGATTAAATACTTAAATATAAAACCAAAAACTATAAAAACGCTGGATGATAACCTGGGAAATACCATTCCGGACAATGGCCCTGGCAAAGAATTCATGACAAAGATGACAGAAGCAATTGCAACAAAACCAAAGATTGACAAATGGACCTAATTAAACTAAAGAGTTTCTGCACAGCAAAAGAAACTATTAACAGAGTAAATAAACAGACTACCTACAGAATGGGAGAAAGCATTTGTGAAATATGCATCTGACAAAGGTCTAATATCCAGAATCTATGTGGAACTTAAACAAATTAAGAAAAAAAACCATTAAAAAGTGGACAAAGGACATGAACAAAAGATACACGTGGCCAATAAGCATATGAAAAAATGCTCAACATGACTAATCATTAGGGAAACGCAAATTGAAACCACAATGAGATACCATTTCATACCAGCCATTTTTAATAACGGCTATTATTAAAAAGTAAAAAAAAAATAACAGATGCTAGTAAAGTTACAGAGAAAAGGGATCACTTACAAACTGCTGGTGGGAATGGTTCAACCATTATGGAAAGCAGTGTGGGCTATTCTTCAAAGTACTTGGAACTACCATTTACTGCTAATGGAATTACCATTAGCAGTTCCATCACTGGGTATATACCCAAAGGAATACAAATCGTTCTACCGTAAAGACACACACACACCTATGTTCATCACAGCACTATTCACAATAGCAAAGACATGGAATCAACCTGAATGCCCATCAATGGTAGACTGGATAAAGAAATTGTGATACATATATGCCATGGAATACTGCACAGCCATAGAAAACAGTAAGATCATGTCCTTTGCAGCAACATGGATGGAGCTGGATGCGATTATTGTAAGTGAATTTAGGAACGGAAAACCAAATACTACATGTTCTCACTTATAAGTGGGAGCTAAACATTGAGTACACATGGACACTAAGAAGGGACAACAGGCACCAGGGCCTACTTGAGGGTGGAGGGTGGGAGGATAGAGGATAAAAAAACTACCACTGGGTCCTGTGCCTACTACCTGAGTGACTAAATAATCTGTGCACCAAATCTCCATGACACACAATTTATCTATATAACAAACCTGCACGTGTACCCCTGAACCTATAATAAAAGTTTTTAGAAAAAGAAAAACAAATGCTCAAAAAATGTTAATTTTGAGAAGTGGACAAATCCCTCTATCATAAACTATGACTTTCCATAAACCTCATAGTTACTCTCCCAAGACAGTTTTCCCAAAGAGCAATCTGACTTTGTTGAGTGGTTTGTTAGGTAACCTGTATATATGCAATTTTAGATATGAGAGAGAGCCTTTAACTCTGGAAAAATATACAGTATTTCCCAAGCATTTGGGTAGTAGAAAGACTGTTTTCATGCTTTTCCCTAATGAAACTTAATTAACAAATTTTCCATCCTCCCTCATTCCCTACCACTGAATTAGTCTATGTCTAATCAAGTCTAGAAATGTCAAGGAAATTACCTCTCCCTTTTTAAATTCAGCATCTGGGTGAAATTAACTCTTGAAAAAAAATAGTTTTGATTTGATGGCTGGTTGATAGGCAATGACAACAGAGGCTATGAGAGTTTTGGGCTCTGCTTACAGAATCATTCACATGGAAAATGACAAGCTGTAACTGCCCAGGTAAAAATCAGAATTCAGCAACTACTGTTGAGAGTTTTCAAAAATAACTGGAGAGCAAGTTTTCCACAGCCCCCAAGTGAATTTCGGATGGCATTTTATTTTATGTCCTCTTTGGATTCTTTAACTGAGAAATCCCCTAGTTAGGAGGAAAAAAGCAACAACAAAAATGTGTTAGGCATGTGCAAGTGGAGAGTAGATTCTAAGTGAGGATATTGCCCCCTAGTGCTGAAATGTAGCCCAACCAGGAGCACCCCCACAAAGCACAGCTGAATATGGTTATGCAAAAGTCTCAAATTATTCATCTGATTTGACTTATTTGTGGATGCTCAAAAGAATTAACATATTAGACAGTGTTAGGCAATCTGCAGCTAACAATAACTCTTGCCCGTTTGAGTACCAGTTGGAAAACTTCCAGGGACTGTGATCTTATGTAAGTATAAGGTAGAGGTGATGACACTTTTAGAAGTAGCAGCTCATTTTGGTGAAGAGTTTTGGTTCATGAAGATTTTCTTTCACATTTGTGGTAAGTGGTTAATAATTTTACTGTTTGAATCTTGCCAATAGGATTTACAGCCAGTTGTCTTTCATGAAAGATAAGCTTGTTATACTTTTTATATAACTTGTATTAAGTATTGCTAGTATTAAATTCTGTATACAACGTCAGGATATTGAATTCAGTTTTTTAAATTTGGCCAACATGTGAGTTTGTCTTAGGTATCAGGCAAATGGCTTATTTGGGTTTTGTTGTCAGGGAGAGAAAGTTAAAATGGCTTCTTCATCTCACAACCTGTGTTGGTCAGGGGCCAACCAGGAGACAAAAACCACACAGTAATTTGAAAAGGAAAAGCTAAAGTATTAACTATGACCAAGGATTCGAATAACAGGGAATTGGCTGGTAAGAAGTAAAGAGAATGTTAAAGAATACAGAAATAGCAGTTACAGGGAATAGCCACTGTCCCTGGCACTGACAGAGAGCACCAACAAAGGTGCAAATTTCAAAAAAACATCCCCAAACCCCACCACCTCTACCGCCTGTCAGGTCTCCTGGCTGAGATCCAGACCTCAATGGAGAGGGTATGGGTGTGGCCATGGTGCTAAGATGCCAGGATGGTGACACTCCTTAGAAATGCTAAGGGAGGCTGGGTGCTGTGTCTCATGCCTGTAATCCCAGCACTTTCTGAGGCCAAGGTGGGTGGACCACTTGAGGTCAGGAGTTCAAGACTAGCCTGGCCAAAATGGCAAAACCTTGTCTCTACTAAAAGTACAAAAATTAGGCCGGGCACAGTGGCTCATGCCTGTAATCCCAGCACTTTGGGAGGCCAAGACAGGTGGATCATGAGGTCAGGAGTTCGAGACCAGCCTGACCAACATGGTGAAACCCCGTCTCTACTAAAAAAATACAAAAATTAGCCAGGCATGGTGGCGTGCGCCTGTAATCACAGCTATTCAGGAGTCTGAGGCAGGAGAATCGCTCAAACCTGTGGGGCAGAAGTTGCAGTGAGCTGAGATCGTGCCACTACGCTCCAGCCTGGGCGACAGAGCAAGACTCTGTCTCAAAAAAAAAAAAAAAAAAAAAAGAACTGAAAGTACAAAAATTAGCTGAGCATGTTGGCAGGCGCCTGTGATTCCAGCTACTCAGGAGGCCGAGGCAGGAGAGTTGCTTGAACCCGGGAGGTGGAGGTTGCAGTGAGCTGAAATTGTGCCACTTCACTCCAGCCTAAGTGACAGAGCGAGGCTCCATCTCAAAAAAAAAAAGAGAAGATTAAAAAAAAAAGAAAAAAAAGAAATGCTAAGGGAGCTGTTCAGAGGGAGGTATTATGCCTTAGGGCCAAAGTGGGTGTCAGAGAAAGCTGCCTACAGGGAACTGCTATAGACTGTGTGCTGCCAGTTGCCTGCTGCCACATGCTGTACGAGCCAAGAGTGGTGGAAGCTGCGTGCTTCAGAAGCCTACTGAGAGGAGCACACCAGAATCTGAAAAGCCATGCTTTTCCCTCCTCCTGTGTTCCTTCCATGTGCTCTACTGACAAAGCTTAACAATGTGCCAGCTGGCAAAAGGAAGATACAGGTTCTTTCTCTTTTATTATGGAGCAGGCAATGAAGAATGGATTTGAACCCCAGTCAATAAATGAATAACTGTACAGGATATTTTAAATATTTTTCAGTATTGGAAACATGCCTTTTTTTTTTTTTTTTTTTTTTTTTTTGAGACAGGGGCTTGCTCTGTTGCCGAGGCTAGAGTGCAGTGGCGTGATCATGACTCATTGCAGCCTCGATCTCCTAGGCTCAAGCCATTCTTCCGCTTAAGCCTCCTGAGTAGCTGGGGCTGCAGGGATGCACCACCAAGCCCAGCTAATTTTTATAGTTTTTGCAGAGATGGGGTTGTGCCATTTTTCCCAGGCTATTCTTTTCTAATGCAAGCACTTAACGCTATAAATTTCTCTAAGCACTGCTTTAGCTACATCCCACACATTTTAACATGTTGAGTTTGATTTTCACTCAGTTAAAAATGTTTTCTAATTTTCCTTGTAATTTCTTTTTACCCATGTGCTACTTAGAAGTGATTTCCTTAATTACCAACTACTTGAAGATTTTCCAGTATCTTTCTTTTATTGTTTCTAGTTTATTTCTGTTGTGATAAGAGAATAGACTCTATATGACTTTACTCTTATGTATACTGAGACTTGTTTTATCATGCTGAATATGATTTATCTTGATGAATGTTTCATGTTCATTTAAAAAGAATGTTGCTGGGTGAAGTGTACTACAAATTTCAACTAGGTCAGGTTAGTTGATGGTGTTCACATCCTTATATCCTTGCTGAGTTTTTATCTACTTATTCTGTGAATTACTGAGAGGGGAGCATTGAAATCTTCAAGTTATGATTTGGATTAGCTTATTTTTCCTTCCAATATTCTCAGCACTATGCAACCTCAGAAAATGCAAGTTCTGATTCAGGAGGTTTAGGGTAGATTCTAATAGTCTGCATTTCCAACAAGCTCCTTGGTAATGCTGTGCTGTTGCTGATTCCCTTATTACATTTTGAGTAGCAACATTCAAATCTACTACTTTACAATTTCCTTGATGAGAAGAACTGCTTGGTTATTAAAATACAAATTATTGGGCCTCATTGCAGGCAGGCCAAATCAGCATTTCCAGGGAAGGGCCCTGGAAAGCTGGATGTCCGATCAATATCTGTCAATTTATATCAGGTAAGTTTTGGGTGGGTGGGAAAATTGAGCGCGTAGGGGGATAACTATCAGCTTAGTTCTTACAAGTTTAGTTATTTTCTTGATCATTCAGCTACCAGCTTTCCTTTGGCACAGAAATATTCTCGGTTAAGCACACATTTTCTTTGTTTGCTTTGGATATTCTAAAATTCGTCTATTTTTCTGTGATGTATTTGTGTAGACCATGAAGGTAGGTAGGCAAGGCCAAACTTAACTTAGGTTTAGTCTGCCCATCTGAAATTTGGAGTCCAAACAATTCTCCTTTTGCTCTAATAGTGTATGTAATTGTGACACGAGTCAGAGAAATCCAAATGCCCACACCAGCAGTTGTCAAAGTACAGTCCTTAGAGGCTGGTTGGGCTACTGGGGAAACCAGGATGCATGAGGCCCAATCGACTTTAAAACTGCTTTTGTCTCTGGCAAATAATGAGTGTCCCTGTAAGATTTTAATTGAATAGGCTCTTCTACTAAAACCAGATACCAACAAAAATAACAATAGGTATAACTTTTAAGACCTGTGCCCTAGCTGATTAAAATACAATTTCTGATGAACCTCCCATTCTCTCTCATGTCCACACAAGATTAGAATGTAAGGCAGGCACCAGGAGAAACTCTTGAGATACAGGTTCTTTGGTGATGCTCAGTGGCATTTGGTCTATTTTCCAAGCTCCCGACTCCCTTACTATAAATCATGGAAAACTCCACAGATGTGAAAACCAAAGATCTCATATTCCAGAACAACTGATAATAACTATTCTATATGAAAGTGACCATGAGTCATATAATATACCCTGTTAAACACAAAATAAATGTATCCCCAACTCAACTTGCCCTTAGCCAGATTCCAAAATTGTCCTTGGCAACACCAGTGCCTTTTAACAGAAGGGAAGTCAAAGTGAAAAGACAAATTTAATAGAAGTCTTAGTTTTACCTTTGTAAATTTTACAAAAACATATGAACATGTGAATATCTTGCTAGTGCCCTTTCTGGAAATTTTGATGCTCCTGTGTAAGTGAGGGGCCTTGAAATTAAGCTTCATTAGCCTTATGGTAAATCCAGCTCTGGCCACTAATTCACCAAAATGTTTCCAGGTGCAGGTTGCCAATTCCAGTGGTCACATCTTGGTCCTCCTTTTACTCCAACTCTATCAGCATTGGGTTATGACCTTCTTATGGAAACACCTTTTCTGTTGATTTCCACAGCTTCTTCCTATTCTCCTGGGTTTTTCCTATTTCATAGGCTGTTCCTTCTCTGTCTACTCTGTGTGCCTCAGGGCTCAGTATTTGGGCCAAGAGAGAGTGAGCATTTGCACTCACTCTCTCATGATCTCATCTAGCCCTATTATTGTACCTATTGGTTATAAAAATATACCTTTCAAATTTATACCTCTGTCCTGGACGTCTCCCAAGGCTTGAGACGTGTAATTTATCTGCCCACTCACTACCCCACTTGGATGTCTAATGGGAATCTCAAAGTAATTGTGTTCAAAATGAAACCCAATTCCAAAATTATCTTCCCATTTTAGCAAATGCTTCCATTCAGTAGGTCAGTCTACAGCCTAGGACTCACCTCTTGATTTCTCTTTGCCTCTCATGTCACATAGGTCCATGAACAAGTGCATCAGTACTACCTTCAGAAAGTCTGAGTCCGACCATTTCCCCACTTTCCAACACAGCTGCTCTCATTCTAGACCATCACTATTTCTTGCCTGAACTCTTGTAATGGCTTCCATTCTGGTTCCGTGCTTCTACCCTTGTCCCATTATAACTTTTCTTCATCCTCTGCTCAGAATCTTCCAGTGCTTCCAGTCACATTTAGAACATAATTCAAAGTCTTATCAGGACTTGGAAGGCTGCCATACTGCGGTCCCCAGGCCAGCAGGATCAGTATCACTTGGGAACTTGTTAGAAATGCAAATTCGCAGGCCCCACCTATTGAGGCAGAAACTCTAGGGGTAGCCAGCAAAATGAGTTTTCACACACAGGGTATGCTAGTGAGACTGAGACCGGCTAAAATTTGAGAAACACAGTCCTATTACCTGTCCCATAGCTGGTTCTCTGACCTCCTCTCCTACCAGTCTTCCTCACTCATGGATATCCTGACTCACTGGCCTGGCTGTTCCTGGAACAAGTCAGATGAACTCCTCAGAGCTTTTGCACTTACGGTGCCTCAGCCTAAACTCTTCCCTCAGCCCTGTGGATGGCTGACTCCTTTGCTTCAGGTAGGCCTCTTGCTCAAGTGTCTTCTCCTCAGAGAGGCTTTCCCTGGCCACCCTTTCCAAAATCACACCACTTTTCCTTGTTTTTCTTCATAGCCCATGCTGCTGTTACCGGGGTGTCCTCGTTCTTAGAGCTCCCAGGATGGTGGTGGGCTGCTTCCAAGAAGGTGGTGGGCGGCTTCCAAGATGGTGGCAAGCCTCTTGTTCTCTGACCTGGGGTTCTTGGCCTCATGGATTCCAAGGAATGGAATCTTGGGCCATGCAGTGAGTGTTATAGCTCTATTCAGCTCGATTAGGACAAACCCCAGGCAGGAACAATGGGGAGCCTCTAGCCCAATTGGGTGCCGCCTCGCTGGATCAGAAGTGCAGCAGACACCCTGCCAGATCCGGAGGGGTGGAAGTCAGCAGCGGTGTCTGCAACGACAGCTATCAGCAGTGGTGGATGGTGAGGAAAAGCTCAATTCGAACGGGAATAAACACAGACCAGAGAGTGTGCAGTTGCAAGATTTAATAGAGTGAAAACAGAGCTCCCATACAGTGGGAGGGGACCCTAAGGGCGTTGACATTGCTGGCTGGAATGCCTGGGGTTGTATCCCGATCATTATCCATCCCCCTCTGCTCTCAGGTGATAGATGATTGGCTATTTATTTACCTCCTGTTTTAGCCGAATTAGCCTTTTAGTGAGCTGTCTTTACTAGCTGATTGGTCAGGTGTGAGCCAAGTTGCAAGCCCTGTGTTTCAAGGTAGATGTGGTCACCTTCCCAGCTAGGCTTAGGGATTCTTAGTTGGCCTAGGAAATCCAGCTAGTCCTGTCTCTCACTGCCAGCTGCAATGTTGTAGGTCTTCATTATCAATCTAAACTCCATGAGGTTAGGGATTTGATTTGTCCCCCTCTAGTCCATCTCCCGTGCTCAGAACACTGTCTAGCACACAGCATGAGCTCGTAAGTACCTGCTTCATGAATTACTGTACTGACACTATTTAAGTAGTGGAGGAGCCACTTTTTACTTCCCTCCCCCCTTTCCCCAGTAAAGCTCACCCAAGTATTTCTAGCTCCTTTATTCAATTGACCTTTGTAGATCTTGGCCAAGTTTAGGTGCATTTTTTTCCCCATATTTGTGAATCTGAGAGTACAGTGCAGAAGGGGAAGGGCTCTAGCTGTAGTGTCAGCAGGCTTTTCTTTTTACTTTGCTGTCTGGCTCTGCCTCAGTTGCTGACTTTGAGCATAGGTTTGAGCTCTATAAGTACCAGTTCCTACATTTGTAAAACAGGGATAATTATTCTCATACCCAAAATAGAGGTGAATTAAGGATTAAATGCATGAAAGTCACTTTCATAGTGCCTGACATTGGTAAGTGCTAAAGAAATGTTAGTTTTCTTTGGAACTTAGTGACCTTATGGCTAGGCATGGGGGCTCATGCCTGTAATCTCAGCACTTTGGGAGGCTGATGCAGGAGGATCTCTTGAGTCCAAGAGTTTGAGACAAGCCTGGGCAACATAAGGAGAGTCCCATCTCTATTAAAAAAAAAATTAGCCAGGCAAGGTGGCATGCCTGTAGTCTCAGCTTCTCATAGGGGTGAGATGGAAGAATTGCTTGAGCCTGGGAGCCTGAGGCAGCAGTGAGTGGTGATCCTGCCACTGCGCTCCAGCCTGGGCAACAGAGCTCCCTGTCTCAGGAAAAAAAAAAAAAATTTGTGATCTTGCCTTCTAAACTATGGAGATACCCCCAGAAAGTAATGAGAATGACCTGAATATCTGGTTTGCTGGGAGGTGGTTTAGAAGGAGGGAGAACCTCATCTGCTTAGAAAGCTCCTTTCAAAGCAGTATTACAAAGCAATTCTTTTTCTGAGGTATTCAGCATCTGGTGGCTTTGCAAGCTTTTAGCTTTTTATTTTATTTTCTCAGAAAAATATTTGTGCTTTTCTTGAGCTGCTGATTCACCTGTGACCAACTCTTTTTGTTGTGAAAACCCAGCAAGATATGCAAATGCAGAGGGCAGGCATGGCTGCAGGGAAGTTGGAAGCCCACCGCTGGGGCAATTATTCATCTTGGGGGAAACTCCTTTGAAATGGTGCATTTGTGGCCAGGTGCGGTGGCTCAAGTTGGGAGGCTGAGGCAGGTGGATAACCAGAGGTCAGGAGTTCCAGACCAGCCTGGCCAACATGGTGAAACCCCGTCTCTACTAAAAATACAAAAATTAGCCAGGCATGGTCGTGGGCCCCTGTAATCCTGGCTACTTGGGAGGCTGAGGCAGGAGAATTGCTTGAACCTGTGAGGAGGAGGTTGCAGTGAGCTGAGCCAGTACCATCGCACTCCACCCTGGGCAACAGAGCAAATATCTGTCACAACAACAATAACAACAACAACAACAACAACAACAACAACAAAGGTGCATTTGTGAAATTCTGAAGAAGCCCTGAAGGCTGAGGCAGTGAGTGGGAGGATATCTGCTAAGAAGTCGATGTCTGCAACCCTGTGTCTTTGCCAGTACCTTCTAAGCCAGCAAGTTACACCTTAGCGAGCACCTGCTCTAGAATCTATGCAGGTTTCCTTGTCAGTTCTCTCCCTTTCAGATGTCCCTGTGTGATGTGTGTGCCTGGGAGATATGTTGACCTTGGTACAACTAGAATGGTTAGAAATGTGTATTTGCCTCCTCCCAGGTTTCCCCTTTTTAGGGTTCTCACCTCATTTTCTAGTCTCAATTCTCTTTCCACTGGGGCCTTGA
Source organism: Homo sapiens (assembly GCF_000001405.40). Lineage (NCBI taxonomy): Eukaryota > Metazoa > Chordata > Mammalia > Primates > Hominidae > Homo > Homo sapiens. The sequence continues at coordinate 115,090,334 of NC_000005.10, read as the reverse complement.
AAGGGTGATAGTTGGAAATGACTTTAGGCTGATATCCTTGTCCTTATTAGCATAAGAAACCAAAGGCGTTTGAGATCTTAACGAATTAAATTTCAAAGGCTGAATTTCAGAGGAGGAAATGAGAGGAATTATCTCCACTGGAGCCTTTCTAGGGCCCCTCAAATTACAGTATTGGTAGCTATCTCCCTCTGTGTAGCTATCAGTCCTTGAGAAATGCAAGGTATTGAATTGATTTCCTTTGCTCTTAGTTCAATCTGTTTTTGTTGTTTTTATTTTTATCATAATAATGCTTTCATATTATATTTTGTGATTACTTCTGAGCTTACCACAAAACAAAAACCATACAAACATTATAAAATTGTCAAAACATTAGCTTTATTAAAGACAGAGCTGTTATTGAATGATTCTCCTATTATTTATTTCCCCTGTAGCTTGCTAGATCTTTGTTAACTTTCAGGAAGCCCCAGAACACAGGGTTATAAGTTGTTCTATATTTTAAATGTGCCAGTTCAGCCCCAATATAACACTTTCCTTTCCTCATTTTGCTCAGTGTGAAAACATGGAAATGAAGCCATGCTTTTCCTGGATTTCTCTAGTTTCTAGCAGTTCTACTGTCACTGACAAATGCTGACTTCTTTTTACCAGTAGACTATTTAAATTTTCCTCCTAAGTCAGCATAGAGTTCCAGATATCTACTGAGAGCTGACAATCCTGTTCAGGGCAAATATGTTGGTGAAACTGATGAATAAAGATTATTCACCATCTGTCTTCTTTTTTTATTTATTAAGGATATTAACCCTTTGCCATATATATTGCAAGATTTTTTTCCCCCAGTTTCTTGTTTAGCTCTTGAGTTTTTCTTTTTTTGAGATTAAGGTGTCCCTGTGTTGCCCAGGCTGGTCTCTTATCTCCTGGGCTCAAGTGATCCTCCTGCCTCAGCATCCCAAATAGCTGGGATTACAGGAGCACACCACCACACCCAGCTCTGACTTTCTTTTTTGTAGTATAGTTTCCCCCCAAATGCTTTATACTTTTATATGGTAAATAATTAAATCTTTTTCATTTATGGTCTGGCCATTGGCATATGCTAATCTGTTTTTTCTCAGTAAAAGGAAAATTTCCAATGCCAGAGGCCATATAGGTCATTCTTATGGCTTAGTCACTTTCAGTCCCCCTGGACTCAGAAGACAGGTTATACTTAATTGTAGTTTGTGGGGTACAGGGTTTTGCTACTGAATATCCAAACCTGTAAGTCAAGCTTTTCTTCCAAACCAGGATTAATTTATGAGCATTGCATATTGCTAGTCTGGCTTCTCCAATCTAGGCTTTCTACAGCCACAGCCAGAATCAACTGAGCTTTCCCATCCTTTGTGAGTAAATGAGCAGCTTTGGGGAAAATAATTGGCAGTACTGAGGATGGTGGTGATCTTGCTGCAACCAGCAGATCTGTGACTGCTGAGAACAATGCTGCGCACAAAAGTCCAAACATAACAGGGAGTAATGTCACGCTTATCTCACTTGAACCCTGGGCACTTTAACACTCTAATTTCTCCCTCCTTAAAAAATGTTTTTCCTCAGCCCCAACAAGTGATGATCATCCCTGTATATTTCCATCCCAAGGATCTGTTTTTACTTACTTGTGGTTGTAATTAGAATAGACAAACAATTGTTTTTCAGTTAATATTGTAAACCATGCATCTTTCTGTATTTCTATGTACATATTTTCATTGGCCACATATTATTCTGTTAGTTGGAAAATATGATAATTTTCTTTGTCTTTTTATCTTAACCTGGGTTTCCCCCAAAAGTAGACTTTAGTCAAGGATTTGGGTGTAAGAAGTTGAATAGGAAGGTGATCACAGGATGCGGTGGGTGAACGTGGGGAAGTGAGCCAGGAAAAGGAAGAAAGCCATTGAGGCTGCACTAATAATGGGTTACTTTTTGAGGGTGACTGGAGCTCACTCTTATTAAGATCCTTCTAAGAAACTGTGGAAAATAATCCCAACATTTCCCACCAAGAGGTGAGAAAGCTGGGTCATTATCAGTTTCAGCTCTGGTTGACAGTCTCTGAGACATTAACTCCCTGGTACTTCCAGCCTGCCCCATGTGTGAGCCAAGCACAGTCCTGGGCTGGAGAGTGCCTGCGGGCTGAGAGGCACAGGAAGCCAGTGGACAGTAAGGGAGTTGTCTTCAGATGACCTCCAGGGTGTGTCAAGGGGATATGGGCAGGGCATGAGTGCATCTTTCACAGCACGTCCTTTGTATTGCTTATTAACGTGCCCATGTTAAGTTCACTCTGTCACTAATTCTTTAAAATGGCCTTAATCATACCCCTGATGGAAGGATGTAACAGCAGGGTGGTTGGTGGGATGCTGCTGCAGTTGTTCCCAGGCTGTGGGGATATTCATCCTCTCCTTCACAGAATGTTCATTCTGGAATCCCCTCCTCTTTAGTTAATGTTTCTACTGGTCTAGGTTGCTCACCTAATGGGATGATCAGACCTTCTTCCCTGTTGAGTCTGGCTCCCTGGTGATCTTGCACTTGGAAGGTTATGGAAGCATTAACGGGCACCCCAGTGATCCACTGACATTCTCCCTGCTCCCACTATATAGCAGCAACCATGTCTCCTCATCACAGTCCTCATCAGTTATGCCTGCTAGTCTATTAACTTCTATAGAGGATCCCCAGATGATCAGGAAGCAGTGGTAACTTTAGGTTTAGTAGAACTCTGTTGTGTATATTCCATGCCCGTAGACTAAAATTTCTAACCCTGCAGAACCTAAAGTGGTAAGGAGAGGAATCCCAACATACATAAGTGGTTCACTGGAAGTGATGGTGAGAGGGGTTGTCCATTTGGGCTTGGCCCAAATCTTGGTCCATTTGGGCTGTTATAACAAAATACCACACACTGGGTGGCTTACAGACCACAGAAATGCATTTCTCACAGTTCTGGGGGCTGGAAATCTGAGATCATGTTACCAGCATAATTGAGTTCTGGCAAAGGCCTTCTTCGGGTTGCAGACTGCAACTTCTACTGTAAACTTGCATGTTGGAAGCAATGATCTAGGTCTCTTGGGCCTTTTTTTTAATAAGGGCACTAATCCAATTCATAAAGGTGCCACTCTCATGACCTAATCACTTTCCAAAGTCCCCCACCTCCTAATACCATCAACTTAGGGTTTAAGATTTCAACGTAAGAGTTTTTGGGGGACAAAAACATTCAGACCATATCAGGGGTTATTCCTACTCATACCCCTTCATTTCTAGTCCTATGTATTTTAACTACTCAGGACACTAACCACATAATGTCTGTTGATTCAATGTTTATATCTTATCTTGAAGGACTACACCTCAACTGGGTGACATTCCCAAGCTGGAACAATAGCTGTGTCTTTAACAGGTTATTCCAATGTTCTATCACACTGGCAGCCTTCTGGGTGGAGTGGTAAATGATAGCACCAGTGGATCCTGTGAACATGTGCCCATTGTTGCATTGTTATAAAGTGGGTCCCTTAGTCCAAGTAGATGTTATATAGGACCTCTTACTGGTAAGTCACATACTCTATGAACCCTCCAATAATCATGTTGATATAGGCAGTATAGGCAAAGAAGGCAAATGTTACCTGGACTACACATCCGTCCCAGTAAAGATGAATCACTGCTTCTCTAGTGTGTAAGGAAATCAACTTGTCACCAAGTGATTTATTGGCTTCCTTGAGGGAATGTATGCCATATTTAGGGCTCAGTATTGGTTTCTTTCCTCTCCCTCCCTCCCTCCCTCCCTCCCTCCCTCCCTCCTTCCTTCCCTCTCTCCCTCCCTCCCTCTCTCTCCCTCCTTCCCTTCACTCCTGTCTTATTCTGTTGCCCAGGCTGGAAAGCAGTGAAGCAGTGGTGCAATCACCACTCACTGAAGCCTTGACCTCCCAGGCTTCCCAGTAGCTGTGACCACAAGTGTGCCACCACACACAACTAGTTTTTACTTTTTTGTAGAGATGGGGTTTCCCTATGTTGCCCAGGCTGGTCTTGAACTCACAGGCTCAAGCATTCCTTCTGCCTTAGCCTCCCAAATTGCGGGGATTACAGGCACGAGCCATTGTGCCTGTCTTAGTTTCTTTTTAAAATTTTTATTAAAAAAATAATCGTTTATTCTTGAGACAGGGTCTCACTCTGTTGCCCAGGCTAGAGTGCAGTGTGGCACAATCATAGCTCACTGTAGCCCTGAACTCCTGGACTCAAGTGATCTTCCTGCCTCAGCCTCCTGAGTAGCTGAGACTACAGGTATGAACCACCATGCCTGGCTAATTTTTTTGTAGAAATGGGGTCTCACTGTGTTTCTCAGGCTGGTCTCAAATTCCTAGCATCAAGTAATCCTCCTGCCTTGGCCTCCCAAAGTGCTGGGGTTACAGATGTGAGCACTGCACCTGGCTAGTATTGGTTTCTGATACTGATATTTAGCAGTGGTAGTAACTAAAGTATTCTTGATAAGAAGGGCCTGTGCTATCAGGCTTTGGCATAGCTTCCATCCCTGCCACCATGATTACTCTAGTCACAACTTACTGTGAAAACAATGGAGTGCCTGAGAACAGAGGCTGACTACCAGCACAGGATGAGTCTTCCTGTGTAAGCCCTCTTTGATGAATGATCTGGTAGGCACTGACCTGAATCACAAAGACATATACATGTGCTCCTTCTCCAGACTTCCTTGATCCTATCTTCCAATATTTCTCCCTTTCTTTTTTCAGGCCCTGACCAGCCAACAGAGCTGTTTACCACTTCCCAGGAGTTCTTGAATATCTCTGCCTCTGGCCACTTTTTCCTCCCCCCAACAGTTAATGACTACATGTGCTGCTCAAAGCTCTTTCTACTGGGAGAGCTTTATTTTTTTCTCTCTCCACCAGCTGATCTTAGGAAATCCCTCACAAGGTCATAGGTAAGAACTAAGGAAGCGGCAAGAGTTCAAGAGTTTGGCAACTTAGCATCTGGGTCACCCTTCCGTGTAACTTAGTTGTGTCTGCCAGACCTCCTCAGGCCTAATCTTAAATGTAGTGGTGTGTTGGCCAGGAAGCCAAGCTACAACATTCATCAGAGCGGTGAGCAGAGGAGTAAACTCAAAATCTGTCCTTTCATTCCAAGCTCTTGGCCTCCATTTTAAAATCAAATCAAATTGACCAGGCACAGTGGCTCATGCCTGTAATCCTAGCACTTTGGGAGGCCAAGGTGGGCAGACTGCCTGAGCTCAAGAGTTCAAGACCAGCCTGGGCAACATGGTGAAACCCCATCTCTACTAAAAATACACACACAAGAAATTAGCTAGGTGTAGTGGTGCATGCTTGTAGTCCCAGCTACTTGGGAGGCTGATGCACAAGAATTGCTTGAACCTGGGATTGGAGGTTGCAGTGAGCCAAGATCATGCCACTGCACTCCAGCCTGGGTGACAGAGCAAGTCTCTGTCTCAAAAAAAAAAAAAAATCAAATCAATAATGGGCATCTGTCAGCTGTCTAGATACGCTAGCATGGCAGACGTTCTTAAAGATTTGGATGTCAGGCTTGCTGGGGAGAACATGGAGAACCCCCGAATACCCATGGGTCACTGGGAATGTTGGCCATGCTTCAAACTATCTTCTTTTCACGGGGAATCTTAGCCATTGTGTGAGGCTGGGAAAAGTCCTGAAGCAACTAAGAATTTCTGGCTGGGGCACACCCTGGTGTTATTCAAAGGCTTCTGGACCGGACCCAGCCTCTGACAGCCTGCCCAGGTGTTGTTGAAGGATCTCCAGCTATCCTGTCACAAAACTTTCCTTCTTTTTCTATCTGTGGTTGCTTTGTCTCTTATTCTCTCTGTGTATTGAATATGTATGAGTTTTTATAGCCTAGGGAAGTAATCCTATTAGGCAAGATCAGGAAATGCTGTAGTAACCGGGGATATAGCTCAGGACAATACCGCTGCACTCTTCTAGCAACAGAGGTCTTCCCTTTCCCCCATAGTGAGGTCATTCGCTACTATTCCTCTGGTGAGTACGTGGTATTTCTAAGCCAAGAGCCCACCTAATGGAAATATAAATCCTCTTTATAAGACACATTGCTGGTCCTCTGCTGAACATTGCAGCTTCCCAATTTTTCCTTTTTCCACCTTTCTATTGGAAACCAGGCTTTATGCTGCTTCTGTGAATGGGAAAGTTCTGCCTTCAACAATTAGGAGTAAAATGTCCTCTGCAGCCAAATTTTAGTCCCGATACTGTCCCATTAGCAGGAAAATCGCCATTAGGTCCCCATGTCCCTTTAAGACACCTATTCTGTCTCTGATTAAGACAGTACTTAATTAGTAAGGGGATTTTAAGTCCGGAAGTTAAACAGAACCATTTTTCTAAGGGTAAATGCTTTAGCATGGACCATAATAGCAGGCAATCTATCACATTCCCTCCATTAAAGGAGACTTGCCTTTTATATCATCTTTCCCAAGGTATTTTTTTTTTTTTTTGAGGGAGGCACACAGGTCACACAAGTCTAGGAAGTCAAAGGGAAATCACAGGCTGATGACTAGAGGTACTTGGGTGACTGTGACTAGCCCAATAGCTTAGTATCTCTGTTGCCATGGTTTGGAGGGTCATGCCTACAACCATGGGTGGCACATTTAACAGGGTGCCAGGAACCAAGGAGGAAAAAACAGTCAGGGGGGATGCTCCCACTATCTTCTTCTCTACCCTGGGTCTCACACAGAAAGGAAGGAGACTTCAGGGACACCTTCTTCTCACTTCTCTTTCTAGATGGGTAACAGATCATCTTCAGCATGCACTCCCCTGGAGTGTATTCTAAAGCACTGGGACTCCTGTGACCCTGAGACTTTGAATAAAAATTGCCTCATATTCTGTTGCACAGGGCATGGCCTTCTTACCATCTTGGGGACAGACAAACCTGGCCTGCTGGAGGGAGCCTTGATTTTAATATTATCCAACAATTAGATCTTTTCTGTAGACAGAAGGGCAAATAGCCTGAGGTCTCCTATGTACAGGCTTTCTTTGCCCTGCAACACAACCCAAACCTTTACAAGCTTTGCACAATGGACCTAGTTCTCTTAGCAGCCATGGCAGGCAAACCCACAGGGAATAGTTCCCCAGAGCTAAAGCAGATTCCAGAGGAGCAATCTGAGACAGCTGTTGAATGTCCCAACCCTCCTAGTGCCCCTCATCCAGAACCCCCTCCAGTCATACCATCAGCTCCTCCAGCTCTACCATCTCCAGTATTACCCACTTTCCCCACTTTTTACCTCTGCAGGAAATGTCTGATGGAAATGGTGCCATGAGGGTTCATGTTCCCCTCTCATTACAGGACCTTAAGCAAATAAGGGGAGACTTAGGCCAATTTTCTGATGACCCCGATAGATATATAGAAACTTTCCAAAATTTAACTCAGGCGTTTGACCTCACACAGAGGGATGTTATGTTGCTCCTAGGTCAGACCCTTACTGCAGCCGAAAAGCAGGCAGTTCTGCAGGCAGCAGAAAAATGTGGCGATGAGCAGCATGTCTCCTATAGCAGACCAAAGAGAGAAAAGGGGATGGGAAAGGTGAAGAAGTAATGGAAACTCCATTCCCACTAGGAAGAGAAGCAGTTCTGGTAGACAACCCTGATTGGAACCCCAGTAAATCAGTAGATGAATGGAAAAGGAAGCACTTTTTAATATGCATACTAGAGGCTTATGAAAAACCAGGGCCAAACCTCTTAATTAAGCTGTCCATGATAGACTAAAAACCAGATGAGAATCCCACAGCCTTTATGGAAAGGCTGAGAAAGGCACTAATAAAACACACTTCTTTATCCCCCAATTCAGTCGAGGGGCAGCTCATCCTGAAGGACAAGTTTATTATGTAGGCAGCTCCCAATATTAGAAGAAAACTACAGAAGCAAGCTATAGGACCAGATAGCACCCTAGAAAACCTCATGAGAATAGCCACTTTGGCCTTTTGCAGTAGGGATCAGGAGGAGGCCCAAGGAAAGGAGAGGAAACCAAGAGAAGGACAGAGGCTGTAGTAGCAGCGTTGCAAGCTTGCAAAGTCCTGGATCCCCAGGGCGCATCCACTAGCTGTTATCAACATCACAAGTCAGTGCATTTTAAGAGGGAATGCCCAGGCAGCAAGAAGAAGCCACCTTGACCCTGTCCAGCCTGTGGCAGAGACCACTGGAGAATCAAACTGCCCCTGGAGATGGAGATCACTGGGTTCAGAACCAGTCTTACAGATGGTCCAGCAGGACTGAGAGGTGCCAGGGCTTGAACCCCTAGCTCCAGCAGCTCAGACTGCCATTACAGCACAGGATCTCCGGGTGATTCTGGAAATTGAAGGAAGGAAGGTAGATCTCTTTCTGAATACTGGAGCTAGTCTCTCTCTTCTCCTCTTGAATCTAGGCCTCCCCTCTTCCCATAGCGCGGCTGTAAGTGGTGTCTCAGGAAAAACTCTAATCCAATATTTTTCTCAACCCCTTAGCTGCAGATGAGGGGGGTACCTATTATTTACACATGTCTTTTTAATCATGCCTGAAAGTCCCACTCCTTTATCAGGTAGAGATATTCTAGCTCGCATGGGGGCCAGCATCCGTATAGCCCCAGGACAAACTCTTTGTCTCTCCCTGATGGAAGCTAATATTAATCAAGAAGTGTGGGCAACTCAAGGAAGAATAGGTTGAGCTATAACCTCTAGGCCAGTCCAGATCCATCTTCTTTTCCTAACCAGAGACAATATCCCCTAAGGCCAGAGGCTAGGAAAGGGCTAGAAGCCATTATTAATAACCTAAAGATGCAGGACCTCCTCAAACCCTGTAATAGCCCATGCAACACCCCAACGTTAGGAGTACAGAAACCCAATGGGGGATGGAGACTAGTTCAGGACCTCTGCTTTATTAATGAAGCTGTAGTTCCAATCCATCCAGTGGTCCCTAATCCCTACACCTGTTAACTGAAATACCTGAGGGAACTAAATGGTTTACAGTGCTAGATTTAAAGGATGTCTTTTTCTGCATACCATTATATCCTGATTTTCAATACCTGTTTGCCTTCAAAAATCCCTCCGGCCAAACTGCCAAGTTAACATGGATGGTGCTGCCTCAGGCAGTTTGAGATAGTCCTCATCTGTTTGGACAAGCACTGTCGAAAGATCTCTCTGAGTTTTCCCACTCTCAAGTTATGGTTTTGCAGTACATTTATGATATTCTGTTCTGTTTCCCAACTGAGGAAGCATCTCAGGAAGGCACTGAAGCTCTTCTTAACTTCTTAACTAGCAGATGATGTAAGGTTTCAAAATTCAAGGCCCAGCTTTGCAAAACCTCAGTGAAGTACCTAGGTTTAGTGCCGTTAGAGGGGACCAGAGCCTTAGGGGAAGAAAGGATTCAGCCTATTTTTTGCTTCCGCCTCCCCAAAACCCTCAAGCAACTATGAGGATTTTTGGGCATTACAGGATTTTGTAGACTATGGATACCTGGGTATGGTGAAATAGCTCGTTTGTTATAAAACCTCATAAAAGAAACTCAGTGAGCTAAAACTCATCTTTTAACCTGGGAACCTAATGGTCAAAAGGCCTTTGACCAGCTAAAACAAACCTTGCTTAAGGCACCAACTCTCAGCCTTCCTGTAGGAAAGACCTTCAATCTGTATGTATCAAAAAGTAAGGGAATGGCCCTGGGAATTTTAACACAGGCCTGAGGACAAACTCAACAACCAGCGGGTTATCTAAGTAAGGAACTTGATTTGGTGGCTAAAGGATGACCAGCATGCCTCTGAAATGTTGCCTCAGTGGCCCTACTGGTCCCAGAAGCATCCAAATTAACCCTGGAAAATGATTTAACTGTTTATACCCTACAAAACATGGCAGGACTACTGTACTGTAGGGGAAGCCTTTGGCTAACAGATAGCTGACTCATTAAATAAATATCAGGCCCTGCTGTTAAAGGGTTCTGACATCACATTAAAAACTTGTTCTCACCTAAATCCAGCCATCTTCCTCCCCAAAGAAACTGGGGAACCTGAACATGACTGTGAACAGGTCATAATACAGACCTATGCAGCCAGGAAATATCTCAGGGAAACTCCCCTAGAGAACCCACTCTGGACCCTCTTCACAGATGGGAGGTCTTTTATAGAACAGAGAATCTGCAGGGCAGGATATGCAGTAGTCACTCTAAATGACATCACTGAAAGTGCTTCTCTCTCTCCAGGCGTAAGCCCTCAATTAGCTGAGCTAATAGCCCTTAAAAGAGCACTTGAATTAAGCAAAGGAAAGGTAGTTAACATTTACACTGACTCCAAGTATGCTTTCCTGGTTCTCCATGCTCACGCTGCCATTTGGAAGGAAAGACATTTTCTTACCACTAATGGATCTCCTATAAAATATCACTAGGAAATTAATAGGTTATTATCCTCAGTCTTCCTTCCATGAGAAATAGCTGTGATGTATCATAGGGGACATCAAAAGGGAACAGATGAAGTAGCTGAAAGAAATAGATTAGCTGATGAGGCAAGTAAGTCAGTGGCAAGGAAGTCTCAGGACATCAACACACTTCAAACCTCTCTAATCTGGGGAGGCTCCATAAGAGAAATTAAACTTCAGTACTTCCCTACAGAAATAGAATGGGCCAGTGCTCGAGGGTATACTTTTCAGCCCTCAGGATGTCTATAGTCAGAGAATGGCAAACTCTTCTTGCCAGCCTCCAGCCAATGGAAAGTCCTTAAAATCCTTCACCAAACTTTTCACTTGGGAAAGGATAAAACTTATCAATGTGCCCAGAGATTGTTTTCAGGAGAGAACCTACTAGAAACATTCAAACAAGTTGTTAATGCTGGTGAATTCTGTTTCAAAATAATCCCCGGAATAGGCGACTCCTTCCTCCTCAAACCCGAAGAATAGGAAGTTATCCATGGGAAGACTGGCAGATAGACTTCACCCACATGCCAAAGATGAAGGGCATTCAATACCTCTTGGTATAGGTAGATACTTTCACTAATTGAGTAGAAGCATTTGCATGCTGCATAGAAAAAGCCTCTGAGGTAATAAAAGTGTTAGTTAATGAAATAACTCCTTGCTTTGGCCTACCTAAGTACCTTCAAAGTGACAATGGCTCCGTGTTTAAGGCAGCTGTCACACAAGGGGTCTCAAAAGCACTAGACATAGAATATCATCTACGTTGTGCTTGGAGACCCCAGTCTGCAGGAAAGGTAGAGAAAAATAATGATATTATCAAGAGACACCTCAGAAAATTATCCCAAGAAATTCACCTTCCTTGGGCCACTCTTCTTCCTAAGGCCTTACTACAAATAAGAAATACCCCTTCAAAAGTAGGTCTTAGCCCTTTTGAGATGCTGTATGGACAGGCTTTCCTTACCAATGATTTTCTATTAGATCAGGAAACCTCTGAGTTAGTTAAGCATGTAACCTCTCTGGCTCATCTCCAACAGGAATTAGCGCAATTAGCAAAAGTCCAACCCCAGGAAACAGGATCACCTCTATTTAACCCAGGAGATTTGGTACTGGTAAAGTCTCTCCCTTCTCTCTCTGCTTCCTTAAGCCCAAGCTGGGAAGTGCCTTACATTGTTCTTCTTTCAACCCCCTCGGCAATAAAATTTACAGGAATAGACTCCTGGATGCATTGCACTTGAGTCAAAGCCTGGAGAGCTGAGGGAACAACCCCTGACAGCCCACAGGAACATCCTGAATATCAATGTGAAGAAATAGGGGGCCTTAAGCTGAAAATGATAAAAGAGAAGTCACTGAGTGAGAACTACTCATCTTACTCATTTCCACCCCTACCTCACCAAATATTTTTTGTCATTTCTACCTTTCCTTTCAAGATTCACTGCCAAATATTAGAATTTCTTTTTGAGGCATATTTGCAAGGACATTTTTAATTATCCATGGAATTACATCTGTAACTTCATAGAACTCTAAAGAGAAATTCCATAACTTGGCAAATAACAATTTTAGATGGAAATTACTTACTATGCCATCCTTGTGGGAATTGTTATACTCACTCTACTATTTGCAGTAGGAACATGGTATGTGAGCACTTTCAGCTGGGCAACTAACTCCTCTCAGAAAAACAGTCTGCCCCCAGTGCCAAAGAACACTCTCCCCCAAGATAAGCTTCACACTCTCAGGCTGGGAAAAGTTGACCAGATAATAGCAAATGCCTCCCTCTGCTTTAATTTTATTAATTTATTTTATTTTTTAGACGGAGTTTCACTCCTGTTGCCCAGGCTGGACTGCAGTGGCATGATCTCAGCTCACTGCAACCTCCACCTCCTGGGTTCAAGCGATTCTCCTGCCCCAGCCTTCTGAATAGCTGGGATTACAAGTGCCCACCACCACACCAGGCTAATTTTTGTATTTTTAGTAGAGATGAGGTTTCACCATGTTGGCCAGACTGGTCTCGAACTCCTGACCTCAGGTGACCCACCTTCCTCAGCTTCCCAAAGTGCTGGGATTACAAGTGTGAGCCACCACACCCAGCCACCTCCCTCTGCTTTAAAAGCAGCAGGGAAGGACCATACTTGGGAGATCTCAAATATTGTAAAATCATACTTGTAATTGCTGATAGTTCAAAGATTTGGTGAGGAAAGTGCAGTAAAGGTGATCTAAAAGGATCAGAAGCCCTAGTAGGGGGCTTTCAGAATCTAGCCTCTCCTCTGGTTGGAAGTCCCAATAGAAATGGCACACTCTAACTGAGCACCTTGACTATAATGTAAAGAACAACACATGGGCCTTTCCAAACTTGCCCCTTCATGGACTTCCAGACCCTTGTATGATGTTTGCTGATAGTAGCAACCTACAAATTTGTGGGCAAAGCGGAGATATCTGGACTGACAGCCCTTGCCACAAGGATCATCTTAGATATTGGCCAGGGCATATTATGTCTGTAAATTTTTGAAACTCCATTTGTCAGGTGGACGCTTCTCACTTGGCATGTCCAGTTCCAAATGGCATCGTAAATGACTATCCTGAATATTGATATCTTAGCCATATCCAAGGATGCCTCTATTATATGTAAAGAGGGGAAACTTTTAAGATATGAGAAAAAACTGCTGGTGTCTCTCACAAGCCACAACTTAGAACCATCCCTTCAAAGAACAGGGCTATATTTTCTTTGTGGCTCCTGACTACACTTAATCCTCCCAAGGCCTTGGAAGAGAATATGTACTATAGTAACAGTAGTTCCCGAATTATTTTATTTTTTTTATTACACTTTAAGTTCTGGGATACATGTGCAGAATGTGCAGGTTTGCTACCTGGGTATACACGTGCTATGGTGGTTTGCTGCACCCAGCAACCCCTCATCTACATTAGGTATTTCTCCTAATGCTATCCCTCCCCTAGACCCCCACCCCCCAACAGGCCCTGGTGTGTGATGTTCCCCTCCTTGTGTCCATGTGTTCTTATTGTTCAACTCCCACTTATGAGTGGGAACATGTGGTGTTTGGTTTTCTGTTCCTGTGTTAGTTTGCTAAGAATGATGGTTTCCAGCTTCATCTATGTCCCTGCAAAGGACATGAGCTCATCATTTTTTATGGCTGCGTAGTATTCTATGGTGTATATGTCCCATATTTTCTTTATCCAGTTTATCATTGATGGTCATTTGGGTTGATTCCAAGTCTTTGCTATTGTGAACAGTGCTGCAATAAACACGTGTGCATGTGTCTTTATAATCCTTAGGGTGTTTGGCATTGCTGGGTCAAATGGTATTTCTGGTTCTAAATCCTTGAGGAATTGCCACACTGTCTTCCACAATGGTTGAACTAATTGACACTCCCACCAACAGTGTAAAAGTGTTCCTATTTCTCCACATCCTCTCCAGCATCTGTTGTTTCCCGACTTTCTATTGATCGTCATTCTAACTGGCGTGAGATGGTATCTCATTGTGGTTTTGATTTGCATTTCTCTAATGACCAGTAATGATGAACTTTTTTTCATATGTTTGTTGGCTACATAAATGTCTTCTATTGAGAAGTGTCTGTTCATAGCCTTTGCCCACTTTTTGATGGAGTTGATTTTTTTTTTTCTTGTAAGTTTGTTTAAGTTCTTTGTAGATTCTGGATATTAGCCCTTTGTCAGATGGATAGTTTGCAAATATGTTCTCCCATTCCGTAGGTTGCCTGTTCACTCTGATGGTAGTTTCTTTGGCTGTGCAGAAGCTCTTTAGTTTAATTAGATCCCATTTGTCAATTTTGGCTTGTGTTGCCATTGCTTTTGGTGTTTTAGTCATGAAGTCCTTGCCCATGCCTATGTCCTGAATGGTATTGCCTAGGTTTGCTTCTAGGGTTTTTATGGTTTTAGGTCTGACATTTAAGTCTTTAATCTATCTTGAATTAATTTTTGTATAAGGTGTAAGGAAGGGATCCAGCTTCAGTTTCCTGCATATGGCTAGCCAGTTTTCCCAACACTATTTATTAAATAGGGAATCCTTTCCCCATTGCTTGTTTTTGTCAGGTTTGTCAAAGATCAGATGGTTGTAAATGTGTAGCATCATTTCTGTGGCCTCTGTTCTGTTCCATTGGTCTATATATCTGTTTTGGTACCAGTACCATGCTGCTTTGGTTACTGTAGACTTGTAGTATAGTTTGAAGTAAAGTAGCATGATGCCTCCAGCTTTGTTCTTTTTTCTTAGGATTGTCTTGGCTATATGGTCTCTTTTTTTTGGTTCCATATGAAATTTAAAGTATTTTTTTCCAGTTCTGTGAAGAAAGTCACTGGTAGCTTGATGGGGATAGCATTGAATCTATAAATTCCTTTGGGCAGTATGGCCATTTTCATGATATTGATTCTTCCTATCCATGAGCATGGAATATTTTTCCATTTGTTTATGTCCTCTCTTATTTCCTTGATCAGTGGTTTGTAGTTCTTATTGAAGAGGTCCTTCACATCCCTTGTAAGTTGTATTCCTAGGTATTTTATTCTCTTTGTAGCAGTCGTGAATGGGAGTTCACTCGATCTGGCTCTCTGTTTATTATTGGTGTATAGGAAAGCTTGTGATTTTTACACATTGACTTTATATCCTGAGACTTTGCTGAAGTTGCTTATCAGCTTAAGGAGATTTTGGGCTGAGAAGACGGGGTTTTCTAAAAATAAAATCATGTCATCTGCAAACAGAGACAATTTGACTTCCTCTCTTCCTATTTGAATGCCTTTATTCTTTCTCTTGCCTGATTGCCCTGGCCAGAACTTCTAATACTATGCTGAATAGGAGTGGTGAGAGAAGGCACCCTTGTCTGGTGCCAGTTTTCAAAGGGAATGCTTCCAGCTTTTGCCCATTCAGTTTGATGTTGGGTGTAGGTTTGTCATAAGTAGCTCTTATTATTTTGAGTTATGTTCCATCAATACCTAGTATATTGAGAATTTTTAGCATGAAGGGGTGTTGAATTTTATCGAAGGCCTTTTCTGCATCTATTGAAATAATCATGTGTTTTTTGTCATTGGTTCTGTTTATGTGATGGATTACATTTATTTATTTGCATCTGTTAAACCAGCCTTGCATACCAGGGATGTAGCTGACTTGATCATGATGGATACACTTTTTGATGGGCTGCTGGATTTGGTTTGCCAGTATTTTATTGAGGATTTTCACATCAATGTTCATCAGGGATCTTGGCCTGAGATTTTCTTTTTTTGTTGTGTCTCTGGCAGGTTTTGGTATCAGGATGATGCTGGCCTCATAAAATGAGGTAGGGAGGAATCACTCTTTTTCTATTGTTTGATATAGTTTCAGAAGGAATGATACCAGCTCCTCTTTGTACCTCTGGTGGATTTCAGCTGTGAATTTGTTTGGTAACGGGCTTTTTTTTTGGTTGGTAGGCTATTAATTACGGCCTCAATTTCAGAACTTGTTATTGGCCTATTCAGGGATTTGACTTCTTCCTGGGTTGGTCTTGGGAGTGTGTATGTGTCCAGGAATTTATCCATTTCTTCTAGATTTTCTAGTTTATTTGCACAGAGGTTTTTATAGTATTCTCTGATGGTAGTTTGTATTTCTGTGGGATCAGTGGTGATATCCCCTTTATTATTTTTATTGTGTCTATTTGATTCTTTTCTCTTTTCTTCTTTATTAATCTGGCTAGCCATGTTTCTATTTTGTTAATCTTTTCAAAAAGATGTTCCGTGTCTCTAGCTCCTTCACTTCTGCTCTGGTCTTAGTTAGTTTTTATCTTCTGCTAGCTTTTGAATTTGTTTGCTTTTGCTTCTCTAGTTTTTTTAATTGTGATGTTAGGGTGTCATTTTTAGATCTTTGCTGCTTTCTCCTGTGGGCATTTATTGCTATGAAGTTCCCTCTAAATGACCTATTATTTTTAAATTCTACTGAGATGGCAGCATCATCTGGGGACATCCCTATCTTAGGTTCTTTTCTAGAAACTGCACTATCTTGAATACACTGGACAAAGATCTATCATTTCTGTGCCCTCATATGAAGATCTAGCTGAAAGGGAAGACTGGGGAGGGCATGCACATCACAATCCCATCTTAGAAAAATGATGTGTGGGAAATTCTATAGCCAGAAGTCTATTCTGGTTTGCTGGCATTCCTCTCCTTAAAAGATTGGTACTTAATATTTCTATTATGATGCAACAAGGTTGGAAGGCAACTGTAGGAGCCATAGAGTCACAACAGTAATCTGTAGATGCTTTAGCTTCAGCAGTAGTACCAAATAGACAAGCCTTAGATGTTCTTACAGCTGAAGTAGGAGGTACCTGTGCACTTTTAAATGAAACATGCTGCTTCTGGATTAACACCTCTAGTCAAGTAGAGGAAAACCTACAGGTACTTAAAGATCACATCGAAATCATTGACAGGCTAAGAGACAATGCGGGCTTCAGCCCTGGGTGGCTACAATCCCTCTTTAATGAATTCCAGTCTTCTTCATGGAATTGGTTAGCTCCTTTATTAAGCCGCCTCTTGCTTACATGTCTTGTATTAATATTTGGACCTTGCATACTCAAATTGTTTCCTCCTGCCTAGAAGCAATCAGACTCCAAGTGGTGCTGCAAACAGAACCATGCATGGAAAAGCCATTCTTTTGAGGACCCTTAGATCAACCCCAGGAGGAACCCTAGCTGTTGTTTTCCACTTGATGCCCCTTTTCAGCAGGAAGTAGCCAGAAAGAGTTGCCGTTCCAAACCCCCTAACAGCAGTTAGGCTGACATCTCCTGAGGGAGAAAATATTACAGGAATTATTAAGAAATTATTTTAGGCAGCTAGAGAGAGTAAAAGAGTCCTTGGTAAGGCTTTTTGTGTAATAAAAACAGTCCCCAAAACATTTCTTTTCTAACAGAAAGCAGCCTGAAAAACCAGATCTGCAAGCATTGATATGCAAATGCTGGTGGCTAAAAGCCAGGTACACACAATATGGTGGTTCCCTCCACTTTTTCTATGTTGCCACGTATGCAGGACATCATGGTGACCAGCCAAGTATAGGCCACATGTGCAGGACATCATGGTGACCTGTCAGGTAGCCACATTTGCATATTAAAAGGCCGGGGTGGGAGGGCCAGTTCTTTCACAGGCTATGTGAATGACACACCTGGTCAAACCAATCCCCTGGGCCCTATGTAAATCAGACACTACTTCCTCCAGCCTCCCAATATAACTGACTGCTTTCTGCAACACATGGAGTTTTTGTTCAGAGCCCTCCTCCCTCTGTATGGGAGTGCTGTTTTCTTCTTTCTTGCCTATTAAACTTTCTGCTGTTTCATCCACTCCACATGTGTTCTTGTCACCAAGGACCCTGGGTGTTTCTCCAGACAATGGAGCTGTATCAGTAGCATTTCCCTTGTGCTGGGCATTTATGTTGTGGCTGCCTGACCTTGGCATTTAGTGATCTGGCCATACCCAGCTTCTGAATGGGTAGCCCTGGTCACGTGGTCTCGTGATTTTTCTGCAGTCCACCATTTAGTCTCTAGCAACATGTTAGAACGTGCTTCTCAAATGGTGAATAACGGTTTGTGTTGCTGTGATGTTTTGTCTCCCACTGGGCTTTTTGGGAGACTCCATATAATAAGTTGTTTATTTGAGAGGTGGTGGCCAGAAGTACTATGAGATAGTGGGGTAGTAAGGCAAGGAAAACCATCAATGAATGATAGACAACCAGACCTCCATCCTGCTGACATGGTATTTGGGACATAGCTGTAATTGTCCCATTGAGGGGCAGGAAGCTTAGGGTATTTATCTGCCAACTCTCCTCCTTCATTGGGTCATTAACTCCTTGGCCCTTTGGCCTGTTGTACACAATAGGCAGACACACTCCTATGGCCAGATGACCTCCTGAGGCATAGGGATGCCAGAAGTCAGCAGCAGGGTGGGCTGAGGTCATAAGCACAGGTCACCCATAGCATCTGCTTTATACTTCTGTATTTCTACAAACTCCTACTGCTTTTAATAATGAATAAACAGTCTTGCCTCAGAAGGGAGTTAGAGGCACAGGTCATGTTACAGTAGAAACAGCAGAACCAAAATGTTTCTTGGACACCTATAGTATGGAAACTAAATTTCACTATGTTCCCCAAATTCCCAGAAATACCCATAATATTGAGATTTTTCTCAGGTCAGGATACTAAGGAAATTAGTTGGCGGTGTTATTAGATGATTTGGAGATAAGTGCTTCGGTGTGCATGTAAAATTCCATAGTAAGGTGCTCTATATGCTTGATTTGTTTGGTCTTAATGGGAATGTATTACATGTAGTATTTTGCTAGAAAGCATGTTTTTGGTGGGTGAGATATGGAGGTTCATCAAAACCAAAACCTTGCCCCTCTGTAGGGAATAAATGTCTTAAAGATGAGTTCTGAAACTAGCAGAAGAAAGTGGTCAATGCTACGTACATATTTCTCTTCTAAGCTCTGAGTGTCTTTGTGAATTGTCTTGTTTGCTACTGCTGAGTGGTTTGCAAATCTGAGCATTTTCCTCAGGCAGGAGTTTTTTCATTGGTTTAAGCTAGAGAAAGGTGAGTAAAGCTGAATTGTAATTGCTTCTGGATGGCAGGAGCAAGAGAATTATAAAATACTGGGCTGTTGATCAACTCCCCCTACTTCTGCTCATGCCCTTGTCTTCCCTGCCAAGCATCAAACTGTCAGATGCTCTCCTTTAAGGGTGATATATTGTCAGAGAAGGCATTGTTTTCCCTACAAAGTCATTGGTTGTAGATTTCATTTCTGGCTCTGTAGCAATGGGTTATACCTGGGTTCCAACTACTCTATCTCTAGACCTTCAACCAATTCTTTTTTCTCTAGCCGCACGCCCTACCCCTGCCTTTGATGTCAGATGCCTTTAGATGAACAGGATCTCAGGGACCTGTTTCACATGCTTCTTAGCAGCACCGCTGTCTGTGGGCAGTGAGGTAAAAATGCCATCACTCTGTAAAGTCTACCCTTACTCAAGTTTCTGCAAATGAGTTTAAATCCCTTGCCTGCTGTTGTGTCCTCTCACATTCTCTTTGTCCTTGTGAGTAATATATTTTTTATTTTGTTGTTGTCATTTTGAGTGTCAGGAGGGGAAGGAAATGATTATGTGTGGTCAATGTGTTATGATTAACTTGAAATTCATCTGCACTTTAAACAGAGAAGAGGTCATACAATCTGAAATTTTTCTAAAACCCATGAGGCATTTTTTTTCTAGTTTCTGACAAGTGAGAAGGAAGGAAAATGAGAAGGACTGGTCAGTTTTTCTTCCTTATTGTCATCTTTTCTCAAGATGTACAGAACGCTGGGGCACAAAATTAAAGCTTAAAAAAGAGTCATTTTGGAAGGGATTGCTATTTGTGAGATGTTTATGATGTGAGGATGTGGATATAAGACATTGAAATCAAATTTGCATGACATGCTTTTGATATGTTTAATATTTTTAGAAATTTATAATTTTATATGAGCTAGGCAAATATCGTTTTTTAGAAAACCTTTCAGTTTGCAGGTCAGTAAAAATGTTAACGTAAGGGTTTAGTTTAGGCTTTTACATTTGATTGGTGTTTGTTCAATTGGGCTCACAGATTCAAGATCCAGGGAAAGAGAAAGAAGATGCTTTATTGTGCACTTTGTCCACAGCCCTACTGCTGTGGGCCCTGTGTTCTTGATGATGTCTGCTGATAGACTGAGCTGGGAAGTTCCTCCTTGGCTGTCTTTAGGAATTTTCTCTGGGAAGTTCAAATTTTCTCCTTCTCTCTGATGCTATTCTTTTTGTGCATTTTCTTCTTTTTATTTCTTAAAAAATCCCAAACTCTTCTATTCTCCCAGCTTTATTGAGGTATGATTGACAAATAAAAACTGTATATATTTAAGGTGTACAAGGTGATATCTGATACACCCATACCTTGTGAAAAGATTACCACAATTGAGCTAATTAACATATCCATCACCTCACTGGTGTGTGTGTGGTAAGAACACTTGAGATCTACTCATTTAGCAAATTTCAAGTATACAAAACAGTATTATTAACTATAGTCACTATGCTGTACACTAGGTCTCCAGAACTTATTCATCCTGTAGTTTCTTAACAGAAGGAGATCTTCTGCCAATGAGGGGCATAAAGACCATTGATTTGTTCATACTCTGTTTTCAAGAAGAAACAGATCTTAACAGTGCCTTAGAGGAGAAAGCCTCCTTTGACTGCTTCCAGTCTTTCTGTAGGTGTCTGGCAGATCTGGGCCTTGAGAGATCTAAAACTAGAAACTAAGGGCTAGAATATTTAGCAGAGGCATCGTGTTCAATTCTTGTCATTCCTTTTCTGTCTTTGCTCCTGGATTCTTGCTCCTGTTTCTTGCCAGTAGGTGGCAAGCTAGGCCTGGGAAAAACAGCAAGAACTTGAGGGTTGTGTGGAGTTGGTTTTGATCTTGCAGGGTTATTGTGTGGGACTGTGAAGAATTCCCTGAAAGAAACAAAGGGTTTACTTGTGGGAATCTCCTCAGGCTAGATAGAGGGTCATCTTAGTATTAATTTTAAAAAAAGATACCTGCATATTTATGCCTAACACATATATAAACATACACTAATAAACCTTTATTATGAAAATGTTATTAGCTCACGCATGTTAACTGTTCTAGGCATCCGGTTCATGACATGGGGTTCCAGACAGATCTACAAAAGAGAGGGTTGATTGGGTTGATGGAGTTCCAGACTAATGGAACTGTGGAAGGGTTGACTGGGCTCAAATCAGAGGCAAGGACTTAGGATAGTGCAGACCCCCCCAAATAGAAAATGTGGTAAAAAATAAAAAAAAACAGAGATTGGAGTCAGTTTGAGGGACTAAGTGGCTAAGTTGGCTTCCTGGGTCAACAGGGACTTCCCTAAGGGGACTTTCCCCTAAGCCAAAATGAGTCATAGCTGCAAGCTAAGGGATTGAAAGTTCAACCAATCAAAGGCGACTTTCCCCTCAGCCAAAATGAGTCACAGCTGTAAGCTAAGGGATTGAAACTTGAACCAATCACATAGGGAGTTTAAGCTCTAGCTGCAGCTTGATGTTTTTAACCAATCAGGCCCGCCAACCCACAAGCGGATAGAAATAGCTAATTCTATAGGACAGAAAAAGGAGAAGAGGAGGGGTCATAAGGGGATATAAGCATAAGACACCCAAGCCAGAAACGGCAACCCTTATGGGTCCCGTCCACCGTGTGTGAGCTTTACTTTCGCTTTCTCTTTAATAAATCTTGCCACTGCATACTCTTTGGGTCCCCGCGTTTCTCTAATTGAGCTGTGATACTTGCCGCTGCGGTCCACGGCTTCATTCCTTGAAGCTTGTGAGACCACGAACCCTTCAATGGAGAAAAACCTTCGATTGGAAGAAGACTTCTCCTCTCAAGTTCACCAAGTCAAAGCCAGGGACTGTGGTCAATGAAGGCAGCTTAGCTAAGCCAGAAGTAGGAGACAGAGAGAAGCATGGTACTGTGGATGCATGAACTGGGCATGACTGGGCAGGAAGGGCTGTATCTGGTGTGTCCCTGATCCCAGCTGCCATAATCCCATCTGCCCTGGGCCTGCTGGTTTGGTTCTTGGCAGATGTCTAGTGAGATGGTTAAGGGCATAGGTTTTGAAGTTGGAGTGACTTGGGCTTGAATTCCAGCTCTGCCACCTCATAGGATTGTGACCTGGGGCACCCTACATAACATCTCTGAGCCTTTGATTCTCATCTTCCAGATGTGATAATTGACAGAGCAGGAGCACCATCATCTCAGACAAACCTTTCCCTTCAGGTGCACTAAGATAGGGAAACTAAAGGCAAACTCGGGGGATATGCCTGCAGCTGCAGAAAGAGGTATGGGAACAGACACACAACTCTCCCTCCCAGATAAGCACAACAAAGAAACACAGAAGCAGTCCAAGCCTCTGATAAACTCTCCCTCCCTGAATCCTTAAAAACTCTTAGTCTATAAGAAAGTGCAGCTTCTGACTAACTCTGTCAGAAGTCCCTCCATGGTTGGAAATAAACCTGTTGACTGTTGAGCCACCCTTCTTGTTTCTCTCCTCTTTCTTTAATTCTTATAATAATAGCACTTAGTTCAAGGGTTGTTTTCAAAGTTAAATGAAAAGGGCATATTACTGTTCCTGGAACCAATGAGGTGGTTAACAAATGGTACCTTCTAGTATAATTATTCATTTAATAAAGGATAATAAAAAGAAAAAGGAAAAAGGAGAGGCATCTCATAAATCTAATTTTTGGTCACGAGGGGAAATCTTTATAAATACAGATTATGAGACTTCTCATAAATATAATCTTTAGTTATAAGTGGGAAGGAAACACTCCAAATGCCTGTCCTGCCCTAGGAGGGTAGGTCACATCTTCCTATAGACAGCACAGTATCTTTTCTTTTTGCTTGTGATGGATGGGAATACTCAGAGCACCTCTCAGTAGCACACCAGGTACATCACCTAGGTTGATGAATGCAGACAGCCTGAGCACAGAATACCTTGAAGGTAGCACTAAAAATGCTGTTTAGCTTATATGGAGGTACACATTCTTTGATATTCACTGTTTATTTTTGTTTTATTTCTATCAGCAGTTATTTTCTAGCACATATTTAGCCTCATTTAGGAATCAAATAAATGCTCAGGACATTCCCAGATATACTTTTAAATAAAATGATGATACGTAGTGGAGGGCAGACCCTAGGAAGAGGGCAGGGCCTTTATTCCTCCTCCTTCTCAGCTTCCCACTCAAACCGTCTCTTCTGGGATGAACAGCATCACCCCTTAGACCCACACACCAGCCTTCACAGTGGGAAGTTTTGAATATGTCAGTGGATGGAATTTGTTTTGTGTCCAAGTGTGTTGAGTGTCGTGGCCAGCTTTTAAATCACTGAGTTAGAATATAGACATTCTGATTTTTAAATCTCACACTTTGAATGTTACTGTGGTTCAACTCGTTAGCGCTGTTCAATTGAGAGCAGACAATTATGGTAAACCTGTAAGCTTATGTGTGTGTAAGGGGCACCTGTGGTCTTCTCCTTCCAAGTTTTTTGTTGAAGCTCTGCTGGATAGAACAGATAGGTAGCCTACTTCCGACACCAGCCAGTTATGCCCCACAGAGGTAAGCTCTATTCCACAGCCTCAAGAGCCTCCTGAATGCAGACAACAAAGGTGTGAAGTTTGATCAGAGGGAGACATAAAGATAACAGCATGGGAGGTGAACCAAGGCCTTATTAAAAGTAACTGCCAGAACCACCATCCCATTCAAGATATGTCAGTTGTGTTATTTATTTATACAAAGTCTAGCACCCTCAGTTAAAATACACAATTTTACATTTTCTATTTATTTTAAAAATGTGATCTAATCAAACCAATTCTGTGAAAATGTCCCTTCACATTTAACAGTATTTTTTTTTTTTTTTTGAGACAGAGTTTTACTCTGTTGCCCAGGTTGGAGTACAGTGGCATGATCTCAGCTCATTGCAACCTCTACCTCCTGGCGTCAAGCAATTCTCCTGCCTCAGCCTCCCAAGTATCTGAGATTACAGGCGTGCACCACAATGCCTGGCTAATTTTTTTTGTATTTTTAGTAGAGACGTGGTTTCACCATATTGGCCAGGCTGGTCTCGAACTCTTGTCTTTGTGATCTGCCCACCTTGGCCTCCCAAAGTGTTGGGAGGCATGAGCCACTGTGGCTAGCCCACATTTACAGTATTTCTGATTTGAAAAGAAGGCAATTGCTGATTTCATGTAAGAGGAGCTTGGGGAGGATTTATGAGAGTGGCATTTCCTTTGTTCCTTGGATCAAAAACTCAAATGACAAGTTTCTGATAGGCTTGACTACTCCTAGGTAACTGCCTGCCTAGCTTTGGTGTAGAATCCCTTGAAGCCATTAGGACTTGATCTGAAATGTTGGTTTCCAGGTTTTCCAGCACCAAACACCTTTCTGTTACTCTCTTTGCTACCACAACTTCAATGACAAGCTATATTTATGAAAGTGTTTCTCATTTCTTTTTTCATGTCTTTGAACTTCTCTAAATATGCAGTTAAATGGCAAAAAGCATTAAATATACTTGTTGAATATGCTGGTCATATTTTTGCGTCTTTGTATCTGTGTGGCTGATGTCTATTAAGATTTTTCATTTACAAAAAGATTGCTCATATTAATCTCTAAGGAGTTCAGGAACCCCAGTTAGGGGTTCATGTTCAATAAATCCTGTATTCTCTGAGTTCGTCCCTCTTTCCACTTCCTCTCCCCAAAGTTTCTCCATTTCAAACAACCTACAGTGATGATCAATGAATACCCTGGTTACTAAAACAACACTTTGTATGCATGATCATAGGATATTTGAAATAGAGATTTTACTGGAAATTCTAGGACACATGATCTTGTTAACCAACATCATAATTTTCACAATAATATCAAGATTTATAGAATCTTAAGCCAGGTGCAGTGGCTCATGTATGTAATTCTAGCGTTTTTGAGGCTGAGATGGAAGGATTGCTTGAGGCCAGGAGTTTGAAACCAGCCTGAGAAACATAGTAAGACCTCATCTCTACAAAAAAAAATTAAAAATAAAAACAAAATATAAAAATTCGGAATCTTAACCATAAGCCTTATGACCAATTTATTAATAAAAATAACTATTTCTATAACTATTAATAAGTATTTCTAGTATTATTGAGAATTTACTTAGAGACTGGACTAAGTCATTTGGGTGCATTAATCTTACATCTTTTTTTTTTTTTTGAGTCCACGTCTCGCTCTGTCACCAGGCTGGAGTGCAGTGACACGATCTTGGCTCACTGCAACCTCCGCCTCCTGGGTTTAAGTGATTCTTCTGCCTCAGCCTCCCAAGTAGCCAGGACTACAGGCACACACCACCATGCCTGGCTAATTTTTGTATTTTTAGTAGAGTCCAGGTTTCACCACATTGGCCATGATGGTCTTGATCTCCTGGCCTCATGATCCGCCCGCCTCGGCCTCCCAAAGTGCTGGGATTACAGGCGTGAGCCACCACACTCGGCCTAATCTTACATCTTACAATACTGTGAAGTAGATGACAGCTTAATTTGCCTGAAGAGGAAAATGAGGCTCAGTCACTTGCTAGGAAGAGGAAGCAGTGGAATGCAGTTCTGTCTGATTATGGAAGTCATGCTCTGAGCCATGGTATTGCTCCTTCATACACGGAAGTTAGGAGAAATCTCAGGTTATGAGGGGGACACTGGTTTGCCTTTGAGCTTATTTCCTTCTAAAGAGACTAAGAAGGGAAGGAACAATTTGTAGTTAGTGTTCTTAGCTTTTGGATCTGCTTTCACTGCAGCACTACCGTTTGGTCTGCCAATACAGTGCTTTGAGGCCAACAAAAGCTTGCTGATGGGAAACTGGATTGCTGTAACCAACTGGGATTTTTCTAGTGTGGCAGTTGGATTTTCCTTCTGATAATATTTGAGAAGAAAAATATTTTTCCACAAAAACCTCTGGGAAGCAGTTTAGTGCTATTTGGTTTGGTTTTAAGTGTTCTCCACCTGATAATATTTGAGAAGAAAAATATTTTTCCCTGAAAACCTCTAAAAAGCAGTTCTGTGTTATTTAGGTTTGGCTTCAAAAATGTTCCCTCTTATTTGTCTACAAACTTTCAGTAACTGTTTTCCAATTATTTACTGATATACTATGATTAAGGATATATATATATTATAAATATATACAAATATATAATATATATATTTAACAGTACTTCCTCACTGGAAAAGTATAACTGTCTCTTTTCTCCCAGAGAGGACTAATTTAATTTCATTTCCCTTGACAGAATTTATTTGCCACTCAGAGAAAAAGGTAAGAAAAGCAATGCTGAAGCCTGCATGATTCTGAACACTCATGAAATTACTCTTATTTGGATTAAAGTGGCTTCTTCCTTTTAGCTATATTCATCATGTGTCACCGATCTGTGCTGGTCAAGGAAATGAGTAAAGTTATCTGATCTTGCTGACTGAAGAATTGAGTTTGATTGTCCACCCTCACATGGCCCGATGGATTCTCTTTCTTCATGAACATCCATTCTGTTTTAAGGGACTCTGGGTCCTTTGTGCATGGGAATGGCAAACTGAAGTGTCAGGGAGGGGATTGTGGGAGGAGAAAGAAGGGAGAGAGGAGGATGTTATGTAAGAAAAGTAAAGAAATGAATTATTTTCTGTAAGACATCACTTCTTCACTCCTTGAGCCAACAGGGTTTTTTTTTTTTTAAGTTTTTTAATAGGGAGTGGCAAAGTTTCAAATGACTTTGATTTTATAAGAGTTGCATGCTTCCTTTCACCAAATGAAGGATCTAATTCTCAGTTCAGGGAGTTGATTTGGGTCCTGGAAAAGTGAATTTGCCAAATGGCACCAAAACAGCCAGCCTAACCAGCATTGTTCCCAACAAAGAAAACTAGTGAAAAGTCCAGACTCTTAACTATAGGGCAATTGCTATTATTGATTTTTGCTATTTTTTTCCTTGCAGTTTTTGCTTGTGGATCCCAGTTATTAAATTTAAGGACAGATGATGGACCTAGCTTATAGCTTTAAAATCACATTTTAAATTTCACTTCCAGGCAAGATAAAAGTACATTAATTATAATAAGAAGAGAAGTAGAAAGACGCTATGAAGGAACAAGATGGCTCCAGTGGCAGGAACTGGAGTGTGCGGCTCACTTTGGGTAGAAACAGAAATGGAAGTTCATGTTCCTTGCAACATGAAAACAACCAGCAGGTTGAAGAACTATAACCTTCCTGTGGCCTTTTTGCATTTTGTATGCCCAAGCTAATTGCCAGGCTTTTTCATCACTGCCCTTTTGGGCAGATTAGGTTGGGAATCAGACACATTGTTAGTTGCCCGAGAACATCCCACTAATATTTTATGAAAGCAAAGTGTGCTATACTTGGAGTCTGAAGATGCTTTCCACCCACCTCGAGCACAACTTGTACTTTGCTTCTCCGGTCATGGTGCTGACTTTGTAGAGATCCACCCATGACCTTCCTATCGCTGCCTCAGTACCAGTGGTTTCCAAGGGCAGGGCTGTGAGATAGGTTAGGGGTATCTAACAGTGTGCCCTCATAGCAGTGTGGAGAGCTCCGAAGAGACTGAGTTTGTAGCCTCATTGGAGCTGAATAGGTCTCCAATTAGGCCACATGATTCAGGCAACTTTATAGCAATTGATACCCAAACTCATAACATCATTGGAACATACCTGTGAGTGAAGAAGAAAACACAAAGGGGCTTTTGTATTTTAGGGGCCTAGGAATGTTGATGGAAGGGTTCAAATGTCATACTCAAATAGAATTTTTGATGCCAAATCTAGGTAACAAATATGTCTTCATGAAACTCCCATTACCTAAGAGTTATGAATTATGTTAAAAAATTTTTATTTTATCTTGCGCAAATTACTTTTGAAGGCAAATAATATAAACAGAGTATAGATTGTGTCTCTGTGATGCCAAACCATCTGGATAAAAAGTAAAACAAATCAGACGAGCAGAAAAATTTCAGTCTGTTTCAGGGCAGATATTGGTCTTTTTATTTTATTTTTATTATTATTATTATACTTTAAGTTTTAGGGTACATGTGCACAATGTGCAGGTTAGTTACATATGTATACATGTGCCATGCTGGTGTGCTGCACCCGTTAACTCATCATTTAGCCTTAGGTATATCTCCTAATGCTATCCCTCCCCCCTCCCCCCACCCCACAACAGTCCCCAGAGTGTGATGTTCCCCTTCCTGTGTCCATGTGTTCTCATTGTTCAATTCCCATCTATGAGTGAGAACATGTGCTGTTTGGTTTTTTGTCCTTGCGATAGTTTACTGAGAATGATGATTTCCAGTTTCATCCATGTCCCTACAAAGGACATGAACTCATCATTTTTTATGGCTGCATAGTATTCCATGGTGTATATGTGCTACATTTTCTTAATCCAGTCTATCATTGTTGGACATTTGGGTTGGTTCCAAGTCTTTGCTATTGTGAATAGTGCCGCAATAAACATACGTGTGCATGTGTCTTTATAGCAGCATGATTTATAGTCCTTTGGGTATATGCCCAGTAATGGGATGGCTGGGTCAAATGGTATTTCTAGTTCTAGATCCCTGAGGAATCGCCACATTAACTTCCACAATGGTTGAACTAGTTTACAGTCCTACCAACAGTGTAAAAGTGTTCCTATTTCTCCACATCCTCTCCAGCACCTGTTGTTTCCTGACTTTTTAATGATCGCCATTCTAACTGGTGTGAGATGGTATCTCATAGTGGTTTTGATTTGCATTTCTCTGATGGCCAGTGATGGTGAGCATTTTTTCATGTGTCTTTTGGCTGCATAAATGTCTTCTTTTGAGAAGTGTCTGTTCATATCCTTTGCCCACTTTTTGATGGGGTTGTTTGTTTTTTTCTTGTAAATTTGTTTGAGTTCATTGTAGATTCTGGATATTAGCCCTTTGTCAGATGAGTAGGTTGCAAAAATTTTCTCCCATTTTGTAGGTTGCCTGTTCACTCTGATGGTAGTTTCTTTTGCTGTGCAGAAGCTCTTTAATTTAATTAGATCCCATTTGTCAATTTTGGCTTTTGTTGCCATTGCTTTTGGTGTTTTAGACATGAAGTCCTTGCCCATGCCTATGTCCTGAATGGTAATGCCTAGGTTTTCTTCTAGGGTTTTTATGGTTTTAGGTCTAATGTTTAAGTCTTTAATCCATCTTGAATTGATTTTTGTATAAGGTGTAAGGAAGGGATCCAGTTTCAGCTTTCTACATATGGCTAGGCAGTTTTCCCAGCACCATTTATTAAATAGGGAATCCTTTCCCCATTGCTTGTTTTTCTCAGGTGTGTCAAAGATCAGATAGTTGTAGATATGCGACGTTATTTCTGAGGGCTCTGTTCTGTTCCATTGATCTATATCTCTGTTTTGGTACCAGTACCATGCTGTTTTGGTTACTGTAGCCTTGTAGTATAGTTTGAAGTCAGGTAGCGTGATGCCTCCGGCTTTGTTCTTTTGGCTTAGGATTGACTTGGCGATGTGGGCTCTTTTTTGGTTCCATATGAAGTTTAAAGTAGTTTTTTCCAATTCTGTGAAGAAAGTCATTGGTAGCTTGATGGGGATGGCATTGAACTATAAATTACCTTGGGCAGTATGGCCATTTTCATGATATTGATTCTTCCTACCCATGAGCATGGAATGTTCTTCCATTTGTTTGTATCCTATTTTATTTCATTGAGCAGTGGTTTGTAGTTCTCCTTGAAGAGGTCCTTCACGTCCCTTGTAAGTTGGATTCCTAGGTATTTTATTCTCTTTGAAGCAATTGTGAATGGGAGTTCACTCATGATTTGGCTCTCTGTTTGTCTGTTATTGGTGTATAAGAATGCTTGTGATTTTTGTACATTGACTTTGTATCCTGAGACTTTGCTGAAGTTGCTCATCAGCTTAAGGAGATTTTGGGCTGAGACAATGGGGTTTTCTAGATATGCAATCATGTCATCTGCAAACAGGGACAATTTGACTTCCTCTTTTCCTAATTGAATACCCTTTATTTCCTTCTCTGCCTAATTGCCCTGGCCAGAACTTCCAACACTATGTTGAATAGGAGTGGTGAGAGAGGGCATCCCTGTCTTGTGCCAGTTTTCAAAGGGAATGCTTCCCGTTTTTGCCCATTCAGTATGATATTGGCTGTGGGTTTGTCATAGATAGCTCTTATTATTTTGAGATACGTCCCATCAATACCTAATTTATTGAGCGTTTTTAGCATGAAGGTTGTTGAATTTTGTCAAGGCCTTTTCTGCATCTATTGAGATAATCATGTGGTTTTTGTCTTTGGTTCTGTTTATATACTGGATTACATTTATTGATTTGCGTATATTGAACCAGCCTTGCATCCCAGGGATGAAGCCCACTTGATCAAGGTGTATAAGCTTTTTGATGTGCTGCTGGAGTCAGTTTGCCAGTATTTTATTGAGGATTTTTGCATCAATGTTCATCAAGGATATTGGTCTAAAATTCTCCTTTTTGGTTGTGTCTCTGCCCGTCTTTGGTATCAGGATGATGCTGGCCTCATAAAATGAGTTAGGGAGGATTCCCTCTTTTTCTATTGATTGGAATAGTTTCAGAAGGAATGGTACCAGTTCCTCCTTGTACCTCTGGTAGAATTCGGCTGTGAATCCGTCTGGTCCTGGACTCTTTTTGGTTGGTAAGCTATTGATTATTGCCACAATTTCAGATCCTGTTATTGGTCTATTCAGAGATTCAACTTCTTCCTGGTTTAGTCTTGGGGGAGTGTATGTGTCCAGGAATTTATCCATTTCTTCTAGATTTTCTAGTTTATTTGCGTAGAGGTGTTTGTAGTATTCTCTGATGGTAGTTTGTATTTCTGTGGGATCAGTGGTGATATCCCCTTTATCAATTTTTATTGCATCTATTTGATTCTTCTCTCTTTTTTTCTTTATTAGTCTTGCTAGCAGTCTATCAATTTTGTTGATCCTTTGAAAAAACCAGCTCCTGGATTCATTAATTTTTTGAAGAGTTTTTTGTGTCTCTATTTCCTTCAGTTCTGCTCTGATTTTGAAGGAAAAAATGTTAAGGGCAGCCAGAGAGAAAGGTTGGGTTACCCACAAAGGGAAGCCCATCAGACTAACAGCAGATCTCTTGGCAGAAACTCTACAAGCCAGAAGAGAGTGGGGGCCAATATTCAGCATTCTTAAAGAAAAAAATTTTCAACCCAGAATTTCATATCCAGCCAAACTAAGCTTCATAAGTGAAGGAGAAATAGAATCCTTTACAGACAAGCAAATGCTGAGAGATTTTGTCACCACCAGGCCTGCCCTAAAAGAGCTCCTGAAGGAAGCATCAAACATGGAAAGGAACAACCAGTACCAGCCGCTCCAAAATCATGCCAAAATGTAAAGACCATCAAGACTAGGAAGAAACTGCATCAACTAACGAGCAAAATAACCAGCTAACGTCATGACAGGAACAAATTCACACATAACAATATTAACTTTAAATGTAAATGGACTCATTGCTCCAATTAAAAGACACAGACTGGCAAATTGGATAAAGAGTCAAGACCCATCAGTGTGCTGTATTCAGGAAATGCATCTCACGTGCAGAGACACACATAGGCTCAAAATAAAAGGATGGAGGAAGACCTACCAAGCAAATGGAAAACAAAAAAAGGCAGGGGTTGCAATCCTAGTCTCTGATAAAACAGACTTTAAACCAACAAAGATCAAAACAGACAAAGAAGGCCATTACATAAAGGTAAAGGAATCAATTCAACAAGAAGAGCTAACTATCCTAAATATATATGCACCCAATACAGGAGAACCCAGATTCACAAAGCAAGCCCTTAAAGACCTACAAAGAGACTTAGACTCCCACACAATAATAATGGGAGACTTTAACACCCCACTGTCAACATTAGACAGATCAACAAGACAGAAAGTTAACAAGGATGTCCAGGAATTGAACTCAGCTCTGCACCAAGCGGACCTAATAGACATCTACAGAACTCTCCACCCCAAATCAACAGAATATACATTTTTTTTCAGTACCATACCACACCTATTCCAAAATTGACCGCATAGTTAGAAGTAAAGCTCTCCCCAGCAAATGTAAAAGAACAGAAATTATAACAAACTGTCTCTCAGACCACAGTGCAATCACACTAGAACTCAGGATTAAGAAACTCACTCAAAACCACTCAACTACATGGAAACTGAACAACCTGCTCCTGAATGACTACTGGGTACATAACGAAATGAAGGCAGAAATACAGATGTTCTTTGAAACCAACGAGAACAAAGACACAACATACTAGAATCTCTGGGACACATTCAAAGCAGTGTGTAGAGGAAAATTTATAGCACTAAATGCCCACAAGAGAAAGCAGGAAAGATCCAAAATTGACACCCTATCATCACAATTAAAAGAACTAGAAAAGCAAGAGCAAACACATTCAAAAGCTAGCAGAAGGTCTTTTTATTTTTTTAATTTTCTTTGTGGCTAGTCAACTACTGAGTTCATTGTTCTTCAGGGAATGAATGCTGAAAATGATGCTGATTTGAGTCGAGTTGGTCTTAATCTGTTTTTGTCTTTCACTGAAGGAAGAGAGGAAGAAGGATGAGCTAGGAGGTAGAGAGATTTATCAGGAAGTAGAATGTTCTTAAATTTTAAGATAAAATGAAATGAAACATATGACATCTCTGGGAAAATGTAGAAACCATTCCATGAGTATCCACAGGTCTATCTGTCCCATGGCTTTCTGCTATGCTGGGATACCCAGAGAGAAAATTGAGGCCCACGATGGTGTAACTAAGCTTTACAGCTATGCGGATTTAAGTTTTGTCAAGTCTTGAGGCTTGAGAGGATCTCAATAAGTCACAAAGTAATTTACTCAAGGTCATATAACAGACCAGCAAGCCCAAGCAAGCTGGTTCATCACCATATCTTCTCCACCATGAGGGAAACTGCCACACTTGGGTAAGAATCAGCAGGATGGCAACAGGAAAACTTTTCCCAAAAGTCTGATGTGTAGAAAGCACTTGCTGGGCACTGAAGATTTAGAGAAGAATTCAGCATGGCCTCAGATGGTAAAGGAGTTACAATTCAGTGTGGAGCAGGAATAATAATAATAATAATAATAATTAATAATAATAATAATAATAATAGTAATACAAAATCACAGGAAAAGTGTCAGATAAAAAATACAGACAAAAATAATGTTGTTGCCTAGCACATAGTAGGTATTTGGCAAACCTTTATTGAATGAATGAATGAGCACAGAATTTAGGTCATCATCGAAGCACAGCCCCATCATAGGTAGAGTCCACTGGGAAGACAGGCCATATGGAGGAGTCTTTAAGGTAAAAGTAAGACTTGGCTAAGTGGAGAATGAGAGACTCTTGTTGTGATATATATACATACATTAGTAAGAGCTGACTTTGCAGCATAGTTAAAATATAGAAAAATTCAGGCCATTTCTCTTAAGGGGCACTTATTTATCATGAGGACAACTTAGAGCAACTTACTGTTTGGGGATAGATTTTTTAAAGAAGTTTTGCTGCCAAAGTGGATAATACTCTTTGCTCTGGGTGAAAATTCAGATGTTACGTATACAGCAAGCAAATTTGGAAACCAGAAATAAAAAATGGTTTAGCAGGAAGTGACCAGGCAAGGCAAGTGCTAATTAAAAAGCTGAGTAACGTTGTGAGTAACATTCACAATTCAAATAGAAATAGAAGTGGCTAACTTTTATGGAGTATTGATTATATGCAGATGTTGTGCTTCCTTTACTCATTTCATACAATAACCCTACAAACGAGGTTTCATGATTACTCTGTTTTATGGGTGATGAAGTCAAGACCCAGAGAGTTTAAATTGTGTGTCCAAGGACACATAATAGTAGAAGCAGGACTTGAGCCCACCCAGATCTTCCTGTTTCCAAAGCCCGTGTTTCCAACCACACCCCCATTCAGCCTCCTGCAGGCCAGCAAGTACAAATAAAGAGAGCACTCTCATATCCACCACCTAGTCAGGACTGGGATGATGCAGTCTTCTTCAAGGTAGATTGGGATCAAGACCTTTCTCAGTGACTTATCCAGAGGATACACTTACTTTTCCTCATTTTAAGTCTGAAGTTCCTGAAAAAGC
Organism: Homo sapiens; assembly: GCF_000001405.40. Classification (NCBI taxonomy): domain Eukaryota; kingdom Metazoa; phylum Chordata; class Mammalia; order Primates; family Hominidae; genus Homo; species Homo sapiens. The sequence goes on along the minus strand of NC_000005.10, from coordinate 115,056,254 downwards.
ACAGTCTCAAAAAATATAGCCAGGTCTGAAGTGAACTTGTTCTTTTACCTTTATATAAATTCCAAATAAGTCTTCTCTATTAGCACATTTATTAGGACGTTTAAGGCAAGGGAACAAGCCATTAGCTTCTGCTGTGCTGGCGGTTTTGTTCAAAATCATGTGGCTTTTGAAAATAATTGCTAACTGTCCCATTTAAATTTAATTCCTATTCTTCTCTCAAAGATGATTTTCCCATTGTATTTTATTTTTACTTAAAAAAATCTGAAACCATTAAACATTCATTCAAACTTGGAAATGGCTTTCAAAACTGTTACACTGGTGTGTCTGCCATGTCAGAAAGGCCATTGCAGGAAGAGCCTGGACTGTTGCTGTGTTTCCCAGACTCATCTGTTCCTAAAGGACCTACAGTCTTTGCTAAAAACATACATGCCCAAGACCCTGAAAACTCATATTCAGTAAATGTAGAGTGAGGCCTAGGAGTCCATATTTTTCAAACAAGTTCCCCAGGTTACCCTATGCTTAGGCAAGGTGGAAACTGTGAGGTGGAGGGTCTGGAGGAGACATCCCAAGAACGGGCTTCTCAGCACATTTCTCGCACTGACTTGGTTGAGTGACCAAAGAGGAAGGGGAAGACCTCAGTCTTCTTTTCTCACAGTTTCCTAAAAATGCTGTCATTTTATGAGCCCAATTCTGGTCTAGAAACTTGGCCAAAATTCCTGCTATAGGCCAAAATAATTTAAATAATCAACTTTGTGAGCTCTTTCGAGGCAGACATATCCAGGATACAACGTCTTGTTTGCTTCTGTTCACTCCTTCATAGGTATCTGTTGAGTTCTTCCTACTCTGAGAAGAGTTCTTTCTGCTGCCACTGCTGTGTCTCCCTTGGTCTTTCAGGGCCCCATCTGTGCTACCCGACTGATATGGTTTAGGTGTGCACCCACCCAAATCTCATCTTGAATTGTAGCTCCTGTAATTCCCACTTGTCATGGGAGGGACCTGGTGGCAGGTAATTGAATAATGAGGCGGGACTTTCCCGAGTGGTTCTCATGATAGTAAGTCTGATGAGATCTGATGGTTTTATAAAGGGGAGTTCCCCTACACAGTCTCTTGCCTGCTGCCATGTAAGACGTGCCTTTGCTCCTCCTTTGCCTTCTGCCATGATTGTAAGACCTTCACAGCCATGTGGAACTGTGAATTCATTAAATCTCTTTTTCTTTATAAATTACCCAGTCTGGAGTATGTCTTTATTAGCAGCCTAAGAACGTACTAATATACTGATGCTGTGCATCTCCAGGAGAATGCAGCTCTGGCAATAAGTAGTCATAACTGGAGTTATAGGCCCCTGAGCTCTACCCCTCCTTAGCTCAGCTCCTTTATGGGCTCAGACAATACAGAAGTAGGGGTGCTAAGACTTTGCATAGAGAGACTCTCGTTCTTCCCTTTATGGTGTCACAATTTCTGCCCTGGCCTTTAGGAATGCCACTCACTGTGCAGGTATGACAGCTGGAAACTGATCCTACCCTCAAAGCTTTTTTTCTGTTCTACCAGAGTCTGGGGCCCCTTGGCATAGACCTACTCACCCTTCAAACAGAGGAGGCCTTGTGTTCCCTTCTCCTCTGCTTATTTTCATGAGCCAGCAGGTGGGAAACTGGAGCCAACTTGGGTTGGATCATTTCAGTTCATTGTTGTTTACTGACATTCCTCTGCAGTGGTAGGCTGGACAAACAAACAAGACATGTTCCCTGTCCTTGAAGGGCTGATGACAGAGATAAAAAGCATGAGCTTTGGGGGGCAGGTAATCCTGAGTTTCAGTGACTGCTCTTTCTAGCTGTGTAACCTTGAACAATTTATTTGATCTCTCTGAGCCCTGGTTTCCTCAGTTGTGATACAGGAGTCATGAAAGTAACTACCTCATGGGGTTATGGTGAAAATTAAATGACAGCATGCAGGTAAAGCATTTCAAGTGCTGTGTGGCATACAGTTGGGGCTTAATATATGAGGACTATTAATATCAATATGTGCTGAAGAGGCTGGCCCTCGGTGCCCATGTGTGAACTCCACAAGGTCGAATTGGAGCTCAGAAGCCTTGCTCAGGCTAAGCAGGGTTACTTTTCCTTCCCCTCTCTTTTCATCTCTGAGGGACTGCCTTGGAGGCTCTTTCCCTTGAACTTCCTTCATAACTGCAGATGTCATTCACTGTAAAAAAGAGTCCTTCACATTTATTTTAGTTATTGTTGGCAAAGCTCTGTATTTATTTTAGCCCTAATACTGAAAGCCACTCAAGAAATTAAAAAAAAAATCAGATGCTCAGAGGTCTCTGTCTAGTGGTGTTCTGATCTAGGTTTACCAGCAAAGGAGAAGTAGTGTCTTTCAAGAACTTTTATGTAATTTATCCTAGGAGAGGAAGGGACACGATTCTTAGCTTCTCGACGTGGACTGCTAATTGTTATCAGTAGAAAATGTCTGCCTATGGTTTGACTACTACTTGTGCTAATGTTCTCTGCCCTCCTTGTTTACGATCTGCACTTCCACCATTACAGCACTGTGCACTTTGCTCTGTATTTCTAATTTATAATAAAATGCAATCTCAGTGAATACCAGAAATTGAATGTGGTTGAAGTGAGGATAGGCCCAAGCAGAGAGAATTAGGTTTTAAGTCCAGGCTGACCTTCCAGCCTGGAGGTGGGCCATGCCTCCTAGGGATGGCAGGGGTCCAGTCAGGCAGGAAGTGGTGGCAAGGAAGGTGCCTGGCGTCTTTGGCTCTGTGTGCCCTGGCTCCAGGTCACTTCCAGCACTGTTTCCCACCATATTCACTTGACTTTGTGCTCCAGCCCTGTCGACTTCCTTTTAATTCCTCTAAAGTTTCATGCTTTCTTGGCCTCAGAATCTTTGCACATGGTTCCTTCAGCCTGAGCTCTTTTCTCCTTTCCTCCCACCCTTCTTCTTTTAGCTTTCTCTGCATACATCCATTTACTCCACTCTCTACAGGTCAGATCCCCTATTGTATGTCCTCCTCACACCACAAGCTTCCTCCTTGCCATTTAGCCTGGTTGATAAGTACGTACTTATTTGTTTGGTTATCATGTCTGCAATTCCATGAGAGCAAAAGTTGCATCAGCTTCACTTACTATTGCAGGTAGCAGAGTGCTTGGTGCATAGATGTGTTCCATGCGCATTTGTTGAATTTGTGGGAAGAAACAATGGCCCATTTGGTGGCTGCAGTGCCCATGACAATGGACACCCTCATTCTACACCTGTGCCATTTCCATGGCATGACTGCCTCCTGCCTCCTGCTCCTGTGTTCCAGCCAACCGCACACTGGCCAGGGTTTGTTGTAGCATCTTTGACAACAATGGGCTAAGCTGGAGAAGGTTATGTTGTAGAAGAAAAATATATGAACTTAACATTTTGTTTAAGATACTCTTGCAGGCATCCCCATGAACTCCTGTGAGAACTGTTAGTTTAAAATTTCAGAGATAGCAGAGCTAAGGCTCAGAAGAAGTTAAAAGGGTAAGAGCACCTATTTCTCAAATTTCAGATGGGATGATTCCAGAAGAGAGTGCTTTTAATCTCTGAATGTCCTTTTAATCTCTGAATTGAGGACCGAACGACTAACATCCTGAAGCCAGAGGGGCTAAACTCCAGGACCCCAGAGCTAGACCTTTGAGGGGCTGAAGCCCAAGGGGCTAAACTCCAGGACCCCAGAGCTAGACCTTTGAGGGGCTGAAGCCAGAGAGGCTAAACTCTAGGACCCCAGAATTAGACCTTTGAGAAGGCTGTCATTCTTCCTCCAGCACCCAGGAGGGCGAGGTCCTTCCTGGGCTCTCTTGCCCAGAAGCAGACCCTGAGACAGGGGTCCATGTGCAAGAGGTTTATTAAGGAAGTGATCCCAGGAGAAAACTGGTGAGGAGTTGAAGAGGCAGGACAGGGAGTGGGAAGGGGTCAAACAATGTGACATTTCATCCTCAGCTTGATTCCACAGGGGCTCACTGGCATGTACCTGATGCTGCAGAGTTTGTCCCCACTCAAAGCAAGGGAGCTGTACTCTCATAGTATTGTACCACTCATCCATCACAAAGAGCCTCCCTGAGCACCTTTGGCTCCAGTAGCTGTAGCCACCTTCTAAGAGAGGCACAGGCACAGACTGTTGAGGGCAAAGAGCACTGAAGCCAGAGGAGGGGTGCTCTGCTGTGTAAAGTAAAAGGAATGTGAGAGCTCCAGAAGGAGCACCGACAGTGTTCACTACAAGATTGTAACTAAGGTAAGAAATAATGCTAAGGGTTGTAGACAGACCCCAAATAGAATCACATATTCTTATTAAATTAATTCTAATAATATATACTATTTAAGGCCTACTCTATACCAAGCATTTTGTAAGTGCTTTGCACATACTATCTCACTTAATCCTTACAACATCCGTATAATAGTAAGTTATTATAATTGCAATTTTTTTTATGAAAGAGGAAATTGCAGTTTTAAAGAATTTAAATAGTTTGCCCACATTCTCACAGATAGAAGGAGCAGAACCAGTATTCAGACTCAGGCTTGTATGACTCTAACACTCCATGCTTTAAAGCAGTTATTATTTTCCCAAGCAAATTCAGAAGGACATGGATGGACATAGGCAAGCCTCTAGATGATCAGCTTTATCTAGTATCTTACTCCCCTGATGGCTTTGCGGGCCCTCTCACTGTCCATTCATTGAGGGCCTGGTTTTGGAAGAACAGGATAGAGGGAGGGTTAGGGGAGATTATCTAGATCACAGAACTCTCCTGTAGGCAAGACCTTCATCCATCCTCCTTTCTCCCTCCTTCCGCTGCCATCCTGGTAGATCCTTCTGGTGCTTTTTACCAGCTGGGGCCGAGAGCCACTCTTCAGCTTCCAGGGAGAATTGAGCAAAGAAGCCTTTGCTTTTTATAACACTCACACTTTAAGCAAAAATCCAGATAATCCAGGAGAATCCCAGAAATATTGGGCAAGTTTTCCATGGGAAGTCATGGTATGTAACAAAAAAAGCAGAGGCTTTGGAGCATGGTGGATTTGACAAATCCATGAAATTCTCAGGTTCCCTTTCGTGTGTGATGACGGTTCTTACTAGAGTTAAATGAGATGATGTGGCAAAGGGCAGACCCTGGCACAGGGCAGGAGCTCAGAAACTGCTCACTGTTATTTTTGGATGTGACTTTTGGATTTTTGTTTAGGGAGGATGTTTGCTATGGCTGGCTGCCATAACAGAGTGCTACAGATTGGTGACTTAAACAACAGAAATTGATTTTCTCACAGTTCTCGAAGCTGTAAGTCCAAGATCAAAGTGTTGGCAGGGTTGGTTTCTTCTGAGGCCTCTCTCCTTGGCTTGTAGATGGCTGTCTTCTTCCTGTGTCTTCACAGGGTCTTCCCTCTGCATATGCCTGTGCACTGACCTCCTCTTATAAGGACATTCAACATGATGGATTAGGGCCTAGCCTAGTGTCCTCATTTTACCTTAATTACCTCTTTAAAGACCTTATCTTCAAATACGGTCACATTCTGAGGTATTTAGGATTAGGATTTCAACATGAGCATTTTGGGGGCATAATTCAGCCCATTAACAGAGAAGCATTTCCCAAAGGCAGGAATCACCCAAGATACACATACTAGGGGCTCTGCACCCCAATCATTTGCCAACACTTACATTTCTAGTTTTGTTAGGAGAAAAGTATCATGGGGACCTTGAATCTCCTAATTCTTGGGGTACCTCCCTTTTCTGAGCTTTCTTAATGTAATCCTTGGTCTTGGAAGACATTATCATGGATGAAGTTAATTCTCCATCCCTTTGAAGTGATGGGGTGGTCTTGGCTTCTCCGAGTGCCTCAGGTGGTAACCAATATGAAGTGGGAGTCTGAGAAAGAGTAAGAGGAGGGGGAAAGAGGATACCTCTTTTTCAGGATACATTTTTTAAAGAATTGGTTTGAAATTTCTTAGAAGGGAAAGATGTTTCTTCAGTTCATTGCTTGGAAGCAGTGCCAGATACACTCTTTTGCTCAGCCTTGCAGAGACAAGAAAGCAGGCAGCTGTAGATCTAATGTTTGTGTCCCCCAGACATTCATATGTTAAAATGCTAACCCCAGGGTCATGGTATTAGGAGGCGGGGACTTTGGTAGGTGACTGGTCAAGAGTGTAGAGCCTTCATGATTGAGATTCACGCTCTTATAAAAGAGGCCCAAGAGAATTGCCTTGCCCCTTGCAATGAGAAGTTTTGGTCTACAACCTAGAAGAAGGCCCTCGCCAGAACTCAGTCATGCTGTACTCTGATCTCAGACTTGCAGCTTCCAGAACTATGAGAAATAAATTTCTGTTGCTTATAAGCCACCTGGTTTACAGTATTTTGTTATATCAGCCCCAGTGGACTAAGACACAGGCCTTGGGGGCACCTGAAAGCAGATGCATGGGGGATGTCCCCTAACCCATCCTACTCCCTTTCAAAAGCCATCCTCCTTTCCTTTGGAGGTGCTGATGGAGTTGGCAGGCATGTGGCCAAAATAGCTATTAGTTGTTTTTTAATTTCCCACATGGTCCAATAAAGAATTTAAGGCTTCCTTTTCAGAATACTCTATCAATCCAATATTTAGCCACAAGTAGGGTATGTGGGGGCTTGTCTGAAAGAGTGGCAGATAAGTCGATGTGTACTAGGTGAGGAGCTGGGAAAAAGAGGTCCTAACAGAGAGGAAAAGTGTGTGCAAAGGCTCTTTGGAGGGAATGAGCAAGGGATGTGAGGGTGTGAAGAAAGGCATTGTGGCTGGAGAGAGCATATGAGCCTGAAGTTGGACAAAACTGGGAAGGGGGCAGAGGCCGGGCCCCATCTGCCCCATAGACTGTGTTAAACAAGGAGGTGGTGGTGGCAGGATGAGGTTTGTTTTCAAAAGGGTTATTCTGGTTGTCTTGGGGAGAAATGGGCAGGTGTGTGTGTGTCTGTGGGACATTTGGGCTAAATGCTCAGCATCCCAGGAGAATGGGGCAGAGGCAGAGTAAATTCAGGTGGAGCAGTTGGGAGGATACTGAGACAGTCCAGATGAGAAGAAGCTGGGCTGAGGGTGGTGGCCATGGTGGTGTATGGCAGTGGATGGCTCCTAGAGCCATTTAGGGAGTAAAACCAGTAGGGCTTGGTTGTAGATTTAATATAGCAGTTAAGAAGTAGGTGTCAAAGATAATTCCTAGATTTTTGACCTGAGCACTTGAATGTACAATACTGCCATTTGTAGGGATAAGAAATATTGGAAAAGGACTGGATTGTGGGAAAGATCATGAGGTAACTTTGGGACATGTTGAATTTGAGATGTCTTTGAGGCATCCAAGAGGAGACATTGAATAGTAGATGAGGAAATGGAGAACTTAAGTTGCCAAATGTCTTAACAACATTCTCTCTCTAAGAATGACAGATCCAATTCTAGATTTCAGATCTCCTGATTCCTACTTCAGTGCTCATTCCCTGACCAGTTCTTTCTATCAAGTAATATAAAAGAATAAAGGACAGTGCACACATTTTCCTGGGATTCAGGGCTCTTAGTTTTGATCAGCTGTCATAAATATATTTATTTGAAATTGTCTATTTTTAAAATTCATCAGATTTCTTGTTCTACTGTATAACATAGTTGTTCTTTCTGTATAGTAATGTGATTAAAAGCTACTTATCCTGGAGTAGAATCACTGCTCTAGGAGGATGCTTTGGATGTGTTCTGGAGTGATGGAACCACGTGCCTGGGAAGATGTTGGTTCAAGGCTGCCTCCAGTAGTGGCACTGCCTCCCTGGGCATGACCCATGAGAGCAGCATGGCAGCATACTTATTAATGCAGAAAAACAGTATTTGGAGTGGATTAAGAGTAGGGACAGGAATGGTGATGAGTGCAGTTTTGAATATATAGCTGAGTGATGCGTCACTCAGTCCTATTTTACGGTACTCAGTCCTATTTTACAGCAAAGGAAGTGCAGCAGGAGGCCCATGACCCAGGGACCCACGTACTGCTACTCTGGTCCTAACATCAGTCCACCTAGAAGCTTCAGCTGAAGAGAGCAACAGAAAGGTCTTTCAAAGGCACAGCTGTGGCACCAGCTTGAAGATAATACCTCACAGAATGGGCGTCATCCTGTAGGATGCAATATGCATCCTAAATCAACAACCAATATGTAATGCTATATCCCTCGCAGGCAGAATATATGAGTCTGGGAATCAAGGGGTAGAAGTAGAAGTGGTTCCTTTTACCATTACTCCAAGTGGCCCATTTGGGGAATTTATGCTTCTTGTCCTGGCAACTCTGGGCTCCATGGGTTTAGAAGTCCTGGTGCCCAGAAAGGCACGCTTCCACCAGGAAACATAACAGTCTGTATTAAACTTCAAGCTGTGGCTGCCACTTAGTTATCCCAGGCTCCTCTTGCCAAGATGGCATGAGGTAAGGAAAGAAGTCACTAAATGGCAGTAGGAATTTACTCGGATCATCAAACAGAGGTAAGGCTGCTAGGTACTCTTCTCCCCACTGCCGGGGCAGTTGGCTGTGATAGCTCACAACAAAATTCCTCCCTGGGAATTGCCCTAGGCTGAGGGGAGATGCTTTACTTAAGATTTTGTCCCTTCCCTGGGTGCAGCCTACAGCTAAAGGCAGGTGGATCTCGGGGTACAAAATTTGAGCCCCCTTACCACAATCTGGGGCAGAAATGAAGGGTCCTCCCAGCTCCTTGTGGGACTGACAGCCTTTTATCATGGTGCATCACACTTCAGCCTCTCTATTTGCCCAGTCTTGCTGCCTCTACTCCTTTACGGGTGCTGTTCCTAAGGGCATCTCCAGTGAACCATTCACTTTCAAATCTCCAACTCAGAGTCTTTTTCCCAGGGAATTGGAGTGAAACAAAGTGGCTCAGGGAGATGCCAAATAAATAGCTGAAAATATGGGCTGGCATTTAGAAGAAAGATCTGCGTTACAGATATAGACTTGGAAGTCATCCATCTAAAGACAATAGTGAAAGGGCTTGAATAAGATTGTTCAGGGAGAATGATAGATTCTGATACAGAGAGGGAGGATGTCAATTATATTAGAATAGAAGCAATAATAGTATGTGGATTTATAAATGTTACTGTTTGGTGCTTGGTAATAGGCTTTGCAAAGAGAAGGGAGGTAATCTTGTAGAACTTAGTACTTAGAGTTTTTAGAAGTTGTGTTGAAATGCTCAGTTCATCAAGATAATGAAGAGGAGGCTGAAGAATATTTGACTTCTTTTGACCCTAAGGGTGAGATAAGCAAGGAACAGACTTGAAGTAGAACCGGATAGGATGGAGGTCTCCTTATAGAGTAAATGATACCTGCGGGGCTCCTGGTTGTCAGGGTTAGAGATCCCTTACTTTAAAAATGAAATGATAAAATGAGACAAGCCAAATGTAAATAAACAGTCATCAGGTAATTTTTCATATGCTGTTAGACTCAGGTTATGTTCCTGCACAGCTGGTTCTCATGGCCTTTCTCAGCTGTTCATTGTTTCCTTGTCTGGTATAACTTGAGGGAGGCAGAAGTTGGGTGGCTGTCATCACCACCTTCCCCTGCCTCTCTCTGTCTTTTTTTTTTTTTTTTGACTCCTACTTTTCTCTTTATTCTTGTGGCTCTCTTCTTAAATCTGTTTTTCTTTTTCTTGTTTCAAATCTTGCTTACTTTTCGTTAGCCTTTGCCTTATATAGGTCCAAGCAAAAATAATTGTGGTTTTTGCAAATTTTAATGGCAAATGCCACAATTACTTTTGCACCAACCTAATATAAATGAAGTCTGTCAACTTGAAAGTTAGAAATTATTTGATATTGGAATAAAAATGGTATAATTCTGGGAGCACAAGGGTTTAAGATTCCAAGGGGCAACACAACGAGGCTTTAGCCACACCTTCCCTGAACCACACATGAGCAGAGTGGAATTTGTGCTGTCACATATTACAACTATTGCCCTAAGCTTTAATGTAAGATTTGACATATTAGATTTGGTAGCTTTTTCCTTTGTTGTTGTTAATCCCAAGAAAATGTAAGAACAGCATGTGAGTGTATTTCGTTTCACCCAGGGGGTTACTCAACACAAGTATAAGAAAGGTATAGGCCTTTATAAAGGTATAAGCCTTTAAGTTTTAGTATTTACTTAGATATATAACAATGCTCTTTCTTGGAGAACAGATTGATGCTATTATTCAAGCTATATTCATCTTTTAGGTTAATAAGATGTCCTACTTCCGATAACTATATTGAATATTTTATAAATATTAAGTATATATTACTTTAAACCCCAAATTGAAGACAACCTAACATGGGGACTAGTCTCCTCGTTTCAGGTTTCTACCTGGCAGTTTTAAAGTTCAACTACTTAAAAAAATTTTCTTTTAACAGATGAACTACATTTTTTAGTTGTCAACAAAGTAAAAACATCCCCAGATATTTAAGGAAAAATGTACCTCCCTCCGTGTTTTCCACATTTGGTAAAGTAAGAAAAAGCTTAAAGTTTGGATGGATTTGAATAATTTCAACCACACTCTTTCTTTGGACCTTTTTTTTTTTTGACCAAAAGTGTGCTTTCTGAGACATCCAGCTGAGGTTACTGTGTGGATTAGACAGCACACAAACTATACTGACCCTGAAATGTCAATTATTGTCAAATGTCAAAAGGTTTCTTTCTAGAGGGACATGGTGGCTCATACCTGTAATCCCAGCACTTTGGAAGGTTTAGGTGGGAGGATGGCTTGAGGTGAGGGTTTCAAGACCTGGGCAACATAGTGAGACCCTGTCTCTACAAAAAATTAAAAGATAATTTGCTGGGCATGATGGTGTGCACCTGTGGTCCCAGCTACTAAGGAGGCTGAGGAGGGAGGATGGCTTGAACTTGGGAGGCTGAGGCTGCAATGAGCCATGATCATGCTACTGTACTCCAAGCTGAACATCAGAGTGAGACCCTGTCTCAAAAAAAATAAAAAAATTAAAAAAAATTTAAAAAGGTTTATTTCTAAAGTACAGTAGGTGCCCAATCGGCTGAATGGGAGGAGGCACTCCTGTTCCTTATAGTCACTCAGAATCCATCTGATGAGGCCCCACCATCCTGTTGCTTTACTGGCTGGAACAGTCTTAGGGTTGCTATATACAGGGAAGAGGGGAGTAGAGAATCATGCAAAATGTTTTATTATGATTATTATACTTTAAGTTCTGGGTGTGCAGAATGTGTAGGTTTGTTACATAGGTATACACAAGCCATGGTGGTTTGCCACACCCATCAACCTGTCATCTACATTAGGTATTTCTCCTAACGCTATCCCTCCCCTAGACCCCCACCCCTTGACAGGCCCCAGTGTGTGTTGTTCCCCTCCCTGTGTCCATGTGTTCTCATTGGCCAACTTCCACTTAGGAGTGAGGACATGTGGTGTTTGGTTTTCTATTCCTGTGTTAGTTTGCTGAGAATGATGGTTTCCAGCTTCATCCATGTCCCTGCAAAGTACATGAACTCATCCTTTTTTTATGGCTGCATAGGATTCCATGGTATATATGTGCCACATTTTCTTAAACCAGTCTAACATTGATGGGCATTTGGGTTGGTTTCAGGTCTTTACTATCGTGAACAGTGCTGCAATAAACATAAGTGTGCATGTGTCTTTATAGTAAAATTATTTCTAATCCTTTGGGCATATACCCAGTGATGGGATTGCTGGGTCAAATGGCATTCCTGGTTCTAGATCCTTGAGGAATCACCACACTGTCTTCCACAATGATTGAACTAATTTACGCATCCACCAGCAATGTAAGAGCATTCCTATTCCTCTACATCTTCTCCAGCATCTGTTGTTTCCTGACTTTTTAGTGATTGCCATTCTAAATGGCGTGAGATGGTATCTCATTGTGGTTTTGATTTGCATTTCTCTAGTGACCTGCAATGATGAGCTTTTTCTCATATGTTTGTTGGCTGCAAGAATGTCTTCTTTTGAGAAGTGTCTGTTCATATCCTTTGCTCACTTTTTATTGGAGTTGTTTTTTTTCTTGTAAATTTGTTTAAATTTTTTATGGATTCTGGATATTAGCCCTTTGTCAGATGGATAGATTGCAAAAATGTTCTCCCATTCTGTAGATTGCCCGTTCACTCTGATGAGAGTTTCTTTTGCTTTGCAGAAACTCTTTAGTTTAATTAGATCCCATTTGTCAATTTTGGCATTTGTTGCCATTGCTTTTGGTGTTTTAGTTATGTAGTCTTTGCCCATGTCTATATCCTGAATGGTATTGCCTAGGTTTTCTTCTAGGGTTATGATTTTAGGCCTTACATTTAAGTCTTTAATCCGTCTTGAGTTAATTTTTGTATAAATTGTAAGGAAGAGGTCCAGTTTCAGTTTTCTGCATATGGCTGGCCAGTTTTCCAAACACCATTTATTAAATAGGGAATCCTTTCCCCATTTCTTGTTTTTGTCAGGTTTGTCAAAGATCAGATGGTTGTGGATGTGTGGCATTATTTCTGAGGCCTCTGTTCTGTTCCATTGGTCTGTATCTCTGTTTTGGCACTAGTACCATGCTGTTTTGGTTACTGCAGCCTTGTAGTATAGTTTGAAGTGAGGTAACATGATGCCTCTATGTTTGTTCTTTTTGCTTATGATTGTCTTGGCTATCTGGGTTCTTTTTTGGTTCCATATGAAATTTAAAGTAGTTTTTTTCCAATTGCGTGAAGAAAGTTGATGGTAGCTTGATGGGGATAGCAATGAATCTACAAATTCCTTTGGGCAGTATAGCCATTTTCATGAGCATGGAATGAGTATGGAATGTTTTTCCATTTGTTTGTGTCCTCTCTTATTTCCTTCAGCAGTGATTTGTAGTTCTCATTGAAGAGGTCCTTCCCATCCCTTGTAAGTTGTATTCCTAGGTATTTCATTCTCTTTGTAGCAATTGTGAATGGGAGTTCACTCATGATTTGGCTCTCTGTCTATTGTTGGTATATTGGAATGCTTATGATTTTTGCACACTGATTTTGTATCCTGAGACTTTGCTGAAGTTGCTTGTCAGCTTAAGGAGATTTTGGGCTGAGAAGATGGGGTTTTCCAAATATACAATCATGTCATCTGCAAACAGAGACAATTTGACTTCCTCTCTTCCTATTTGAATACACTTTATTTCTTTCTCTTGCCTGATTGCCCTGGCCAGAACTTCCAATATTATCTTGAATAGGAGTGATGAGAGAGGGCATCCTTGTCTTATGCCAGTTTTCAAAGGGAATGCTTCCAGCTTTTGTCTGTTCAGTGTGATATTGGGTGTGGGTTTGTCATAAATAGGTCTTATTATTTCGAGATATGTTCCATCAATACCTAGTTTATTGAGAGTTTTTAGCATGAAGGGATGTTGAATTTTCTCAAAGGCCTTTTTCTGCATCTATTGAGATAATCATTTGGTTTTGTCATTGGTCCTGTTTATGTGATGAATTAAATTTATTGATTTGCATCTGTTGAACCAGGCTTGCATCCCAGGGATGAAGCTGACTTGATCATGGAGGATAAGCTTTTTGATATGCTGCTGGATTTGGTTGCCAGTATTTTATTGAGGAATTTCAGATCAATGTTCATTAGGGATATTGGCCTGAAATTTTCTTTTTCTGTTGTGCCTCTGCCAGGTTTTGTTGTCAGGATGATGCTAGCCTAATAAAATGAATTAGGGAGGAGTCCCTCTTTTTCTGTTTTTTGGAATAGTTTCAGAAGGAATGCAACCAGCTCATCTTTGTACCTCTGGTAGATTTCGGCTGTGAATTTGTTTGGTCCTGGGCTTTTTTTTTGGTTGGTAGGCTGTTAATTACTGCCTCAATTTCAGAATTTGTTATTGGTCTATTCAGGGATTTGACTTCTCCGTGGTTTAATGTTGGGAGGGCGTATGTGTCCGTGAATTTATCCATTTCTTCTAGATTTTCTAGTTTATTTGTGTAGAGGTGTTTATAGTATTCTCTGATGGCAGTTTGCATTTCTGTGGTGTTGGGAACAGGCCCCCAAATCTGGCCATAAACTGGCCCCAAAACTGGCCATAAACAAAATCTCTGCAGCACTGTGACATGTTCGTGATGGCCATGACGCCCATGATAAAAGTTGTGGGTTTACCGGAATGAGGGTGAGGAACGCCTGGCCCACCCAGGGTGGAAAACTGCTTAAGGCATTCCTAAGCCACAAACAATAACAAGAGTGATCTGTGCCTTAAGGACATGTTCCTGCTGCAGATAACTAGCCAAAGCCCATCCCTTTGTTTCCCATTTTAGTTAATCTATAATCTATAGAAACAATGCTTATCACTGGCTTGCTGTTAATAAATATGTGGGTAAAACTCTGTTCATGGATCTCAGCTCTGGAGGCTGTCAGCTCTCTGATTTCCCACTGCACACTCTATATTTCTGTGTGTGTGTCTTTAATTCCTCCAGCGCTGCTGGGTTAGGTTCCCCATGACTGAGCTGGTCTCAGCAAGTGATGCCCATAGATGGGGCTCGAACGTGGGTAAACATGGAACTAAGCTGGAGGACACCCAAGTACTCTTAAGCAATCCCCATGGTGAGTAAGATGGGGAGCTCGGAAGCATAAGGGTAACAATGGGACAAGTGTGGGCTCTGGTTCGTTCCACCTTGGAACCTTTTCACACTAATGTTAGGAAGAAGGAAAGTATAACAAAGTAGCAGAAGAGGTGACAGAGAAGGTATGTTTGCCAGCTAAAGCTAAAGTGGCAAAAGAGGAAGAGGTTCATTCCTACCCTTCTGCACCCCCTCATTATTTTGAAGAAAAAGAGTGGCCTGACCCTCCAGATCTTTCTTTTCTGGAGGACACTGGGCAAAAAGTAGTTGCCTGAGTGACTTTTGAGCAGTGCCTCAAGTGACTGTTCTCAGTTCTATTCAGGCAGGAATTCAGCAAGTTAGACAAGAGGGTGATATAGAGGCTTGGCAGTTTCCTGTTAGGATACACCCACCTGATCAACAGGGGAATGTTATAGCTACATTTGAGCCTTTTCCTTTTAAAATACTTAAAGAGTTTAAACAGGCTATCAATCAGTATAAACCAGGTCTATGCCCAAAATATAAAAAAGGAAAACATTGGGCTAATCAATATCACTCTAAGTTTGATAAAGATGGGAACCCAATTTTGGGAAACACCATGAGGGGCCCATCCCAGGCCCCATTCCAAACCGGGGCATTTCCAGCTCAGGCCATTCCCTCACCCCTGTACAATACCTGTGCCCTGCCACAGCTGGTAGTGCCAGAGTAGATTTATGCTGCCCAAAAGCTGTGAGCCTTCTGCCTGGGGAACCCCCACAAAAAGTTCCAACAGGGGTCTGTGGACCCTTGCCAGTGGGAATGGTAGGATTACTTCTAGGTAGGTCTAGTTTAAAAGGAGTGAAAGTACAAACAGGAGTCATTGATTCAGATTACAATGGGGAAATTCAAATTGTTATATCTCCTTCTGTTCCCTGGAAAGCAGAGCCAGGAGAGTGTATAGAACAGCTCCTGATTGTGCCATATGTGGAAATAGGGAAAAGTAAAACTAAATGAACAGGAGGATTTGGAAGCACAAATAAGCAAGGCAAAACAGCTTACTGGGTGAATCAAATTACTGATAAATGTCCTACCTGTGAAATAACTATTCAGTGAAAAAAATTTAAAGGTTTGATAGATACAGGAGTGGACATTTCAATCATTTCTCTACAGCACTGGCTGTCCATGTGGCCAATTCAACCCACTCAATTTAACATAGTTGGAGTTGGTAAAGCCCCTGAAGTATATCAAAGTAGTTATATTTTGCATTGGGAAGGACCTGATGTACAACCTGGGACTATTCAACCAATTGTAACTTCTGTACCTATAAATTTATGGGGAAGAGATTTATCACAACAATGTGGAGCACAAGTTCTAATTCCAGGGCAATTATACAGCCCTCAGAGTCAACATATGATGCATGAAATGGGGTATGTCCCTGTTATGGGACTAGGAAAAAATTTGCAAGGTTTTAAGGAACCACTTCAAGGGGAAAGACAAAGTTCCCGCCAAGGTTTAACATATCATTTTTGATGGCAGCCATTGTTAAGCCTCCAGAACCTATACTTTTAAAATGGTTAACAGATAAGTCAATTTGGATAGAACAATGGCTGCTAAGTAAAGAGAAACTGGAGGCTTTAGAGGACTTAGTTACTGAACAATTAGAAAAAGGACACATAGTGCCAACATTTTCCCCTTGGAATTCTCCAGTCTTGGTATTAAGAAAAGATTAGGTAAATGGAGAATGTTGACCGACCTCACAGCTGTTAATTCAGTTATACAACCTATGGGAGCATTGCAGCCAGGACTGCATTCTTCTGCTATGATTCCAAAAAATTGGCCTTTAATAGTCATAGATTTAAAAGACTGTTTCTTTACTATTCCCCTAGCTGAGCAAGATTGTGAATGGTTTGCATTTACAATTCCTGCAGTAAACAACCTGCAGCCTGCTAAGCATTTTCATTGGAAAGTGTTGGCACAAGGCATGTTAAACAGTCCAACAATTTGCCAGACTTATGTAGGGCAAACAATTGAACCTCCTCATAAAAAATTTTCACAGTGTTACATTATTCATTATATGGATGATATACTTTGTGCTACCCCCACTCGAGAAATATTACTCCAATGTTATGAACACTTGCAAAATTTTATTTCTTGCACTGGTTTAATTGTAGCTCCTGACAAAATTCAGACTACTACTTCTTATTCCTACTTGGGAACCTTAGTAAATGACACTACAATAGGGCCACAGAAAGTAACCATATGTAGGGATCAATTGAAAACATTAAATGACTTTCAAAAATTACTAGGGGACATTAATTGGATACGACCTGCCCTAGGCATTCCTACCTATGCCATGGGTAATCTATTTTCTATCCTTAGAGGAGATCTTAGTCTCACTAGCCCTTGACAATTAACAAAGGCTGAGGCAGAATTACTGCTGATTGAAAAGCAAGTCCATAAAGCTAAAATAAATAGAATAGATCCAGAGAAGACTCTAGATTTGCTAATTTTTTCAACTCAGCATTCACCTACTGCTGTTATTGTTCAAGAGCAAGATCTTGTAGAGTGGCTTTTCCTTCCACATACTAATTCGTGGGCTTTGACTCCTTATTTGGATCAAATAGCTACTATGATAGGAAATGGGAGAACTCGGTTTGTTAAATTACATGGATATGATCCTGGAAAAATTACTGTCCCTCTCACGAAGGCACAAATAGAGCAAGCTTTTATAAATAGTCTTACTTGGCAAACCCATTTGTCTGACTTTGTGGGTATTCTCAATAATCCTTTTCCTAAAACAAAACTGTTTCAAATTTTGAAATGAACTAATTGGATTCTCCCTAAAATAACTAAATTTAAACCAATTGAAGGTGCTGAGAATGTCTTCACAGATGGGTCTTGCAATGGTAAAGCCTCTTATTCTGGGTCAAAAAGTAAAGTTTTTCAGATGCCCTGTACCTCATCTCACAAAGCAGAGCTTGTAGCTGTAATTGAGGTATTGACTGCTTTTGATATGCCTATTAATGTGATTTCTGATTCTTCATATGTTGTTAATTCTACATAATTAATTGAAAATGCTCATTTATGATTCCACACAGATGAACAACTGATGACTTTATTTACCCAATTGCAAACAGCAGTTAGGAGTAGAATGCACCCTTTTTACATTACTCACATTAGGGCTCATACACTTCTTCCAGGACCTTTGACTGAAGGGAATCAAATGGCTGATTGCCTAGTTGCTACTAGACACTTTCACAGTTTAACCCATGTTAATGCCTCTGGTCTCAAATGCAGATACAGCATTACCTAGAAAGAAGCTAAAGCTATTATCCAGCAGTGCCTAACTTGCCAAATGGTGCATTCCTCATCTTTTATAGGAGGAGTTAATCCTTAAGGATTGGAACCTAATTCTCTTTGGCAAATGGATGTGACATATATTTTCTCATTTGGGAGACTAGCTTATGTACATGTATATGTGGAAACCTTCTCTCACTTTGTCTGGGCTACATGAAAATCAGGAGAGTCTTCTGTCTGTGTTAAATGTCACCTTTTGCAGTGTTTTGTGGTGATGGGCCTTCCATCTTCTATTAAAACAGATAATGCCCCAGGCTATACTAGCCAAGCTTTAGCTACATTTTTCTCTATATGGAATATTAAACATATCACTGGTATCCCATATAATTCTCAAGGAAAAGCCATTGTAGAACGAATGAATCTCTCCCTGAAATGACAATTGCAAAAGCAAAAAGGGGAAAGCAGGGACTATGGGACACCCTATATGCAATTGAATCTAGCATTATTTACTTTAAATTTTTTTAGCCTGCCTAAAGGCCAGATGCTATCAGCAGCTGAACAGCATCTACAGAAACCAGCTCCAAAGACAGAAGCAGAACAACTGGTTTGGTAGAGAGATCTGATAACAAAAAGTTGGGAAATAGGTAAAATAATAACTTGGAGTAGAGGTTATGCTTGTGTTTCTCCAGGCCAACAGCAGCAGCCAATTTGGATACCATCAAGACACCTGAAACCTCATCATGAGCCAGACGCCAAGGAAGAGATTCTGGGAGGATCCCAAGGACCCCCCAGTTGTAGCCATGTCAAGACTGATGCTGAGGAGGACCCAAAATCTCATGAGCAACACCCATCAAACACAACCAACTACCTGGGGAAAGATCAAGAAGCTGTCACAGATGGCAGAAGAAAACCTGAGGAAAGTGGGATAACCAGTCACAAAGAGTAATTTAATGATAGCTATGATAGCAATGATCACCATTGCCATGAGTATTCCTTCAACAAGGGCTGACACAGAGAACAATTATACTTGTTGGGCATATTTATCAATCTTGGCTGGCAATAATGCCTGGATGTAATCACTCTGTGACACAGTGACACATGCTTTCTGATGTCAGTATTTACCATAATAAATCTACTCCTACAATTGAGAGATACCATCCTTAAAAACCTATTTGTAAACAGAATTGGACCTGGCCAGAAATAATGAATGTACTTGTTCAGGAAAATTGCATTGCAGAACAGGCAGAGGTGCTGTGCAATGATTCCTATGGAATCATTATTGATTGGTCCCCTAAGGGGATGTTTAGCTTGAATTGCACCTCTCAGTCTGTGTGCCACAGCCACACTACATTCAGCTGGTCTGAACAAAATGGTCAGATGGTAGAAATGGTAAGAAATATGGCAAAAGTTCCTATTATCTGGAAACATGGCGGTTTAGTGGCACGTCAACCTCAAATGATATGGCCCGCTGTAGGAGCTAAACATAAGGATTTGTGGAAATTATTAATGGCTCTTAATAAGATCAAAATTTGGGAAAGCAAAAAAAAGCATCTAGAAGGATACTCTACAAACTTGTCTTTTGATATTGCAAAATTAAAAGAACAAATACTTAAAGCACCCCAGGCACACCTGACCTTAATGCCAGGAACTGGAGTGCTTGAAGGAGCTGCAGATGGATTAGCAGCAGTTAACCCATTAAAATGGATAAAAACACTTGGAGGCTCTATGATTTCAATGATGATTGTACTTTTAATCTGTGTTGTTTGTCTTTGTATAGTCTGCAGATGCAGATCCTGACTCCTGCGAGAAGTAGTGATAAAGCCACCTTTGCTTTTATCATCTTGCAAAAACAAAAAGGGGGAACATGTTGGGAACAGGCCTCCATATCTGGCCACAAGCTGGCCCCAAAACTGGCCATAAACAAAATCTCTGCAGCACTGTGACATGTTTGTGATGGCCATGATGCCCATGCTAAAGGTTGTGGGTTTACCAGAATGAGGGCAAGGAACACCTGGCCTACCCAGGACGGAAAATTGCTTAAGGCATTCCTAAGCCACAAGCAATAGCATGAATGATCTGTGTCTTAAGGACATTTTCCTGCTGCAGATAACTAGCCAAAACCCATCCCTTTGTTTCCCATATTAGTTAATCTATAATCTTTAGAAACAATGCTTATCACTGGCTTGCTGTCAATAAATATGTGGGTAAAACTCTGTTCATGGCTCTCAGCTCTGGAGGCTGTCAGTTCCCTGATTTCCCACTCCACACTCTATATTTCTGTGTGTGTGTCTTTAATTCCTCTAGTGCCACTGGATTAGGGTTTCCACAACTGAGCTGGTCTTGACACTGTGGGATCAGTGGTGATATTCCCTATATCATTTTTTACTGTGTCTATTTGATTCTTCTCTCTTTTCTTCTTTATTAATCTGGTTAGTGGTCTATCTATTTTCTTAATCTTTTCAAAAAACCAGCTCCTGGATTCATTGATTTTTTTGAAGGATTTTTCACATCTCTATCTCCTTCAGTTCTGCTCTGATCTTAGTTGTTTCTTGTCTTCCGATAACTTTTGAATTGTTTCATGCAATATATTTTTAAGAGTCAGAGTTAGAAATGTCTTATTTGACTTCTGCAAACATTCTATTGCATAAACTCCAGTTTTATTGCCCCAACCAACTGCAAAGGAGGCTGGGAAGTGTGGTCTTCCTTTTTGCTCAGGAAAAGGGACATAAACTGAGCTTTGGTCAATATATGAAATTGTCTCTGCTCTGTATGCCTTTCTTTTAACAATAGAACAGAACATATCTCCCCAAGAGACACAGTCCAAAGATAAGGCCAGTCACTCCATCCAGCTCAAAGTCTGGTAGTTTCTGGTAATTTACAAGTTTATATTAGTTCACATTGATTCCTCTTTGCTATGAATTAAAGAGACAAGATATTTGTTCCCTTTAGTTGTAGGCCATTTTATAATTCCACTTGGAAGAGGGAAGAATGCAGGCTTAGATCAGTCACTGGTTTTTAACACTTCTGAAATCCTGCTGGACAGACATTTTGAAGACCCTTCCTTCCTTTAAGGGTGGGAGTGGTACTTTAGCTAGACCCTGTCTGCTATGCTCAGATAATGTGTCTTTCTGGAGGTTTGGCTGTCCTCATCTGATAGAGTTTTTGAGCAGGTGAGTAATGTCATTGGAGCCGCAGTTTGGGAAGTTCATGTTGCTGCAGTTTGCTTTGTGCATTTGGGCCAGAGAAACAAGTTAGGAGGTTACTGCAAAAGTTCAAAGGATAAATAATTATCCTCTGAACCAGCATGGGGGGCAGTCAGAAGTGATGAATATGAGAGGTGTATTGGAAGAAGGTCAGGAGGAAGAGGAAAGGAGCTCTGATTCTAAGGCCTTACTCCTGGGTGACAAGAATGGTGGATGAGATAGGTCAAGAGCAGGTGCTGACTTTGGGGGAAGATGAGTTTGGTTTGGCCATTACTTTGTACCTTATTCATACAGCGGAAATAAACTCATGCCCTAACTTCATTAATGGAGAGGAGATTCCTGGTTATAACTTTTAATAAAAACAACTCTTTCAGATTTGAGAAAGTTAAGTAAATGCATGTTATATATGGCAATCATCCAAGTATTCATTCAGCATTACAAGTTACTAGCACTGTCAGTCCTGTCATATTGTTATTAAAAAGCTTCCTTGCCACTAGACATACTTGAGCTCCTTTAATAACAGGGACCTCTCTGCTTTACACTTGAGTTCCATCTGTTATTGGAGAATTCTAAACCTCAACTTTATATTGAGCTGAAAGTCCTTTCCCTGAAACTTCTACTCACAGTATCTGGTTTTTGCCTCCAGAACTATACAAGACAGTCCAATATTTTATTTTATTATTTTTATTTTTTTGAGATAGGGTTTTGCTCTGTAACTCAGGCTGGAGTGCAGTTGCATGATCATAACTCACTTCAGCCTTGAACTCCTGGACTCAAGCGATCCTCCTGCTTCAGCCTCCCAAGTAGCTAGGACTACAGTTGCATGTTAGTTTTTAATTTTTATTTTTTGTAGAGACAGGGTCTTATCATGTTGTCTAGGCTGGTCTCTTACCTCCCGGCTTAAAGCAATCCTCCTGCCTCTGCTTTCCAAATTGTTGGAATTACAGGCATAAGACACTAGGTGTGGCCAGGGCAGTATTTTAGAGTCTAGAAGGCAGAAACTGGGCCCCATTTTCTTCTTTCTTTGAGCTACACAACTCCTGTTTTTCCAACCATTGCTTTTATATGATTTAATTGGTAAGAACCTTCACAGGATATGTCTTGAGGTCTTGAAGGGGAAAAGCCGCAGGGCTCATCCTTGCTGCCTCGGAGGTCATTGCGCTGCAGGTCCTCATGGTGGCAGGAGCTGCACATGCTTTGACCAGGCCTGAAGGTCTCTGCTCTTATCCTCTGCTAAGCAGTATCTGATGAGCGGATTCTCATCTTTCTGAGACCTTTAGTTGCAAACCTTACCTTTGAAGTGTGTTCTGAATTGAAAAAGAGATGTGTCACTTATAACATATTTCTATTGTCCTCCCTTGCATGTAGTACAGTTGATGAATGCCTTCAGCAGGTACTGCTAGTAGTCTGTGCAATAGCTGTTTTCTGCCTTCTTCTTCCTAACAGAGTCCTGCATTTTCTGAGACATCCATCCCGCTTTCACATGTCCATGTCCTTCAGGAAGCCATCAGCACTTCTAGACCTTGCAGTGGCTTCTGGTTAGTCTTTGAAAGTATTGGCAATCTCAGTCCTTTTGCCAGTGGCTGCTTTAGGTATGGTGTTGAAAACCAGTTCTGGTTAGTAAGATGCAAGAAGAGATTTCTAGGGGGAGGGGAGGCTTCTGGGAGATGTTTCCTCACTCCTAAGTAGGAGACACCTGGAAAGGTGATACCTTTCTGCCTGTGGACTTTACTGTGTCTGGATGTGGAGCCCAGAATGCTCATAGCTATCTGGCTACAAGCTGGAGGATGAAGCAAACACATGGGGAGGAACAAAGCCAAGTGAATCGCAGAAATCAGTGTGTCAGATTTCCGAACTGTTTATTTATTTTTTTATAACTTATCACATATCGTTGTCATCTTTGGTAATTTTAGTTAGAGTTTTCAGTTACCAGTGGCTGAAGGTGAAATGACCTTGTTGTCTGGGGTGCCACCTGAAATCTCATGGCGGAGGAAAGCAAGAATACAGAAACACCAAGGGTGAGGTTAGAGCAGAAGTTTAATAAGTGAAAGAAAGAGAGAAAGCTCTCCACTGCAGAGACGGGACCTGGAATAGGCTTGCCATTTTTACAGTTGAATGCAAAGGCTTTTATAGGAAACCAATGAGTGCTGGGCATCTCATTTGCATAAGGTGCGAATTTCGGGTAGTTCCACCCCATACTCCTTATGTGCATGTGTGTCCTTAGCTTGAGTTATTCCATATTGCTTTGTTCCTCTTATTGTGCATGTGTGAGGATGGAATTTTCCATTGTGGGCATGTCTGGGCAAGTCACCTGTGTAGCCTTTCTTATCTGTACATCAAGCCCCCCTGTACAAGTTCCCTTATCTCTGCCTGTAGGCTGTTCTTTTGTTTGAGAGGATTCAACTGAGGACCCACCCTAACTGCCTGCCTGACTGGGTTTTTTCCTTTCTCCTTTCTCAAAGGCATCCTAACTGATGTAGTGACTCTTTTAAAATGAGGCACTTGGAAAAGAACAAAGTGCCAGAAAAATGGAAATATCACCACTGATATTTCATACATTATCCTTCTGGAAATGAGAATGCGCTTCAAGATTCCTTTAGTTATTTTATGTTTTGTAACTCCATCATATATTTGGCACTTATTGATCTTGTGGACAGCTAAGATCTCCAAGTTTTTTCCTCTGACAAATTCCATTTTATATGTAAATAAGATTCCAATTCCTGAAAACTCTTTTTCTTTATGCTATAAAGCCAGGGAAATGACTAGGAGTAACCACATTTCTGACTGATCAGAAAATCTGGAAGAGAACATAATTTATGGCATTCTACATACAAGTACATCAGTGGAGACAGGGATCATTGATTACTTATGAAAATTCTTCCAGCTGAATATGCAAGTGTGAAGATGGCCCCATGGCAGCCTCAAGTGCCTCTAGACATAGGAGCTCTGTGCCTCACTGACTATGAGCTTGTCAGAGAACTGCAGCCCTTCCTTGTCACCCCACTCCCTATCCCAATTAGCCTAATGCCTATCCTGGACAGATGTCTGCTGTCCTACTCTGCCTAGGAGCCACCTCTGCTTACACACCTAAACACACTAGACTGTGAGCATTTATTTCCAATAAACACTGTAAATCTGAGCTAACTGCAGGCAAGTGTCCTTTCCAGCTTGCTACCTTCCCCTCTGAAATGAGCTCAGGCTCATCCAGACTTAGACTATAACTCCATTTCCTGAACTGGAAATGGCAGGCAGGTGTCCTAGTGCTCTGATTCGAGGTTGCCAAATGCATTTGCTTGGGTATGAAGTCAGTGAAAGGGGTGACACAAAATCAAATCTTTGACATCTTGCCTTTGTTAATAATAAGCTGTCAGCTACCGAAGACAGAAACTTCAAATCCTTCCGTCCCCTTCCCTCTCTCAGACCAGGAATTGGGCTTTGATGATTTTGCATAAAAATGTAAATAATCACTTATTTGGATGATTGCTATTACGTAACCCCAGATGGCAGTGAGTGCCCTGAAATAATCTTTCTGCAGAATCTTTCAGCTAAAGCAGTGAAGAAATCCAAGAGCCTCCTGGCTCACAAACAATTCTTGTAAACATATCAGTCACCTCTCTGTCTTCAGAGCCTGTGTCCCCTCTGTGAGGGTCAAGAAGGGCTTGGAATGGAAGAAATGCCAGCAGGCATACTGGACACACTCCTATGACTGGCCTATCCTTGCTGCGGCATCATTGCGCACATGGTAGCAGTGGCTTGATCAGAGAGACTTAGAAAGTTGCTTAGTGGAGTACCTATAGATGAGTGTTCCAGTGGCTTTCAGGAGTTCTTTTTGACTGTGTACACAGTGAACATCATGGCCAGTAGGAAGCCAAGAAGCTGAGGGAGGTGTGTATCCTTCCAGGAGCTAGAATAAATAACATAATGATGAAGTACTTTTGTAGGGAGGAAGAACACATCACTGCTTACTGTTATTGTGAAGAGTGGGTGTGTAGAAGTCACTAGTTCTATATCTTTGACATTGTGAAAACTGTAATTCCCAGTATGGGTTATCAGGAGGATCCCTTGGGTTTAGGTAGCAGCTTTCTTCTAAAAGAGTCAAAGCTCTTTTGCATGTACTGTGTCCCATATTTTTTTACATTTCTGTTAGGTGTCCAGAGCATCAGGTTTACTACTTGTTTGTTAGAAGTGATGGAGGAATTGGAACACAAGAATGTCCATAATCAACTGCTGCTTCCATTTAGTTTTTGAGAAAAATAAATATAATACACAAGGAGACAATTGTCCATGAGTAGGAGGGAAAGTACTACCTTATTGTTTGCTGTAGCTTTGGACCCAAGTACCAACTGCTGAGAAGCTGAGCAGGACCTCCTGAAGCTCATCTTTCCAAAGCTTGTGCGCATCTTCTGTTTTGTGTCCTGAAGTTCACTCCTGAATCTTCAAACTTACCATCAGGAAAGGACCATCCAACACACACATGGCCTGTGCTGGAGAAGGAATCCATGCTATGTGCATCCAGCGGAACTGGTAGAGACTGCTTGATAACCTTGGTTTTTCTCTGCAGGGCCAGGCTAAGGTACTGTATGGGAAGACTAAATATGTGCTGGGATAAAGAGAGAAAAAGTCAATTTTTTTGAATATTTCTAGAAAAATTTGGAAAGATACTTCTAATATAAGCATACAATAAGTTTTGTTTCATTTTGAAAAAATATACTTATTTAGTAATTTTTGTAAAAGGGAATTAAATAATATTATTAGTGCATAGGCCTTTACTTTAGTTTAGTGCATAGGCCTTTACTTGGTTTAGCCAAGATCTCTGTCTTCTGGAGAGAAAACATCTAAAAGGGAATGCTGATTGCAGGACTCATTTTGTTAAGAAAACTCGCCACTCTGGATTCATGGGTGGAAGAGACAGAAGGCAGAGAACTATGTCTGGGAACTGACCTTTTAATGCAAAATGACCCCCACCTACTGGTAAACATGGCCCACCTAGTGTTCTCATGTCTGACGAATCCGCATCATCTCCTTGGGGATGATTAGGGACTAGGTAGGGAGCTACAAAGGACACTGGGAGGAGAACAGAGATAAGCCTTGGACTACTTTCCTTATGGCAAACCTTAATATGGATCAGAATCATCTGGAGAACTTGTTAAAACCCAGATTGCTTGGCCTCCATCCACAAAGTTTCAGATTCTGTAAATTTGGGCTTGGGATTTTTTGAAGTCAGGTATCATTTTTGTAACCCTGAGCACAAATGTAGGATTTGCCTTCCTGTCTTTAGAATTACTTTCCTGTCCAGAGCAATGCAGCTGAGTACCAGAGGTAGCTGGAAGCTGAAGGTTGCCTTCTTGTGCTATAGTAAGTCAGAGAGAGGCCAACGTTTTATTTGTTTATTAAATTTGAGAAGAATTAGTTTTGTCTTGATTTTGCTTTTCAGGGTGACAATGTCAGGTTAATTTAGTTAATAGAGTAATTTCATATGATGACAACAGTATGTATAGAACACCTCCTGTTTCTTATTTTAGTAATTTGTTTCACTTATGCATTTTTATGGAAATTATACCCAAAAAACTACTATATTCTTATCATACATTTCAAGACTTAGATACTTTAATAATTATTATACAGAGGTAGATTTCATGGAATAGCTGCACAGTATGTTATATAACAATTATTAAAATTTCTTTTAGCATCTCTGTTTGATTGTGTAATTGCCAGTGTTTTCTAGGTGTTTGGCAGTGTTTGCGATGCTTACACATTCATCTTTGGTCACTTGCCAGAATCGTACTGACTTCTTGTGGGTCTCTCATTGTGTAAGTAAAGGAAAGTTTAATCAAGGTGGAAACAAATTTGGATTATGTATTTTTCAGCTGCACTCATCTACCAGGGAAATTTGATCCAGAATGTTGCCTTTACATAATAACAATTATTGGCGGCATGCACTGTAGAGTAAGATTTCTGGATGCCAACAGATAGAGTTAGATAAACAGACACATCCCTTCCCGCTGCATTGTCACTGCTATTTACTACACGATTTCAGGTTGGAGATATAGCAAATGGAGCAGAGTCATCTGCCTAGGGAGGGAAGAAGAGCTGCATGAATGGAGAATGCTGATCTCTGGGTTCCTCTGTGAAGGGATCATAGCATAAAGGGTGGCAAGGTGCTGCGCAAACTCAATCCACCATGCCTTCCACTCCTCCTGTTCCATTCATCCCTTCTTCTCTACCTCTAAATTGGCACAGGCCCTGATTTTACCAACCTGAGCATTCAAGATTATGATCTTCCAGGGGCAGCAGTGAATGCCTTTATTCCCTCTAGAGCTGCAGTCTTAGGTTGACAGCAGATCCCCACCGTTGGTGACAGGAGTCTATTTTATCCAGTGACTTCTGGGCCAGGAACTGGAATAAGTGCTGGTGCTGTGGGAAGCAGCATGGCAGTCACTTGCCAAATTGCCCATGCACACAGACTCATTGTGTCGTTCACGATCACAGATCAATCCTGCCTTTGACATTTAGATGACAGCGATCACCTTGCAGCTAGAGCACAGCATGGGCCTCATTTAAAAAGTGATTCATTTGCAGTTCCTTCACATCTTCTTTGGTCTAGTTAGTGTGATATTTGTTTCTCTGACAGATAATCTAAGACAGAGAAAACTTGGAATAAATATTCATTAATTCCTAAGTAGAAAGGTACTATGTGCTCATTATAAAAATCCAAATATCCCAGATATTTATAATGGAGAAGAAGAAATGTCTTTCTAATATCCCATTCCCACCTCACCAACAGAGATCTCAGTTGTTACCAGTTTGGCAAAGGGATCTTCACATTTGGTTTTCTCTACCAAACCTCACACAGTCTCTCAAGGTGTGGTATGTGAAATGCTAACAGTAAGTGGTAGAGAGATGAACATATTTTGTCTTACTATTCTGCATTTATTTTCAAAAAGAATTCACATCTTGAATGCAAGACTTCATGAGTGTTATTACTTTTCTGTTACAATAAATTCATTAATGTAAAAAAATTGGTTGATGAGAAAAAATTAATGGCACAAATGATACAGAATATAGCAAGAATTGTGAAGTTAGTACTCTAATGCCCAAAGCTGAAAAATTTTATACGAATATTTATCTTTGTTATTTTATTTATTTATTTATTTTTGAGATGGAGTCTTGCTCTGTTGCTTAGGCTGGAGTGCAATAGCACGATCTTGGCTCACTGCAACCTCTGCCTCCCAGGTTCAAGTGATTCTACTGCCTCAGCCTCCCAAGTAGCTGGGATTACAGGTGTCCGCCACCATGCCTGGCTAATTTTTTTGTATTTTTAGTAGAGACAAGGTTTCACCATGTTGGCCAGGCTGGTTTTGAACTCCTGACCTCAAGTGATCCACCTGCCTCGGCCTCCCAAAGTGCTAGGATTACAGGTTTGAGCCACTGCACCTGGCCTGTGGAGAGTCTTTTATGCCATCAAAGAGTCTGGAATTTTTCCTGCAGTGATGGGGAGCTATTGGAGGTACTGAGCAGGGGAGTAATGTGGGAAATACTGGGATTTGAGGGGGACCATTCTGACTTCAGGTGGAGAATGGAGTGCTATCGGGATGTAGCAGGGACGTTGTGATGGTTAATATCGAGTGTCAACTGGATTGGATTGAAGGTTGTAAAGTATTGTTCCTGGGTTTGTCTGTGAGGATGTTGCCAAAGGAGATTAACATGTGAGTCAGTGGACTGGGAAAGGCAGAGCCACTCTTAATCCAGGTGGGAACAATCTAATCAGCTGCAACATGGTCAGAATAAAAGCAGACAAGGGTACGTGGAAAGACTAGACTGGCTAAGGCTTCTGGCCTCCATCTTTCTCCTGTGCTGGTTGTTTCCTGCCCTTGAGCATCAGATTGCAAGTTCTTCAGCTTTTGGACTCTTGGGCTTACACCAGTGATTTGTGAGGGGCTCTCAGGCCTTTGGCCACAGACCAGAGGCTCCACTATCAGCTTCCATACTTAAAGGTTTTGGGACTCGGACTGGCTTCCTGGTTCCTCAGCTTGCAGATGGCCTATTGTGGGACTTCGCCTTGTGATCGTGGAGTCAATTCTCCTAATAAACTCCCCTTCATATATACATCTTTCCTATTAGTTCTGTCCCTCTAGAGAATTCTCACTAATACAGATGAGATGTGGTGATTTGGCAGTGAGGGAGGGAGCAGAGCCCAGAGTCTTCATCTGGCTGGTTCGATAATGACATTGAGCTACTTGGGGAAGTAGGAAAGTGAGCAGATTTGAGGGGAAAGGCAAGAAGGTGTGCTTTATAGGTTGAGTGTTAGATGTCCATGGGAAGCCCAGGTGGAGAGATCCAACAGTTGGTTTGGTATACCAGACTCTCACACTCACGGATTCATCCAGTGATTATTGAATGCTATGTGCCCTGCATCTTAGATTAAACAAGGTGCTTCCAAACCCCTCAGCCACATATTTATAGACAATTCCTTGGCTACTTCTAACAATTTCTCTGGTGGCTAATATATCCTTTACATTTTTCCTTTTCCCAAATTTTATCAACCTTATGTGTTTACCTTGCTATTTCCAAGAACTTGCCACATGCAGTTACAGAAGAGTAAACCTATTTATTAAACTACATACTTTTATTTCAGAAGTTTATGCTTCCATTGGTTTGTTTCAGATAAACTGCCTGGAAGATGGTCTCAGTCTGTTGCCCAGGCTGAGTACTGTGGTGCGATCTTGGCTCACTGCAACCTCCACCTCCCGGGTTCAAGTGATTCTCCTGCCTCAGCCTGCTGAGTAGCTGGGATTACAGGTATGCACTGGCTAACTTTTGTATTTTTAGTATAGATGGGGTTTCACCATGTTGGCCAGGCTGGTCTCAAACTTCTGACCTCAAGTGATCTGCCCACCTTGGCCTCCCAAAGTGCTGGGATTACAGGTATGAGCTATTGTGCCCAGCCGCATGTTTCATTTGGAAGTTTCCACCCTTGAGAATTATAAGCTATGCTACAGATGTGCAGAGTTGATCTAACTGTGTTAAGAAGGGTTATAAAAACCAGACATCTACCTAACACCTAAGGAAATTTCGTGTATTATTTTTACTATAAACAGTAATATTAATGATGACAAAACCTACCATTCATCAAGTGTCCATTACATACTTGGTCTTCAGGGAAATTATATTTGATTTACACCCATACATTGTCTAACTCATGTAACAACCTGTAGGGCATACATTGTTATTTGCGTTTTATGGAGGAAACACTTCCCCCTCATGGTTCTCCAGAAGCTCCTTCATGGGATTTTTTGTGAGCTCCTTTTCCTCTGGACATTTCTTAAATACTAATATTTTCCTCTTTTCTCTCTGTATATACCCTCCTTTGAGCAATTTTATCTGCCACATGCCTTCACTCACCAGTTATATGCTAATGATTCTCATATCTGTGTGCTCTGCCCACATGTCTGTTCTGAGCTCCAGACAAGTTAGCCCAGTGCCCATTGACTTCCTGCATTTGGTTGTGTCACTGGCATCTCCAGCTTAACACATCCAAAATTGAGCTCATTGTCCAAAATAGACACAGCCTTCAGGAGTTCCTCTTAGGGACAACACTACTGCATGAGCCAGAAACCTGGCGTCATTCTTCCCTTCTACTTTTTAACTCCTCTCTTTCAACTTGTCTCCAGGTTCTTCAATCCTAGTTCCCAACTCTCTCTCACATACATCTTCTCCTCTGTGTCCCTACTGCAGAGCCTTAGTTTAGATCCTTAACCTTTGTAACCTCATTTATAGCAACAACCTCCCAAATGACTTCTTTTTCCTGAGTCTCTTTTTCCCTCCAATTTCTTCTCTATACACCTGTGAAGCTGAGCCTTTTAAATACAAAACTCTGACTCTGTCTTTTCTTTTTCTGCTCAATAGCTATCCACAGTTTTCACAGTTTCTTCCAGACACATTAGGATAACAAATAAGGTCTTATTTCCACCTCATTTTCTGCCAGACCCTTTCCTACTCTTCATTTTTTAGCCCCATTGGACTTCTTGCATTTCCCCATCCTGCTGTGCTCTCTCATCCTTGGAGTCTCTGTACCTCTTCCCCCCATGCCTGGAACATTCTTCTACACCTAAGTTGCTGTCCAGCGCCTACTCTTCCTCTCATGCTCAACCCAGGCAGGGTGTTGGCTGGGAAGCCTTCCTCTTTGCAATTCCACCAAGTGCTCTCTGTGCTTTCAGAGCTCCCTCTGCTTTTCAACATCAAGGCACCCATTGTGCTCTCTTGAAATGATCACCTGTCCTGCCTGCCCCAAAAGCAGGGAGGGAGGGCATCTTGCTCATCATTCTGGCCCAGCATCCATTTGACTTCCTGGCATATAGCAGGTGCTCAATAATTACTGAATAAATGTATTAATGAAAGAATGAGAGAATCCAATAGCTCAGTTTAAAACCAGATTGGCCTGACTCTGAAGTTCATATCCTTTCTATTTCCTGCATGGTTTATTTGGAATCTTCTGCTTTATAGTCTTGGTCTGGACATAATAGCAGCAGGGGATGGGGAGAGATGGAAATGATATTACTGTGTGGTATGTGGTGTTGCATTTGAGAGTGCTGCAAGACACTCTTGACACCCAGTATTAGATGATTTTGCTTTCCACTTGGCAAAGTAGAACTGGTTAGAACCTTAAACTCAGAACTGGATGTAGCCCTAAACCCAGATGCAAATCTTTTACAGGAACCACTTCTGAATCTCACCTTTGGGCTTAGCAGTAGAATGAGTATAGAGTCATTTAATTATTTTCAGGTAAATTATAGAAGGACTTGGGATAGAAAAAATTAATGCCTTAAGCCCATTTCATAAAGTAAAAGAGAAAAATGTTTATTAGAAAATGAAAG
Organism: Homo sapiens; assembly: GCF_000001405.40. NCBI lineage: Eukaryota > Metazoa > Chordata > Mammalia > Primates > Hominidae > Homo > Homo sapiens. The sequence continues at coordinate 115,024,363 of NC_000005.10, read as the reverse complement.
TCATGTGAGCAGCTTGGGAGATGGACTAGAAATTAGAGTTGCAGCTGCATTTTGAACCAATTACTGCTAGAAATAGAAAGCAGAGGAGGAGCTGCTAACAGGCTATCACAGTAATCCAAGCATGAGTTCTCTACAGCAAGGGACTAGTTTTTCAGAGGGGAGAGTAGCTGTTTGAGACTTCAGTACACCGAGTGATGCTCAACTTAGTGATGTTCAGCTTCTGACTATGCTATGCTCTAATAGGAATCAGCACCAACCCATAATCATAAGGGTCCTTTTCTCATTCCATTCAGAGCCTTCACCTAGTCTTTTCTTGCTCTTTCTTTCTCCTCTCCTCCCAGCCAGACATACTTTGTATAGAGAGCTTCCAGGCACTGACATTTATTTATTTTCTCTGTCCATTGTTACCACTTCTGCATTTTTGTAGCAGAGCTGGCTTAGACAGATTCATTTTTCTGTGGACAGTGAACTGCTTTTTGGCATCTGTTATTATATTCATTTTGTGTCCTCTGTGCCTAGTCCAGTGTTAAATGGAGCTGAGGCAAAAGGTTAACCCAGAAAGCTTGATTTAAAACAAAAGACTAAACTGACAAGTTAGAATGAAATGAGTAATTATTTCAGTCAGAGTATTTGGAATTTGTGCAGGTAGGCAAAGCCTAACAATTCTGTAGGTAGGTTCAAACGTGGTGAGACAAAAATTGTATAATAAACAGTTTGGAGTTCTTGAAGGTATTGTATAAATAATACCCCAGAATACAGGGAAATCAATGAGAGAAGAGATGTGATAAAACAAGTACATGACTAAATGTCAAATAAATTATGCAGACAATGGTTACTTCAAATTCAGGGGTGGGATAATTTTGGATTACACTTATAGTAAAGAATTTCAGCAGATTCAGGAAGAGTGGATAAGATTGGAGTAAGGAATAAAGGTTGGTGACAAAAAGTCATCTGAGATTAGGAGTAAGAACAGATATTTTATGTTTCTTTAGCCTTAATTTAGCCTAAGACCAAGAGTATAAGCAGGCCAAGCAGTCTTTGAAAGGTTAAGAAAAAGTAAAAAAAAAATGCAGTAAAATTGGATGGACTTTCCTCTTTAACTTTCCAAAACAAAGAATTAGAGAGTGGAGCATTTTTTAAATGAAGAGTGACCAGGATATCTCAACCCAGTGTATCATACAATTAATACTTTCCCAAGAGACTATCCCTTTTTTCTCGTCTACTTTTTGGTTCTTTGTAATAGCTCAAGTTTATCAATACAGGTTATACTTTTCCTGTTTGGCAGAAGTAATTTCATATTTTATGCCGTATGTGCTTATTATTTATTATACTCATTATATCTTTTAAAAGTTTGTGGAAATAGTAGAGAAAGAAAATCAGTGCATTTTAAAAGCAGGAGATGGGTCACATTAATCAGCCTGGGTCCCCTTGAGAATCAGGTTGGAGCCTGTTGGATGACCTTTCTGAGCCTTGAGATACTGTTGTGCTCAGCTTGTGTGCTGTGGGTGTGATGCAGAAGGACCGCAAGAAATAGTTCATTCCTCTTTTTTTAATCACTCAGTATTCTTCTTTGGTGGCTCCTGTCAACCTTGGTGTAAAAAACACAAGTGTCTCTCAGTGACCCTTCAAAAGGGAACAACCAAGACAGAACAGAATTACCAGTCAGTGCTGGTGTTTTTTGGAGCTGTTTCTTTTTACTCTTTATATTTCACACTAGCAATATTAGCCACTGTTGTTTTTTAAAGCTTAAAGCTTCCCCTTTCTGAAAGAAGAATCATTACTCATCCTTTCCCAGGGAATGAGAGGTTTGTGAGATGCCTACCATTGTGGTGACTGTTCATCTCTTTACCATGGTACTACATTATTGTTCCTTAAGTCTGAAATCTCCACCAAGGAGTCACCCAGCTCTCTCATCACACAATAACTTAACAATAGGCATTATACCCTTGGTTATATAATTGTTCTCTGAGAAATGTTCCTTAAACATTCCAAGCCCATTTCACAGCCTTTGGTTCTGTTACAGGATGATCTACTTATGTATTATCAAAATCTTATTCAGTGACTCTCAAATTTTAGTGAGCATCAGAATCACCTGGGGAGAGGGGCATGTTAAAGCACAGATGGCTGCCCCTTCCCTGAGTTTCTATTCAGCAGGGCTGGGGAAGGGCCAAGAATGTGCACTTCCGACAGTTTCCCAGATGTTGCCGATGCTATTGTTGCTGTTGCTGCTCTGGGCACCAGACTTGGAGAATCACTGATCAAATATTCAGATCTCTGCTTGTCATAGAGACAAGTTCAGGGTGGTTTATGATGTGTCACTAAATTTAAGACTTGACCGACTCCTGGAATGTATTTTGATGGTGTCTTCAAGTTTGAAAGATCCTAAGTTTTTATGTAATTCTGTGTGGGTTCTCATGGATAAAGACAATGCCGGGGACCCAGCTGAAAGGTCTATAGCAACTGTGGGAATTCTTGGCATCATTTTCTGGTATCTCCCAGAAAGAGACAACACCACAAAATGATGTGAGCTGCTAGACTTGGATCAGCAACTAGAGTCTGTATCTGAATGGAGATAAAGGGTTCATAAGTAATATGTGGAAGCCTAGCCCTTTCAAGAATACTTAAAACTTAGAAAAAAGTAAGCAGGGCCTCTGAGAATTAAGAAAAACCACTGTCCAAAGCCTGTAGACTTGACTTCTAGAAATGGACTGTAGCAGCTTTAGGCCCACTTGGTTTAACCCAGGGGTCTCTAATCTCTGGGCCATGGACCAATACTGGTCTGTGGCCTGCTAGGAACCAGGCCAGATAGCAGGAGGTGAGTGGTGGGCAGGTGAGCAAAGCTTCATCTGTATTTACAGCTGCTCCCCATTGCTCACATTACCACCTGAGCTCTGCCTCCTGTCAAATCAGCAGCAGCATTAGATTCTTATAGGAGCATGAACCCTATTGTAAACTGCACATGTGAGGGATCTAGGTTGCATACTGTTTATGAGAATCTAATGCCTGATGATCTGTCACTGTCTCCCATCACCCCCAGATGGGGCTGTCTAGTTGCAGGGAAACAGGCTCAGGGCTCCCACTGATTCTACATTTTGGTGAGTTGTGTAATTACTTCATTATATATTACAATGTAATAATAATAGAAATAAAGTGCACAATAAATGTAATGCACTTGAATCATCCCCAAACCATCCCTTTGTAACCCTCTCCTTGTAGTGACTCCAAATACTGACAATACTCTCAATTTTCCAGCTTCAGTTTCCTTCCTTCCTTCCTTCCTTCCTTCCTTCCTTCCTTCCTTCCTTCCTCCCTCCCTCCCTCCCTCCCTCCCTCCCTTCCTTCCTTCCTTCTTTCCTTCCTTCCTTCCTTCCTTCCTTCCTTTCTGTCTTTTTTTTGTCAGTCTGACTCTCTTCCCCAGGCTGCAGGGTAGTGGCATGATCTTGGCTCACTGCACCCTCCACCTCCTGGGTTCAAACGATTCTCCTGCCTCAACCTCCTGAGTAGCTGGGACTACAGGTGCCTGCCACCACGCCCAGATAATTTTTGTATTTTTAGTAGAGGCAGGGTTTCACCATGTTGGCCAGGCTGGTCTCAAACTCCTGACCTCAAATGATCCACCCACCTCGGCCTCCCAAAATGCTGGAATTAGAGGCATGAGCCACCACACCTAGCCCCAGCTTCAGTTCTTGCCTTTCTTTAGATAGACTTATATTTCCATTTATTTCACTTTTCCAGTCAGAAAGATTTTACATTTTTAAATCTTAACTTTTGACTTTTGGTTTCAAAACCTACTTCTCCTTTAGTTCTCATCGTCTCTACTAATGTAACACCTCTGTTGCTGGAGCCAGAAGCTGGAGCTGTCTTTTATTCTTCTCTTTTTTTTTTTTTTTTTTTTTTTGAAGACAGAGTCTTGCTCTGTCGCCCAGGCTGGAGTGCAATTGTGCAATCTCAGCTCACTGCAGCTTCCGCCTCCTGGGTTCAAGTAATTCTCCTGCCTCAGCCTCCTGAGTAGCTGAGATTATAGGCATGCCACCATGCCCGGCTAATTTTTTTATTTTTAGTAGAGACGGGATTTTACCATGTTGGTCAGGCTGGTCTTGAACTCCTGACCTCAGGTCATCTGCCCACCTCAGTCTCCGAAAGTGCTGGGATTATAGGCGTGAGCGACCATGCCCCGCCTATTCTTCTCTTTTCCTTACCACCACTATACATTTACATTCTTTCATTTTGGATATTTATATTAGATTGTTTCTCCTCCTCTTGCTCTTCCCCTTCCTTTTGCCTTTCTTCTTTTCCAATTGTCCTCAAGCAACAAAAAAACTTTTTAATTCATGACTCAAACAAAATTATTTTTATATTTATATTTCTTTTCAATTTTTATCCTGTATGTTTCATTTTATAAATCACTCTGTCATAGTATACATATAATTTTTGTTTCACATTCTCTCCTTTTGGTTTTAAAATATAAATATATATATATATATATATAATTTATTGCCTCATATGGCTAAAAATGCCAAGGGAAATGGCTTACTCTAGGACTCCAGGCTGAGTCTCTCTCTTCTTCTCCCTCCTATACTTTTCTCCTGTTGAGTCCAATCTTAGGCAGGGTCTTTCCATGTGCAGGTAGTTTACAGATGCTCCTGGTGTAATCCACTAGCTAGGTGAGAAGCAGCTTACTTTTAGTTCCTTATTGCATTGTGGTTTTTCTAGGTTCAATTATGTTTTTAAAACATATTGTTGATAAATGTTAGTGAGATTCTATTGGTGATAGACTTGTTCAGTTTTATTTTATTTAAAAAATGCCTTTATAATTAGCTGAGTCAATTATAGATCGATAGCTTTGGAATATTCTTCTACTGGCCCATACCTTCTGTTGTTGCCGTGCAGAAGTCTTACTCAGTCTAATTGTCATTTCTTCGTGGGTAATCTGTCTTTTCTCTTTAGCTGCTTTTAGGATTTTTGCATTTGTTTTCTTGCACTTCCACTGTGATGAGGGATGAAGATGGAAAGGAGTGAGTCAGTAGGCATAAGCTCAGGTTAGATGGGGTAGCAAGGTCAAGGGGAAATCTTACCTAGAATAAGTCAGGCAGAAATCTTTGACTTTAAAGGTTCTTAAATGTTCTGAGCTATTGGAAAGAGCTAGTGGATGTGATTGAAGTAGAGGTTTAGCTTGGCTAAGGACTAGTGATGAATTTTAAAAATCATGTTTGAGTGTCATTTTTGGGATATTACTAATAAATCACCACAGTGATAGTACTTTTAATTGCTTTGCCTAAACTTGTGTTGTTTATTTACTTGACTCTAATTTGCACTATTTATGCAAGAGGTGAACCTTTTTTTAATCCTTGGTATTCCTATGGACATGAGTGGTTCATTAGCAGACTGATATTGAAGATATACCTGAGGTATTACTGAGCTATTTGTCCTAAAATCATTTTAATATTTTAGAAACTGAACTCCTAGAAACTCATCTCATGTATCTTCCCCCTAAGCTGTAGGGTATCACTAGAGGGTTCATTTCTTAAATACCTATTAAAATATTTTTCCTGATCTTCCATAATTTTTAATGGATCAAAGATCTTAGCAAGTTCTCCTAATATCTAACTTATTTTTTTTCTGCTGGATATAATCTTCTAAACTATCAGTAAAAATAATCATGTTCATGTCACTCTTACATTAGCCCTTTATCTATTTAAAGAAAATTATTAAGTTTCTCTTGAGCTTTTTCTTTTCTGGGCTAAATAAGCCCCATTTCTTTATAATTTTCTCATGGGAAATATTTTCTAATCATTTTCATTGTTTTCTTTTCCTGGACCCCATCCAAATTTTTGGTATTACACTTCAGTTGCTGAGCCAGAAAATGGGCAATTAATAAAAGCTTGACCAGTGCTGAGTGGGAAGGGAGGCTAACATATGGTTTTTACATGGTTTATTATAGATCCTGTGTTAACATGTAGGGCCTATTCCCCATGAGGAATAATCTCATTCTAAGCAGCCAAAAATTTCATTTCTTCCTTCAGAGCCTTAAAAGCACCCCTACTAGATCAGCTCAGTGATGCATCATTAAAGCAATGATATCTTACCCTGTTGTCCAGGCTGGAGGGCAGTGGCACGATCTCAGCTCACTGCAACCTCCGCCTTTCGGGTTCAAGTGATTCTCTGGCCTCAACCTCCTGAATAGCTGGGATTACAGGGGTGCAACACCATGCCTGGCTAATTTTTTGTATTTTAATAGAGACAGGGTTTCACCATGTTGGTCAGGCTGGTCTCAAACTCCTGACTTCATGTGATCCGCCCACCTTGCCCTCCCAAAGTGCTGGGATTACAGGCATGAGCCACTGCATCTGGCCACAATGACTGTTTTTTACAGGAAGGCTGAGAAGTTTTGCCAATGAAAGTGAGCACCTTATTTTAGGTTGATTTCCTGGGTCATCCTTGAAGCACTGTATTGCTTTAATTGAATTTTTATCTATATCTGAGATGCTTGGGTGTGTCTTTGTTGGCTTTTTTGAGCTCCTGTTTATTCTGTCTTCATTTAGTCTGAAGTCAAAAAAAGAAAGGAGGTTATGGCCTCCTTTCTATGCCTGCTTGTTTAGGACTCATATGATATTCCCTTAGTCACAGAAACGTACTAGGTCACTGGGTGCTTTGCACAGTAGTTACAGTATTTCTTTTCTTACCATCCTAAGCAATAGATCTGGAGAAAATTGGGTTCTCCTTGAATGTCACGGTTTTGAAGGATTTGAAGGGCAGAAAACTCCATAGTACCCTCTCCTCAGAAAAAAGCTCTGAAATGGCTGGTAAATTCTGTTTTCTCTTTTCTTCTTTCTTTCTTTCTTTTTTCTTTTTTGACTGAGTTTCGCTCTTGTTGCTCAGACTGCAGTGCAGTGGTGCTATCACAGCTCACGTGACCTCTGCTTCCCAGGTTCAAGTGATTCTCCTGCTTCAGGCCTCCTGAGTACCTGGGATTACAGGTGCCCGTCACCACGCCCAGCTAATTTTTTGTATTTTTAATAGAGATGGGATTTCATCATGTTGGCCAGGTTGGTCTCAAACTCCTAACCTCAGGTAGTCCACCAACGTTGGCCTTCCAAAGTGCATGGATTACAGGCTTGAGCCACCATGCCCGGCCTAATTGGATTTTCTCTAAGTTCAGCCTGCTCTCCACAGAGGATTAGTCACTTCAGTTCCTGAGGGGCACTGAGATTCTGGCACGATCACAATTTCATTAGCTCTGACTAACTAATGCATTCTCTATAATGATTACTTTAAAAAATAAAACCACGTATTATTTTAGATAGTATGCAAACACCCCTCACTAGAGTTATTGGAAAAAATATTGACCCTACTAGCTCAAGTTCAAAACTGATAAACGCCTCTATAGCCAGCAAGGGCACAGTCTTCCCTCTCCTCTAAGGGTTAAATTCCTTGCTGTAAACTCTGCTCTGAGTTACTGCTGTTTTAGCATCTTTGTATTTCTGGAACTCCATGTCTGACACTGCTGGTGAGATTATCTGCACACAGCTGGGAAAGAACATCTGCCTCATAATTTGAACAACTTTCTTTTTTTGATGAGCTCAAGTTCCTCATTTCAGATAAGAGTGTTATTATTGATCCTTGGAATAATTCCTCTGTTAGCAGAAGCTCATTGTTGTTGAGGGAGAAATGAGGGGCAGCATGTATGCATTATGATAGGATTTACTTTCTTCACCTCTCTTTTTTTTAGAAAAAGACTTTTTTTTAGAGCAGTTTTAGGTTCACAGCGAAACTGAGTAGACAGTACAGAAAGCTCCTATATGCCCCTCTCCCCACACATGCACAGACTCTCCATTATCAACTCCCCCACCAGAGTGGGACATTTGCTGACCTCCAGTGACACACCATCATCACTCAAAGTCCATAGTTTAGATTAGTTTCCCTCTTGTTGCACATTCTATGGGTTTTGACAAATGTGTGATGACATGTCATTGTACAGTCTCCCTCAGTGTCCTTGGGGAATTGGTTCTAGGACTGCTCATGGATACCAGGATCCAGGCATACTCAAGTCCCACAGTCAGCTGTGCAGAACCTTCAAATACAAAAAGTCTGCTCTTGTGGGTTTTGCATCCCACCAACAGTATTTTTGATTCTTGTTTGGTTGCTGTGTTAGTCTGTTCTCATGCTGCTATGAAGAAATACCCAAGACTGGGTAATTTATAAAGAAAAGGGGTTTAATTGACTCAGTTCCACATAGCTGGGGAAGCCTCAGGAAACTTACAATCATATGGAAGGCACCTCTTCACAGGGTGGCAGGAGAGAGAATGAGTGCCAGCAGGGGAACTGCCAGATGCTTATAAAACCATCAGACCTCGTGAGAACTCACCCACTATCACAAGAACAGCATGGAGGAAACCACCCCCATGATCCATGATTCAATTACCTCCACCTGGTCCCATGCTTGACACGTGGGGATTATTACAATTCAAGGTCATATTTGGGTGGGGACACAGAGCCAAACCATATCAGTTGCAAGTGTGGAACCTGCTTAAACAAGGGCTGACTATATTTACTGAAAAATATCTGCAGATAAGAGGACCCATACAGTCCAAATCCATGTTGTTCAAGAGTCAACTGTAGTATCATATAGAATAGTTTCACTGCCCTAAAAATCTTTTGTGCTTTATCTATCCATCCTTCCCTCCCCCAACCCCTGGCGACTACTGATCTTTATATTGTCATCTTGGTTTTGCCTTTTCCAAAATATCATATGTCTGGAATCATAAGTATGTAGCCAGATTGGCTTCTTGCAATTAGGTATATGCATTTGAGTTTCCTCCTTGTCTTTTGATGACTTGAAAGCTCATTCTTATTTGTCTACTCATCTCCCAAAGGACGTCTTGGTTGCTTTCAAGTTTTGGCAATTATGATCAAAGCTGCCATAAACATCCGTGTGCAGGTTTTTATATGAAGGTAAGTTTTCAACTCATTTGGATAATTACCAAGGCCTGTGACTGCTGAATCATTTTATTCCTTAAGTCTCATTTTCATCCATTGCAAGGAGCAAGCATATATTGAGGACTTACTATGTGTCAGAATTTTCAATAAATTATGTCATCTCATCCTCATGATTACCTTGCAAGGTATTTTTTTCTTTTTATACATGGAGAAAGTGATGTTTAGAAAAAAGTTAAGCAATTTGTTCAAGGAAACATTTGAACAAATTGAAGATTTAAATAGAGAAACTTCTAGTCCTAGAGAATTTTTATTTTATCTGAAATAACCTGGAGCTGGAAGGGACATTAGGGAGGTATGGCCTTGAGCAGGCACACTGCTAAATTTCTGGGGCCTACGGCAAGAATATAAGTGGAGGCCCAAGTACCAATTGTCTTAATATTTAGAAGTAATAAATCAGGCAGGCAAATTGTAAATAAGGTGTTCTGTCCACCTACTATGACAAGACCAACTTCATACCAACTTGAAGGGCCAGATTTGAATCTGGAATTCTCTGACTGCTTAAAGTTTAACACCAGAATGTGATGGCATGGGAGAGGCTGGCTGCAGTCCCTCCTACCCCTTCTCATCCCTTAGTCCTGCACTGCATGGGGCCTTCAGGTACACATGTAGATTTACAAACCTCCATATGCAAACCCATCTATACTCTCTGCCAAAAGCTGTCCTTTGGTCACCCTTCAGACCTAGGGTGGACATAATGGGATGTAGACTTTTATTGAGAGGATGGACACAGGGAAGAGGTCTACACTGGCCCTGGAAGTAGGAGTGTGGCCATTTGTACAGGGAATTTGAGGATCCCAGGGGTCCAGAGCATGATTAGAAAGGATAAAAGCTTCAGGTAGGCAGATTTCCTTGACTCTGTGGTCTCTCTAACCTGCTGGAGGGGAAGGAAGGGAAGTTGTAGCTAAGGAGACACAGAATGGGGCCCAAGACAAGGTCTCTTTTGTCCAGGTCTAGGGATAGAACTGGATCCAGGTGTCCCATTTCATAGATAAGAAAATGGAGACCAGAGAGATGGTGAATTTCTCATCGCATTCCTAGTTAATGGCTGCACAAGGACGTCCTGATTCTCTGCACTTTTCATAAGGTTGGCTTTATAAGGCTGGGTTGTTCTACATATATCCATTAATATAACCCTATCCCAGGAATCCTTTTCACCAAAGAGCTTAAAAACCTGCCCTGGGTATCATTTTTACTCAGTCACAACCAGAGACTCTTGCATAAACAAACACTATTCTCTGTTTTAGATGACATTACAAAGCAATCAATACCTCAGGAGATTTCTAAAGGCTAATTTGAAACTTTTGGAGACATCAATCACAGAATAGTTCCCAAATAATTTCCAAATTACTTCCTATAGAGGTCAGTTTATTGATGTACTTGTATGAGTCAACTGGCCCACCAAGAAACCACAATTAGAAATGTGATCAACATAAACTTAGTTGAAACAACTAGCAGATGTTTTCAATGATTTGCATATGAATTAGTCACGAGCTTTAGAAATCTAGCTTATTAAGGGTTCAGATTATTTTGTACATTTTCCCTTCTGTTGGAATGTGCTGAAGGAAATCTTCTATTTATTAAAAGGCCATGCCATAAACGTCTTCCAGTATTCAGGTTTTTGCTATGCATAGGTAATTCCTGATATTATATGCTTATACATTTATATATAGATATCAAAGTAAAAAAACACTTTATTTCTTATAATGTACATTTTATATGCTATCTAATTTGATTCTTACAAATGCCCCACAAGGTAAGTTGGCCAAAGGTGTTATCATTCCAGTGTTTAATGGGGACACTGAGGTGCAAAGGTACTGATGGCTCACATAGCTGGTGGGTACAGAGTTGGAGTTTGACTCTAAATCTGTACCGCTCTGCTTCTTATGAGTGGAGGACATTTAGCCTCTTTTAAACCTCAGACCACTGTGGCTTTACTTTCCAGAAATTCTTGTGTATGTCCCCTGAAGCAGCATAACCGGCATAAATCTTTATGCAGAGATCTATGTCACTTGGAAGCCTCGTAACCCCAGCTCCCCATCTGGAACACTCTTTTATAATTACAAAATCCAAATGGACATCGAAGCTTTTTTTTTTTTTTTTTTAAATCAGAAGTCAGTTAATAAAACACATGGTACATACTATCAATATTCACTTTTAATTCAAATAAATATTTATTATGATGCATTTTATCCCATACTATAATTAATGCATCAAATTCTTTTCTATTCCTTTCTTCTTTTTCAAAGTTACATTGAAACTTTCTCACCTTATCTACGCCTGATGTGAGACTAGCTCTTCTCAACACTCAACAACATGGCCGCCAAAGTAGTGAAACAAAGAGAAAGAGAGATAAGTGAGAAGAAGACTAACTCTGTTGGGATTATGGTTGGATCACCTTTTTATCCTTTCAGTTATTTGTTAATCACCCCCTTGAAACACACCAATTTTTAATGCCACGAGGATATCCTTACACTGTAAACACTACAGTAGAGAGAGAAAAGGGCATGATTTGAAGCAAAATGTGGTCTCTCTTATAGAAAACATTTTCTGATAAACATTAAGGAAAATATTAGGTTAAAATAATTTAATTGTTTATATCAAGTTAGCAATTTTTTTTTTGTATAGGACCATATAGTAAGAGTTTTAGGGCTTATGGGCCACACAGTCTCTGTCATAACTACACAACTACATTGCAGTGCTAAAGTGGGCACTTTCCAATGAACATGGCTGTGTTCCAACAAAACTTTATAGGAACAGGTGGCAGGCTGCATTTGGCCAAATGCAAACAGGATATAGTTTGCCACCCCCAGATTAATATATTTGAACTTACCTCTTCAGCCTATTAGTCAACAGTCTAAAAGGACGCTGTTCCAGTAGTGGGATTTTGGGTCTTACATCACTCTTGGTTACCATTCCTGTCCTGGGCAGAAACCCTCTGACTCCACATATACCTTCAGGACTCAACTGCCCTCTTTATCTGTCAGTGTCCTCCAGCTATGTCCTCCTTCCTTTTCTCTTAATAGTTATAGTGTCAGTTATCCATTGCCACAATAAAGTGCACAACAGTCACAAAACCTTAGTGGCACCAACCACTTTTTTATTATTGCTCCTGAGTCTGAGTCAGATGGGCTGGCTGGGTAGCTCTGCTGATTTTGGCTGGGCTCACTTACCCACCTGAGGCTGTGCTGACCGAGATGATGGGTGACTTGGCTCCAGCATGCTAGCCAGGTATGTTTTCATGACAAAGGCAAAGGTGCAGAGCCTGAGTAGAAATGTGCAGCGCTCCTTGAAGCCTGGCAAACTCTCTTCTGCCTCCTTCTGTTGGCGAGTTCATATTCAAGAGGTGGGTAAACAGACCCCACCTTTTCAGTGGGAGTGATTGCAATTTCATCTGGCAAATATGTGGACATAAGGAGGGGTAAAGAATTGAGGTTATTAGTGTAATCAGTCCACGAGAGTCATCTAGTCTAGTAGATTCTTCCTTCTCTCTTTCTAGTGCCATCTCCCTTTATTCCTGTTACTGTTTCTTAGGTCCAGCTCTTACTGTCTCAAGCAGGTGCATTAGGATTCTCACTTGCATTCTTCACCCCTCCAAGGCACCAAACACGTCTTATGATACAGAGCTCTGGTGGTATCAGTTCTGCAGTTAAAAACATTCAGTGTCTACCCATGAAATTCTCTTGGACTGATTTCTAGGAGCTCTACTTTTGTGCTCCATTTCACCTTTCCAGCTTTATATACCACTTTCTGCTATATCACCCTATGGCAAAGCAAACCACTTCCAATTCTCTAACCATTCCTTAATTTTTCTTATCTTGACCCTTTCTTTAAACTGTCTCTGTTTGTAGAAATTGTCTTCCTCCTTCCAGATGCAGCTCAGATGCTTCTTCTTTCAGAAACTGGATCAGGCTCCTCTCCACAAAGACTGGAGCTCTCCTTGAAAAGTCATGATCCTTTCCTTCTCCTTTACATAAACATTTGGCACATTTTATCTTGAGTTATAGGGTATCTATTTGGATGATGACTTAGCACTCCCAACAGATTTACATTTTTTTTTTCAGGATGAACTGTGGCTATTTGACATCTCCAGGTCCCTGGCATAGTAGCACAAAGTAAGCATTCTAACAAGGTCTGAGGAAGGACTGAGTGCTTGAGTGAAGGTGGCAAGGAAAGAGGGCACCTCAGTCTCCAAAAGAGTATTTTGAGGTTCCAGAGTGGCTGCTTCCATCTTTTCAGGTTCCAATGGAAAAGGAACAAACTCCTCTTCCATTTATTTTTGTTATAAAGGGCTTTAGTTAGCAAACAGCTGAAGCAGCCTGTCCAGATGTGGAAAGAGCCCTTGCTTTGTTTTTTCAACCAAACCTTTTGTTGCCTGGCTAATGTCTCCTTTTTCTAGAAGAACCTCTGGCCCCAGGAGAGGAGGACATGGCTGTTAGTGGCTACCTATTGCACTGTGATGGATGATTTTCATGCCTTCAGGCTTGCAGTGCAGAACGATGGTGAGAATCTAGCACACACCATCTCCTCCTTTCACCCTTACCATCATACTCCCATAGACCTCTGAATGTTAGGTAATATTCATCACAGATTCTTCTCCCAACCCACCTTTCTGGCTAGGAGGCAGTCTTCCTCTGTCCTGACTTCTCCTATTCCCATGGGGAGATGTGAACTTTACCTCTTTAGAGTACACTCATCTCTAAGGGCTTTCAGATTGATTCAGTGCCGCATCTCAAAAAATCATGTTTTCTGAACAAATCCAGTGAAATCAGAAGAAACGGGCCAGTTTTATCAGATTATTTTCCTTGTTCTTGACTCCTGCACTGTCTACTTTCATGGTCTGTGCATCATCTCCCTCTGTGTGGTGGATCATGCTGGGCCCCAGCCCTGCAGCTCTTCAGCATCATTCTCATGTTTGTTCCATTTGTTATAGAAGTTTGGATTACATGTATTTTGAGCTAATTGATCATTGGCCCATTTTTTTTCTTCCTAAGTTTGAACCATTGGGCTGATATTTATTTTATGGTTAATTTGTCTTTTCATTGAAAATGGGAATGTTTTCCAAGAATGCAGTAGACTTGCTATTTCCAATTGGAGTTTGTGGCCTATTTTGCCACTTTCTTTTTAAAGCACTATTTCAGTTGGAATGAGTTGGAGTTTATAGCCTTGATTTTCTATTTTGTTTTCTCATTTCCTGTTTTGCAATAAAGGTAGGACTAGAGAGGCAGTCATTTCTGTGCTGTGAAAACTTACAAAATTACACTATTTTGAATTTATTTTTACATGCTAAACTGTTCATTTATTAGCTATCAGTATTTTTCTTTTTGAGGTATAATTTATAAAGATAGCCAGGCTTTTCAGACAATGAATAGATTTTAAGTGGTCTTTGGGTATAGTGACCTAGAATTACAAAGTAAAAATTAGATTTGCTTATTCCCCAGTTTCTTTTATTTTCTTGAGAGGATAGACCTGTGAGAAGACAAGACAATTGCTTTCCCCAGTGTGCTGTTTTTCCTTCTTTCGCTAATATTATGAAGCAGTGAACTACAGAGTTAACAGCTTGGGTGTTAGAGTCAGTGCCCCTTAGCTCAAATCCCAGCATCACCATTTACTAAATGTAGGACCTTGGAAAATATATCTGAACTTGTGACTTGGCTTTCTCATTTCTAAAATAGGGGTTGGTGTGAATCAAGTATGGTGGTATACATAAAACTCTTTGCATAATAGTTCATGGACATTTTAGAATAAACTCGGCCCTCTGTATTTGTGGGCTTCACATCCATGGAGTCAACCAACCTCACAACAAAAATATATTTAAAAATTGCATCTGTACTTAACATGTACAGACTTTTTTCTTGTTGCATTATATTATTCCCTAAACAATTCAGTATAACAACTATTTGCATAACATTTACATTTTATTTGGTATTACAAGTAATCTAGAGAGAATTCAAAATAAACAGGGAGATGTGCATAGATTTTATGCAAACGCTATGCCATTTTATATCAGGGACTTGAGCATCCATGGATTTTAGTGTCCACAAGAGGTCCTGGAGCCAATCCCCAGTGGATACTAAGAAACAACTGCAATACTAGAGCTCTTATTCTTTATATTTCAAATATAGTTTTGATCCTTCCTTCAATTTTTCCCAAATTTTCACATGAGCAAAACTTATGGTTAGAACTTGGTCATGTGAAAATATAGGCAAATAAAGATAGAGTAAAAATGCTATTGATAAAGCCAGGTACAATTCTTCTTGTGTGAAATCATCAATCCTACTTGGTTAGCACTATATATGAGTTGTGTATTTTCCCCATTATGTTACAATTATATTGACAAAAAATGAGCAGGAACAGAGTGGATTCCCACTTTCACAGAACAAGTAACCATTGGGTGCTAGGAAACCGCTTCAGGAACACAGCCTTGCTTTCTTTGGAAGGACAGTCAAAAGCATGGTATGTTTAAACTGAGGACTCTTTATGAGTGTTCTCCATGAGTGATGAAGGAATGCTAAATTTATCATTTTCCACCTTAAATTAGAAAGCAAAAGTTCAGTATTTTTATGACTGGAAATTTTATAAATGCCGCTATTAATGGTTATTTTTAATGTCAATAATTCTTTGAAAGTATGATTTTTTCAAATAATTTTCCATTTTGTGGAGGAAGCATAATTTTTTTAATAGTCGACCACTGCCCTGACTTAGGCTCTTCTCTCAGACTTGAGGCTCTTTTCCTGCAAAGAGACATTCTCATCAGACAGGACTGAATAAGTGATGAAGACAAGAAGTCCCTGCTGTAGATGCAGTGAAGGAGAAGACATGTCCTTGGTTGTGTGGAGCATCCTAGGAAAACGGAGGGTGTTATTATTCATTTTGTTTATGGTCAGAAAAAGTGTGACTGCCCTGATGCTCTTCTAATAATTCTGAGAGAAAGAGAAAATACATAGTGAGAAACAAGAGAAAAAGCCCTTGCGTGTCAGGGTTTTGGTCTTTGAGGAGCAGTGAAGAGGGTAGATTGACCAGTTTGATAAAGAATGTACAAATCTTTCTGAGACAAACCCTACTTCTTATTAAATTGTGAATTTTTAATGCAGTCCTAAATTAGAGTCTATTACTGTGACACACCTCCCAGACTTCTGCACATTAAAACTGATCAAGAGGAAAAACCATCTGATTTGGTTTTCATCTTTAGAGGAGAGTGGATTTTCCAAAAATAACCATCGGCTGGCTGCACGATGCTATTTTTCACTGGCAAGTAGCTGAAATAGATTTTTAACCCATTGTCTTCTCTATTTTTGGTTAAGAACTTAGGAAAAGTACAAATGTAAGCACAACTTAAGGTTTAGGGGTTTTGGGGTATCAAGCATTGAGTTTGGAAGTTGGTTATTCTTTCTTTAAGGGATTATATCTACAATGATGTGCTACTTCTCGCTCTGGAGTCTCTGAAACATCTGTCTGGCATCCCATAGTTACTCATCATCTCCTCCTTCACAGCATCCATAAAAGCTTGCATTATATTCAGATTCTCTTCTCTGAGAATCCTCAGTTCTTTGTTAGTGTGGTCATCTGTACTCCGAGACGCCCAATGACCTTGGAATATAACCACAAGTAAGGGGAAATGCTACAGAGCTGAAAGGAAACAGTCTATGCACAAACCTGCCTTCTTCCTCTTCCAAAGTAAGTGAGTCTTGCTGTGTTGCTCAGCCTCCCTTCCAGGCAGGTTTGGTCATGCAACAAAGCCCTTTCCAATGGGATGAAAGCAGAAGTGATAGGTACCCTTTCCAGGCCTGGCCTGCAAAACCACTGTGACGTTTGCTACAGCATTCTTCCTTTAGCTGGGTAAAAATCTATTTCCCTATCTTCGTTATCTGCTAATCTCAGTTTACTTTTCTGAAGTAAACAGGATAAGCTTCCCCATCTTCCACATGCCTCTTTAGGAGCTTTTCTAACTCCAAATGTCTATAATTTCATAACTGAGCTCAGAATGCCTTTTCAAAATGACTCAGTGATTGGAATTAAGGGCATGTATGTTAATATTTGTAGACACTTGATTATATAGATGGTCCCTGACTTATAATGGTTTGGCTTAACAATTTTTCAGTTTTACAGTGGTGTGAAAGAGATATACACTGAGTAGAAACTGTATTTCAAGTTTCTAAGTTTGATCTTTTCCTGGGCTAGTGATATGCTGTATGATACTCTCTCTCAATGCTGGGCAGCAGCAATGAACTGCAGCTCCTAGGCAGCCACTTCATCACAAGGGTAGGGGTTAGGGGTATTAAATGCATCTAGACTTATGATATTTTCTACATACAGTGGGCTTATTGGGACATAATCTATTGTAAGTTGAGCATCTGTACATCTGTGAGTGGCAAGTGGGTGCAGGGGTTAAAAATTCAAACTCTGGAGTTACACTCCCACAGGTAGAATTCTGCTGTCATGAATTTCTGGTTGAGTAACTTTGGGCAAATGATTTGCACACTTTGAATATCAGTTTCCATATTAGTAAAATGGTGATAATAATAGTACCTCATCAGATAGTTGTGAAGATTAAATGAACTAATACATGCAAAAGACTTGAGAAAGTACACTCAGGTAAAATCACTCAATAAACGTTAACTATTGCTATTAATACTTGTAAATAAAATAAGCAGGAAATCAACAATCAAATCTGGCCACCTCCCCTCTGTATCTATGTTTAACTTACCATTTGTAGTAGTCAGGACATCCCTTCTGTGTTTGAGGATCTGGAGCAAAGTCTATATCATTCCTGATTGTTTGACTTAACTCTTAGCCTGCCTGCTCTGATGCAAATATAATGGAAAGGTGAGGGAGCTCTGGCAAATAACAAATGGCTCTCTAGGCAGTCAAATATGGGCCAAAGAGAATTTGCTTAAAATTGATTATAATTCTAGCCTCATTGGTGCCTGCTAATCACTAGGCTTCCTCCTTGTGAGTGCAGTTTGGGGCTGAGAGAAACAGTTTATAGGGAGTGAATCTGCTTCCTACTTCTTGGTACCACATGTTCACCATGGTTTTTTTTTTTTTTTTGAAAATGACCCAGTGAACACATTTCTGGCTACAGGAATACAGTCATCACTAGCCTATAATTTTCAAGCCTTCTTGAAAAGAAAAGAGTAACGTAAAGACCTAAAAATACCCACATTAGAATTCCCTAGGGTCTTTGGTGCAAAGAGAGCTATGAGGTTTGCCAAACAATCACTAAGGTGAATTTCGAAAAATAAAAATACAGGCAATGGGCCTGTAGAAAACCCACTTTTGTTAATAGACAGGATAAGGATAATTGCAAGATATAAGGTGGAGTTTGGGGTTCTCCTATTCTTTCTGTATTATTTGCTATCATCTGAATTGAAATTGAACTCTATCCCTACCTTTCTCTCTGCTGTGTCTCTGCAGGTCTGGAGTGGAAGACTAGCAGAATGATTAAACCTATGGCTTTTACCACTTATCAGTTGGTAAACTTGATCATACTAGCCAAGTCTTGAAGCCTTGGTTTTCTCATCTTTTAAAAAAGAGAGTTATTGGGTCCCTCTTATTGGGTTGTTGTGAAGTCTAAATATGCTACACTTGTGAAGCATTAGTTCAGTGCTGGACACATAGCAAGAGTTCAGTAAATGGTTGCTTTTATTGTACATGCCAGTAAGGTATACCAATTTCTTTCACACTGAGATGTGTATGAGTCTTATATAGTTGGAAATTTCACCTTGGAAACTTGAGAGTGAACTTTGAGTGTTCTAAATCATTTCCTTATAACAAAATATTAATTGGGGATTTTAGCAGTGACGCTCTAGGCACAATAAAAATTAAAAACCTAGAGAGTTGCTCATGTCAATGACTGTATAAAAATCTCTTACATGCAAAGGAACACAGAACAACAGCAAGGATTCATAAGTCATTAGGTTGTAGCAATATAAGAATTTTTAATAGCTATGGAGATGGCACATACAACCTTATGACTCCTATACTTTATCCACTCATTCACTTTTTTATTCATTCTGAAAATGTTTAATTATGAGTTGGTGTTAGGTACTGGGATATATTTTGGAAATACTATGAGGAACTAAGCAGATATGCCTCTGCTAGCATGGCATTAGCATCTGAATGGGAAATATGGGCAAAATCTGTAAAGAAAACAACCAAATTATTGAAAATAATTGCAACGGGGTGCAGTGGCTCATGCCTGTAATCCCAGTACTTTGGGAGGCCGAGGCAGGTGGATCACCTGAGGTCAGGAGCTTGAGACCAACCTGACCAACGTAGTGAAACCCCATCTCTATTAAAAATGCAAAAATAAGCCGGATGTGGTGGCGGGCACCTGTAATTCCAGTTACTCAGGGGGCTGAGGCAGGAGAATCACTTGAACCAAGGAGGCAGAGGTTGCAATGAGCCAAGATCGCAACACTGCACTCCAGCCTGGGTGACAGAGTGAGACTTGGTCTCAAAAAAAAGAATAATAATTGCACACTATGATAAGTATTATAAAAGAAAGCATTGGGAGTTTAAAATAGGAAATAATAGCCCTGGAGTGGAGGACAAGAATACTTAAGAAAGAATGGAATAAAGTAGCTAAGAGAGGAGGAGGAGGCCATTCCAGAAGGAAGGAACAGGATGTGCAAAGGCCCTAGTATGCAAAAGAACCTTGTAGAATGGAAGAAATTCTACTGTGGACAGAGAACATCTGGTGAGGAGGTTGGAGAAGGGACAAGCCAGATTATGAAGGGCCCTGAAGCTATGGTAGGGAGTTTAGATTTTATTTAAGCAGAAAAAGAAACATGATATTGCTCTGGCCTCTGGAGACTAGATGAGAGGAGTTAAGAATGGCAGCATGGAGATGGGAGGAGATTGTAGCAGTGGTTCAGGTGACTTGGCCTTGGGATGGAGGTGGCGGAGATGGAGAAAAGTAGACTGAATCAATCAACCTACGTGTCGATCTATTTATTCGGATTGGCAGAACTTGCTGAGGGATCAAACGCCAAGTTGGCAGTTGAATTTGTGAGTCTAGAGCTCAAAGGAGAGGGCTGAGCTGAAATATAAATTTGAGAGTTGCTGAATTACATATATTATAGTGTTTAAAGCCAGATTAAAGGAGAAGATCACCTAGGAAATTTTGGAGAAGAGAACGTTAGAGAAATAGCATACTTTAGGACTCAGGTAAAGAGTAGCAAAGGAGATAGAGAAGGAATAACCAGCAAGACAAGAAGAGATCTCAAGGAGTATAGACACAAAGAGATAAAGTGTATTTAGGCAGAATTATCAACCTGGCTGAATGCCGGCAAGCGGTAGAGTAAGGTGAAAGCAGAGAGAGTATTAATTTTGGCACCATGGAGACAGTTGGTGATTATAAGAGCCATTCCAGTGGAGTGATGGGGTTGGATGGTAATGCTGTATCAGACTCATATTAGACTAGGTATAAGAGTGAACAGATATAAGTAAGTTGACATAGTATATGTAGGCAACTCTTTTGAGAAGTCTCACTAAGATGAGGTCAAGGTAAAAGGAGGGCTTTCAAAAGATGGGCCTTAGGAGAGCATATTTGTATATGGTGAGGATGTCCCTCTAGAAAAGAGACAACTGAAGAAGCAAAGCCCTTGAGAAGGCAAGAGAGAATTAGATCCAGAGCATAGGTGAAGGGATTGGTTTTGTGAGAAAAGCAGGAAAACTTTATAACGGGAAGAAAGACAAAATTAGATATATGAGGAGGCATGCAGCTTGTTAGTTTATTTTTTGTCAAAGAAGAATGAGGCAAGACCACAGGGGGAAGATATGGATAGAGGAGGGAGCATGAGAGATTTGAAAGAAAGCAGAAGATATAAAATGATCAAATCATGTAGTGAGAAAACAGCCCTATAAGAAAAATATCACAGAATCGCTGGCCTTTCTTGAGTGCACATATGTGTTCACAAATTTCAAGTGAGACCTGCACTTTGGAATCTAGGCTCCAGAGAGTAGGGGTCTTTTCTGTCTCTTTTACCAGTCTTCATGGTAGCTGAATGGGGCCTGATAAATGGTAGATGTTCCAGAAATGTTTATTGACTGAATGAATAAATATGTTTAGTTGGTAACTTTCTCTGGCAATGTTTGGATGCTCAGGTAAAGGCACCAAGAAGATAGGGGGTAGAACTCACAGAGGACTGGAGTTTTTCCCCAGGCAAGGGTGAAAGAGAACAGTCAGGGAGTTGAGGATTTTGGCAAGGGAGTGATTGTAATGATGGGCCATAGAATCAATGATGGAAGAGAACAAAGGGAAAGCTAACGGATAATTAGCTAACGGTTAATAAGAAAGTGGTGTGAGGTCATGAAGAGGTCAGAAAGTTTGTCAGTAAGCTTTCTTAAGAAAGCCTTCTGAAAGAATAAGAGGTTGTAGTTGCAGAACGTTAGGTTTGGAACTGGGATTTGAGAAGCAGAACAGATACTGGTGATTGCATAGCTCAGGGTATAACTATGTGGGGATGCCAAGGCAGAGTAGAAGAAAATATCACTCATAATGAGGGGTCAAAGTACGGATTGGCTCTATTTCTTTTTTCTTTAGTATCATCTAATACATCACAGTTATGATCTTAATCCATGTAGAAAAGAAGATGAACTTTTTGATGAAGTCATGAAAATATAAATGGAAATTTCCTACTCTTTTTACCCCCAACAAATACACATAACCAAGCATGACTGTCATGGATCTAAGGATATTTACGTGGTCATTTGGAGAGCCAGAGTGTACTGTTTGATAGGGGCTATGTCAACATGTACACATAATTGAATAATTTGCAATATTAGGTGTCTAGAAGGAAGGCCTGACTAGGCATAAATATATATTTAATCCCACTGAATGGTGGTTGGTGAACTGTATTGTTGAAAATCTGAAAGGTTATCATTTTGCCAGATATAGATAATAGTATTCCATTATTCTCAGATGAATTGTCACAGCAGTTAACATATTTTTGGCTTTTTAATTTAAAATGTTAAGTGTGGGTGGAGGGGGTGATGAAAGTCACCAGAGAAGTTTGTGGATTCAAGAATAGAAGGGGCTATGCTCTACTTCTTTTTTTCGTTGCCCTGGGAGGGTGCAAACCTTCTGTACTATTAGAACATAGGAAAACAAGAATTGGACAGCCACAAGGGATGCCGGGGCAGAGAGGCCTGAGGCACAAGTCTGAATGATGTATTCTGGATGGAGTAGAGGGAACAGCAAGGTGTCATTTTCCTGTGTAGCTGCCAGTGGTGTGGACATAGCTGAGAAAAAGCCAGTACACCAGGAGGAGGTCATGGTTAGGAGGAGTGGACCTGTCAACAAATTTCCCGCAGACCTGAGGACCAGAGGAATCCAGATACCTAAACAACTTACAACTTGGGAGATGCCACCATAGCTTTATGATGACCAGATTTACAACTCTCCCTCATACCTTGACATTGTATAAACTCTCAGGACCAGGGAGAGGAGAAAATCCTAAATTAGTGAAGGAAGTCCTGATTGGCTGAGAAAACCTTACTTAGATGATTTTTTTCACTCCCAAGTTGGATGGGAGCTTGAAATAGAGATGAAGCTATGAAAAATAATTAAAAAAATGAAAAATTATTTTACATTCCTTGTACATTTGAGTGTGTGGATTGAAAAATTAATAGCTATTACACAAGAGCTACTGTTTATTTTGGTTATCATTTTAGTATGGCTGTTAAGAAAGGCCGAAATAATAGTGGCTTAAAGAAGATAAAAGCTTACTTTTTCTCATGTAACAGTCTGAACATAAGCAGTACAAGACCAATATGGTGGCTTTACAATATTTGGGGCTGAGATGTTGTCTAAGATGGATGCACGGGTTCTGCTGTCACAGCCATGTTCTGGCTAGTGGGAAGGGGAGTAATGTGGAGGGGATAACCTATATGTTGCAAATACCACTTTCTCTTTCATCCTATTAGTCAAAACTAACTTACATACCACATATAGCCTTAAGGGAGGCTGAGAAATATACACTTGAGCTGATTAGCTGTATGCCAATCTAAACTTTGGGGGAGCTATTACCTAAAGGAAAAAAGAGAGAACATATTTTGGGAGAAAATCATTGATGTCTGGCATTTAGTGTCATGGGTGCCTGGGAACCTAGATGAAGTATTGAAATAGAAGAGGCATGGAGAACATGAGTTATCCTTGAGTTGAACAGCTACTCCATTGGGGATGAGAGGTGAATTTCAGCTGCTCATCTATAGGTGGGCACTCTATCCCTGGGCCATTCAATTACTCACTTCCTAGATGAGCTCATGCCTAGCCCTAACTCAATGGCCTCACTTTAGTGCTAAGTGCTGGAAGGCCAACAAAGGCTGTTCTTAAGTTTCTGCATTGTAGTTACTTTTTGGTAACTATTACTTTATGGATAATGGATCTGTTTTATTTATATTATTGTTGTAAAATATAATCATAAAACAATAATTTATGTTGGTATAACAATATACATATATTCTTGGTAGCCTGTTCACTTCCATAATTTTTTTAAATTTTCACAGACTTACCACAAATGAGTATTTAAATACTATACATTTGCAACTCTCCCTACATCCCCAAGTTTTCATATCCATCAGCACGTGACGATTTTCTCATTTCTCCAGTTATGACTTTTGGGACTTTTTTTTTTTTTTGAGATGGAGTTTCGCTCTTGTTGCCCAGGCTGGAGTGCAATGGCACCATCTTGGCTCACTGCAACCTCCACCTCCCAGGTTCAAGCAATTCTCCTACCTCATCCTCCCGAGTAGCTGGGATTACAGTCATGCGCCACCACGCCCGGCTAATTTTATATTTTTAGTAGAGATGGGGTTTCTCCATGTTGGTCAGGCTGGTCTCAAACTCCCAACCTCAGGTGATCCACCCGCCTCGGCCTCCCAAAGTGCTGGGATTACAGGCCCGTGAGCCACCGTGCCTGGCCAGGACTTTCTTTACCTGTCTCTGTTCCTTTCACCCAGGATTTCTTTCTTTTCCTTTCTTTCATTTTTCCCCCTGGTTCTAGACTATTTCCTAGGATCCTCTCTGTAGTCTTTTGTACTTAACATATTGAGCTTATCTTTTAGGGTTTCCCTTTTTTTGGCTTCCCCACTCTTCTCCCTTCCCATCTTTTCTGCCTTGGTACCTTTTAAATATGGCATTTTTCTAAAGCAGTTAGTATTGAGTCCTTAACTCTGCAGGGGATATCTTCTCTCTTTTGTTCTATACTGCTTGCTCACCCCAGTTATTTTCTCTGTTTCCTTTGCCTTCCCCCTACTGTGTCCAGAACTGGTGGGTTCTTGGTCTCACTGACTTCAAGAATGAAGCTGCGGACTCTTGCGGTGAGTGTTAACATTTCTTAAAGGTGGTGTATCCGGAGTTTGTTCCTTCAGATGTTCAGATGTGTCTGGAGTTTCTTCCTTCTGGTGGGTTTGTGGTCTCACTGACTTCAGGAGTGAAGCTGCAGAC
Organism: Homo sapiens; assembly: GCF_000001405.40. NCBI lineage: Eukaryota > Metazoa > Chordata > Mammalia > Primates > Hominidae > Homo > Homo sapiens. Next base: position 114,999,915 of record NC_000005.10, on the reverse strand, counting down.
CTTTGCAGTGAGTGTTACAGCTCATAATGGTGGCACGGACCCAAAGAGTGAGCAGCAGCAAGATTTACTGTGAAGAGTGAAAGAACAAAGCTTCCACAGCATGGAAGGGGACCCGAGCGGGTTGCTGCTGCTAGCTCGGGTGGCCTGCTTTTATTCCCTTATCTGGCCCCACTCATATCCTGCTGATTGGTCCATTTTACAGAGAGCTGATTGGTCCATTTTACAGAGAGCTGATTGGTCCGTTTTGACAGAGTACTGATTGGTGCATTTACAAACCTTTAGCTAGATACAGAGTGCTGATTGGTGCATTTACAATCCTTTAGCTAGACACAAAAGTTCTCCAAGTCCCCACCCATCCCAGAAGCCCAGCCAGCTTCACCTCTCACTGGTACTTGCCGTGGGACTTTGCAGCAATTAGCCTGGGCACTCCAACAGCCCAGAGGGAGCTTGTCCCCGATCAAGCCCAGCAGGTGCCCGCCAGTCACGCTGAGTGTGGGGCTTGCCAAGCATGCACGCACCTGGAACTGGCACCGGCCTGTGAGCACCGCATGCAGCCCCGGCTCCCACCCGCACCTCTCCCTCCACACCTCCCTGTGAGCAGAGGGAGCCTGCTCTGGCCTTGGCCAGCCCCATAGAGGGGCCCCCACAGTGCAGCAGTGGGCTGAAGGGCTCCTTGAGCATAGCCAGAGCAGATGCCAAGGCCGAGGAGATGCTGAGAGCAAGCGAGGGCTGCTAGCACATTCTCACCTCTCAATCCCCCCTCTAAACAGGACAACCCAACTGCTCTTGGGAATTTGGCCAATGACCACTCTAGCTACTTCCTGCTGGATAGGGGTGAAGAAGGGGCCCTGCAGTTGTAGTGTCCTCCAGAGGGGAACTCTTTAAGCCAGTGGGTTGGTCCAGGGGTCCTCGGTAGAAGTTGTTAGTTGAGGTCATTTGGAGTTCCATTTGTAAGACTATCTGTAGCTTGATGGCCTCAATTCTAGAGGAAACAAATTTGACAAGCAGGTTAAAAATACAGGGTCCAAAGGCGAGTAACAGCAAGATGGCTGCCACAGGACCTAGAAAGGGGAGAAGCCATGTTGCCCAACTCCAGAGGTTGGTATAAGAGTTTGAAAGGCATTGTCTGATTTCAGAAGCCTTTTCCTGTAAACTCCGGGTGGCATCTCATACTATCCCTGACTGGTTAGTGTAAAAACAACACTCTTCCCCTAAGAAGGTGCAGAGTCCTCCTTTCTCAGCAGTGAGGAGGTCTAGGCCTCAGAGGTTTTGGAGAGTCACTGCTGCTAAAGAGTCTATTTGGGATTGTAGGGTAAGGATAGATTTCATTATTTTTTGCAAACTGTCTGAAAAATCCTTTGAGAGTGTGTGGTAGTAGGATAATGAAGTAGATAAATTGGCTATTCTGGTTCCTGTAGCAGTAGCCATTCCTAACCCTATAAGTAGGGGTATTACTTGTATGGCTCTGCGCTGATGGACTTGAGCTTTGAGGGGTACTGATAAGGTCTGATTTCCTGGGGCAATGTTAATGTTGGGACTTAGAAAAACTAAGGTGCAGGTGCCTGTCCAGTTAGTGGGGAGGCAGATATAGGTCAATGTTCCACATAAGAATATATGTTGGCTGGGTAGACAGAACTGGTTGTGTATGTTAAAAAAGTGTGTGAATTTGTTGTATTCATTTTCCCATACTCCTAGATTACTTGCCAAGGTAACTCCAGTGAGCAGCTGGAAAGGGGTGTTGGGAGCAAACTGAGTGGCTCCCTGTGTTTGATTTTCCCATTGGAAAAAAAAAGTTTTGTATCCACTAGGAACCATTCAAGAGAGTGATTGAAAGAGGGGATGAGAAGGCATTCACTAGTGGTGGGGACACTGCTGCAGGGGGTCCAGGGGTGAATGGTCATGCAGGGAGTATGTTTGCCATTACAAAACCTGGACTGTTTGTTAAGCAGGGAGGAGGTGATAATTTTTGGGGGCCCTGAGAAGTGGACAAGCCATCTGAATGGAGCTGTTTGTGTGACTCGGAAGTTACTATGATCAGTTGGGGCTTGAAGTTGTAGGGTGTAATTACACTGATGAGGCAGCAGGTGCCCCAGGGGAAGGCATGATAACAGGTTGCATTGGATGCATAAAGGGGCTTGGAACGTTAAGATGGTATTCGTAGTTACAGGGCCATGTATGGGCTTTTCATTGCTTGTGTAATAGGTGAGGTTGGAAATGTAAGAACTTAAAAGTTGGATTGCACGTCCTGTTAGGGTATTCTTGGTCCTATCAGAGATGGGGAAGTTGGATAATGATTGCATATTTAGAAGTTGGAAAGGGTGTTTTCCTTCATAATAAGGGTGGTAGGTTAAATTGGTAAAAACCCAGTTTTTTTGCAGGAATGGGAGTGGCAACGTGATCAGAGGTTGATAGAGAGATACAAAGCCAACAGTCATTTGCCAGGGAAGGATTGGACTGGTTTAACAGAGAGTGGGTTGAGAGTCTTGTAGAGGAAATTAGGAGCTAGTGGAAGGGGAGGGGTGATTGTATGAGGTATCCAAAGAAGCAGGAGGGATACATAGGCAAAGAGCAAATAGGAAGGTAAAGAGGGTGCTTTGGAAGACGAGATCATTTTATTGAGTCTGAGTCAAAGGTAGGAGTAAGTTGCTGTCAAAAGGAAGGAAGATAGAAAGAAGGTTGATGTGATTAGGATTTTTGTCCTGGCAGGAGCTACAGTATATAGTCCTGTCACAAACAGTATGGTTACTATGCTGTTTTCACTTATCTTTTTTAAGGAGGAAGGGGTTTTTCCTCAGGATCAGTGATAGGAGCCTTTTTAGTCTGGGAGATTTCCTTCTGAAATAGGAGATGCAATTCTTCCAACACTTTGCAGGTGTATTGAGGCTGGTCTGGCTGCTCTTGGGACTCTTGAGCTGAGGTCCTGCAGGTTCCTCAGGGGATGTCCAAAGTTTAACTTGGGTGTAGAGAATCCAAGATTCCACTCCTGCCACCTTAACTATAGTGGGATTAGAGAGGATTACCTAGTATGGTCCTTCCCCCAAAGAGTCCATAGATGGGGAGGTAGAGGGGAGAGATTTGACCAACACTAGATCTCCTCATTGAAACAACTCTGTTCCCTTTTCTCTGTGAGATCCCTCAGGTAGATTTTTAAGGTTTTGTTGATATTTTGCCAAAGGAGTTATATCTTTGGCCAGGTTGGACGTTTCCTGATCAAGTAGGTGGTCATTTGTGAGAAAAGGTCGTCAATACAGCATTTCATATGGACTGAGCCCTATTTTTTGAGGTGAATTTCAGATTCTCAACAAGGCCGTGGGCAAAAGAGTAGGCCATGGGAGATGAGTTTCTTGTGTTAGTTTCCTTAAGTGCCTCTTGAGTGTTTCATTTGCCTTCTCGACCTTCCCTGAGGATTGTGGCCTCCAGGAACAGTGAAGGTGATATCGTATCCCTAGCTCCCTGGAAATTCCCTGAGTTATCGTGGCTTTAAAAGCTGGACCACTGTTGCTCTGTAAGGTTTGGGGAAGCCCAAATCTAGGAATTATTTCATGAATTAGTTCTTTAATTACTTCCTGAGCCTTCTCTGTCTTGCAGGGGAAAGTTTCTATCCAATTTGTAAAGGTATCAACACAGACCAATAAGTATTGAAATCCCTTTGACTTAGGCATATGGGTGAAGTCTAACTGCCAGTCCTGTCCAGGCTAGTGACCTATTCTTTGTTCCACCAAAGGGGCCTTATGATGGACCAAGGGATTATTCCTTTGGCACACCTCACAGGTTTTGACTGCCTGTCGGATGGTTCAGAGGAGATTTGGCCCTGTAAGTAGGGATTTGGCCATTTGATGAGTGTTTTCAATACCCATATGAAAAGTTTGGGGGAGGGTTTTAAGTATTTTCCACTGGCTGGCTTTGGATATAAGTACCTTTCCTTCTTCCATCGCCAACCACTCCGAGGGGAGAAAACTATGTCCCCGTGAAAGTCCCCACTATGCTTCAGTTGGGAAATACTGGGGCTTAATCTCTTGGAGGGGGTTGTTCCATACCAAGGGTCCTTCTGTAGGTATTTCTAATGGGGGGTTCCACCTGGCAGCAATTTTGGCCTCAGCATCTGCCTGATGGTTTCCTTCTGCCTTTTCTCCTTCACCTTTCCGATGGCTTTGTCAGTGTAAGACTGCCACCTCCTTGGGTTTTTGCACTGTGTGCAATAACTCTATAATTTCCTGTGGTATTTAATGGGGGTTCCCCCAGAGGTTAGGAACTCTCTTTCTTTCCATATTGCAGCATGGGCATGTAGGATTAGATAAGCATACTTGCTATCTGTATACACATTTATTCTTTTTCCCTTTCCCAGTTCTAAGGCTCGGGTAAGTGCCACTAGTTCTGCTAACTGGGTGCTGGTCCCTGGGGGAAGAGGCTTACTTTCAAGTATGGTTACATCACTAACTATGTCATAACCTGCCCTTCATATCCCATTCTCCACAAATGAACTTCCATCGGTATATAGGTTAAGGTCAGCATATAGGTAAGGGGACTTCTAAGAGATCATCTCAGGTGGCATAAGTCTGGACTATAATTTGTTGGCAGTCATGTGCAAATGGTTCCCCATCCTCTGGGAGAAAAGTGGCAGGGTTGAGGACCACACACGTACGTATTTGAAGCACCAGTCCCTCAAGGAGTAGTGCCTGGTATCTAAGTAGGCAGTTGTCTGATAGCCATAAACTTCCTTTGGCACCTAGTATGCTATTTACATCATGAGTAGTCCAGACAGTGAGATCCTTTCCTTGAATTATCTTGATAGCCTCTGACACTAAGACGGCCACCACCACAACTACCCATAAACAGTGAGGCCAGCCTTTTGCTACTACATTAATTTCCTTACTTAGGTATGCCACTGGTTGTGTGGTTGTCCCACGCATCTGAGTAGACTCCAAGTGCTATCCCTGCTCTCTCTGTGATGTATAAAGAGAAGTTTTGTCCTGTGGGAAGGCTTAAAGCTGGAACTTGAACTATGGCCTGCTTTATGGTTTTGAAGGCTATTTCTGCCTCTGGCTCCCATTCTACTAGATGAGTATTTGCTCTCTGGGTCTCCTTGAATAGAGTATAGAAGGTCCTGGCTATCTTGCTGTATCCGGGGATCCATAGTCGTCAAGAGCTGGTGATTCCAAGGAACCCCCACAACTGTTTTAATGTCTTAGGGTGAGGATAAGCCAGTATAGGCTGTACTCATTCCTTTCTGAGGACCCTGGTCCCTCTGGCTAAGATTAGGCCTAGATATTTCACCTGCTGTAGGCAAAGCTGGGCCTTTGACCTAGACAACTTGTACCCTTGATTAGCTAGAAAGTTCAAGAGATCTAGAGTAGCCTGCTGGCATGAGGCTTCTGAACTGGTAGCCAAAAGCAAGTCATCCACATACTGAAGGACCAGAGTGCCTGGACTTGAGGAGTGGCCTAGATCTTGCACCCATGCCTGACCAAACAGATGAGGGCTATCCCTAAACCCTTGGGGCAAGACCGTCCATGTAATTTGGGATGTGTGGTCTGTGGGATCCTCAAAGGCAAAGAGAAACTGGGAGTCAGAGTGCAGGGGAATACAGAAGAAGACATTCCTGAGGTCCAGAACAGTGAACCATTCTGCTTCCTCTGGTATTTGAGAGAGCAGGGTATAGGGGTTGGATATGACTGGATATAGAGGAATTACTGCCTCATTGATGAGTCTAAGATCTTGCACTAGTCTCCACTGACGGTTCGGTTTTTGTACTCCTAGAATTGGGGTGTTGCAGGGACTGCTGCATTTCCTTACTAAGCCTTGAGCTTTTAAATGTTTAACAATATCCTGTAAACCTTTATGAGCTTCAGGCCTTAAGGGATATTTCCTTTGATAAGGAAAAATGGTGGGGTCTTTTAGCCTGATTTGGAGTGGGTGGGCATTTTTTGTCCTTCCAAATTGTCCTTCCAATGCCCAGACTTCAGGGTTGATTCCCTCTTCAAGTAGAGGGACAACAAATGGGCAACTTGTTCCCCATATTCATGTAGATAATAGCTCCAGCTTTGGCTAATATGTCCCTCCCTAATAAGGGTGTGGGACTTTCAGGCATAACAAGAAAGGCATGTGAAAAGAGCAAAGTCCCAATTATAACTGAGGAGGTGGGAGAAATACCTGGTTACAGGCTGTCCCAGGATTCCTCAGATGGTAATGGACCTTGAGGACAGTCATCCAGGACAGGAGATTAGCACTGAGAAGGCAATGCTAGTGTCCAAGAGGAAGTCAATTTCCTGGCCCTCAATGGTTAAACATACCTGGGGCTCAGTGAGAGTGATGATATGAGCTGACACTTGCCCCAGGCACCCTCAGTCCTGTTGTTGGATCATCTGGTTGGGGGTTTCTGACCCAGAGAACCTTTGTCTTCTGGGGCAGTGCACCTTCCAGTGATTGCCTCAGCATAGCAGACATGGACAAGGGGAAGACTTGTTTCTCACTGGACAATCTTTTTAAAGTGTCCTTGTAAACCACACTGATAGCAAGCCCTACCAGGTCATTGGCCTGCTCCATTTTCTTTCCTCTCTGAACCACCAAGTTTTGTTTGTCTGAGGGCCATGACTAAGGCTGTGGCCTTTCTCTGATCTTGCTTTTCCTTTTGGGCCTGTTCCTCTTGGTCCCTATTATAGAATACTGAGGTTGCCAGGTTTAATAATGCCTCCATATTTTGTTCAGGGCCCAGGGCTTGCTTTTGGAGCTTTCTCCTGACATCTGTGGCTGATTGGGTAATAAACTTATCTTTTAGAATCAATTGACCGTCGAATGATTTGGGTGACAGGGGAATATATTTTCTTAAGGCCTCTCATAGCTACTTGAGGAAGGAAGAAGGATTTTCTTCCTTTCCCTGAGTTATGGTGGACATCACTGAATAATTCATGGGGTTTTTCCTAATTCTCCTTAGTCCTTCTAGAACACAGTCAACAGATGTTTATGACTCCAGTCCCCGTGATCTCAGTCAAGGTCCTAGTGGGAATCCATACTGGGAACGGCTTGCTGACAGGTAGGGAATTTGTCCCTTTCTTCAGCTGTCATTCTATCATTTACTTGACTAAGATACCAAGTATTTCCAAACTCTCAGGCTGCAGCTAAAGCCACATTCTTTTCTTTAAAGGCCAGGGTTTGATCTAACAATAGCATGACATCTCTCCAAGTGATATCAAAGATTTGCCCTAGACCCTGTAGGACATCTATGTACCTATCAGGATAATCTGAAAACTTCCCCAGATCTGCCTTGATCTACATTAAATCAGAGAGGGAGAAGGGGACATGTACCCAGGTTGGGCCAAATTCCCCTCCCCCTATAGCTTGAAGGGGACATAACTGATAGCCCAGGGTTTTTTTTGGTCCTTTGGAGATTTCTTTGCTTATTTCCCTCTGGGTGGGGGAGATTAGAGGAGGATTATCATTAATAGGAAGGGGAGCTATAGGGAGGCTAGGATATGGGGGTAAGCTGAAAGGTCCTCCTGTGGGATGTAAATTGCAAGCTTTGCATCGTTGTGTATTGTCTCTCAATGAAAGGAAAGCTTGGACATAAGGTATTTCACTCCATTTGCATTCCCTCTTACAGAAAAGGTGAAGCTGCATGATAGTATTGTAATTTATACTTCCCTCAGGTGGCCATTTTCCCCCATCACAGAGAGAATATTGGAGCCAGGGCATAGTGCAGAAAAAAATGGGCTGCCTTGGCTGGGTGTGGTGGCTTACACCTGTAACCCTAGCACTTTGCAAAGCTGAGGCAGGTGGATCACAAGGTCAGGAGATCAAGACCATCCTGGCTAACAGGGTGAAACCCTGTCTCTACTAAAAATACAAAAAATTAGCCAGGTGTGGTGGTGGGCACCTGTAGTCCCAGCTGCTCAGGAGGCTGAGGCAGGAGAATGGCTTGAACCCGGGAGGTGGAGCTGGCAGTGAGCGGAGATTGCACCACTGCACTCCAACCTGGGTGACAGAGTGAGATTCCGTCTCAAAAAAAAAAAAAAAAAAAAGGGCTGCCTCTTTTTCAGGGTTTGTGGGTCAAATTGGTCCAATGGCTTAGGATGCATTTCACAGGTGGGCCTTTTGATGCCTGAGTGTTTCCCATCTGAAAGACAAAACCAGCCACAGTTTTGGTTTGTTTTGTTTCTCCCCCTGCCCAAGAACCCGCAACGGTCCCTGGACCCTGCTGTTCAGAATAGTTGTGCTCACTGATGCAGCAGCAGAAACAACCCCTTCCCAAGAACCCACAACAGTCCCTGGACCCTGCTGATCAGAGTAGTTGTGCTCACAAACGCAACAGCAGAAACACTAGTTTTCCTCCCAGACTACAAGGAGGACCGAGGAAGGTTGGATTTAGTGGCCCTTACTGATGCATTCTCAAAAACCTGCACCCTTGCCTGTCCTCCTAGACCACAAAGAGGACCAAGAAAAATTGGATTTAGTGGTGCTTACCAATGCATTCTTGAAAACCTGCACCCTTTCCTGTCCTCCTAGACCACAAGGAGGACCAAGAAAAATCGGATTTAGTGGCCCTTACTGACGCATTCTTGAAAACTGTTAGAGTCCTAAGCATTCTCCTGTTAGTATTGAGAGTTTATCCATGTCCTATAAAGGTGTTATGCCCCAAAAGTGAAGTGGAGGGCCATACCATGAGGGACGGAAGGGATCTCCAGGGTTGGAAGAGTGACACTTTTTGTCCTCATTTATATGAATAGGAAGGCTACAATTTCTGAGGCTCCTCATATCCTAGCTTCAGGAATAGCTTTTGTTGGGCCTTCTAGTCTGGGGAGGGATCCTAAAATTCCAGATGGTCCCTCCTATGATGGGGCTCTGGGCAAAAATTATGTCTTTCTGATTGGTGAGCCCAGGTGCCAAAAGAAGGTAACAGAGTCCTGAAGTTTATACTAGAAATCATTCTTATAGGAGAAACTAGAAAAGCACCAGAGACAGCGAGTGGTTTTTTAGAAGCAGGACTAGCCTCGGAGAAGAGAGGTGAGAGGAAGTTTGTCTGGCAGGTGTTAGGAACCAGGGAGCAAGGGTTAGGATAGATAGGATAGATGGGTGAGTCTTGCTTGGGCGACATGCCTTTGAGAGTTCCGCTCATGGCCACAGGGTCAACGAACTTGTTGTCAGACCCTGGTGCTGAGTGGCTTTCCTCTCTCTCAACCCTCGGCTCAGCCTGGAAGTACAGGAAAAGCGGAAGCTAGTTCCAGGCAAACCAACGCTCCCAACTCCAAAGAGCCAGGGGTTGTTAGAGAGCCCTTTCCCAGAAAGCCTGACACCCATGTCTTTAGTCGTGTGGCCACACTAGTCACTTTTAACTGGCCGACAGGTCCCTGATATTTAATCCCCAAATTCTAAGGAAAAATGGTACAGAATAGCAAGTGAAAGGGGTCCAGTTGTACTCACTGCTTGGTGATAGATGATAATCTCACTGCTTGGCAATAGGCAATAGTCCCATCTGGGTCACCAAAATGTGTCTGGAATTGGTGGGTTCTTGGTCTTGCTGACTTCAAGAATGAAGCCGCGGACCCTCACGGTGAGTGTTATAGTTCTTAAAGATGATGTATCCGGAGTTTGTTCCTTCACATGTTCAGATGTGTCCAGAATTTCTTCCTTCTGGTGGGTTTGTGGTCTTGCTGACTTCAGGAGTGAAGCTGCAGACCTTCATGGTGAGTGTTACAGCTCATAAAGGTGGTGTGGACCCAAAGAGTGAGCAGCAGCAAGATTTACTGCAAAGAGTGAAAGAAGAAAGCTTCCGCAGTGTGGAAGGGGACCCAAGCTGGTTTTCACTGCTAGCTCGGGTGGCCTGCTTTTATTCCCTTATCTGGCCCCACCCACATCCTGCTGATTGGTCAGTTTTACAGAGAGCTGATTGGTCCATTTTGACAGAGTACTGATTGGTGCGTTTATAAACCTTTAGCTAGACACAGAGTGCTGATTGGTGTGTTTATAATCCTTTAGCTAGACACAAAAGTTCTCCAAGTCCCCACCCATCCCAGAAGCCTAGCCAGCTTCACCTCTCACTGGTACTCATGGAGGGACTTTGCAGCACCTAGCCTGGGCACTCCAGCAGCCCAGAGAGAGCTCGTCCCCCGATCAAGCCCAGCAGGCTTTGGCTGGCGGTGCTGAGTATGGGGCTTGCTGGGTCTGCACTCACCTGGAACCCGAGCTGGCCCGTGCAACCCCAGCTCCCGTCCATACCTTTCCCTCCACACCTCCCCCTGAGCAGAGGGAGCTGACTCCAGCCTCGGCCAGCCCCAGAGAGGGGCCCCCACAGTGCAGCGGTGGTCTGAAGGGCTCCTTGAGCATGGCCAGAGGAGACACCAAGGTCAAGGAGGCACTGAGAGTGAGCAAAGGCTGCTAGCACATTGTCACCTCTCGCTGCTAGCACGTTGTCACCTCTCACTGCTATGCAAATGTACTCTTTGTTTCTACCAGTAACTCCTTTCTGAAGCCCCTTTAGCTGCTCCCTGCCTTTTGTTTTTTATCGTACTAGGGAGGGCCCCTATTTTTGGGGGGGGGTGGTGAGTATCAATAATCAGAGGTAGTTACTTGATTTATCTATTCTTTTTTGCTCCTTGAAGGTGGCCTAGGAGGTAATTGTTTCTCTGACTACAAAATGGGCTTGATTTGGGTTTAATTTCTGGGCTATGCATATCCAATACGGCACAGTTTCCTAATGTTTCTGCTAGCAGTCCTATAGTTTCCTACTCTGGGTGACCCGTGACTTCTGTTCATAGCATTCTCACACTGCCCCCCTCCCAGAACTGCTGAAGCTTAGCTGACAGCCTCTCCTTCACTGCTTTACTTCCAGCCTAGTGGACCTCTCATTTGCTCTCTCCTTATGCCTTCTGAAGAGAGAGCATCACACTGCTTCTGTGCCACTGTTTTCTGGTCTGCAGAATACTGAGGTTGTCTCTCTTCTCTGTGATAGACTATACCTTAAATCTTCTCATTTCAATGAACCAGAAATTCTAAGCAATGGGAACCTATGCCAAGTAATATCAAAGTATTGTCCACTGCCTGAACTATCCTGGGCCCTAGAACTATGTGGCTGCCTTAGAGAAGGAGTGCCTTGCTGAATGGTGAAACTCTGCAGGGCTAACTGGGCTACTCTTTCACAGTGGGGGTAGAGTGGGTTTCTGACTTCTTAAGTTATTTTCTTCATGGCAGAAATGTGGATCCATGGGTCTCTCCAATCACCATGCCATTACATGGTATTGGATGTTGAGGGGGAAGTTTTCTATTTAATACTTTGATAGAAATAGAAAAAGTATGCATGGATTCCTAAACAAAGACTTCAGGTAAAGGATATTTTGATAATACTGTTCTATCCCTTTGTTGAATATGCATGAGCCATTTTCTGAGAAAATTTACTGCAATTTTAGTGACTTTGCTTAGAGAATAATAGCTAATGAGCAGTCTAATAATCCTATCTGTGTTTTTTCAAAAGGAAAAGCATCAGGGTGGATAGGAATTCAGGCTTCAGTAGGGAAATTGCCAAAATCTTCCACAGTAGCCATTTGTTCATCTATTGGGTGAATGATTTAATTGTATTGTCATTATCTGTTTACAATTCTGTCTCCCTCACTAGATTGTGAATTCATCCAAAGTACTGATATTGTCTTATTCTTGATGAATTGCAATTGTTGGAATTCAACAAGTGTTCTTAATGAATGAACAGATAGATAAATGAGGAAACTGGAGTCACAGGCGGTCAAGCAAGCTGTGTGGTGTTAGATTGTGTGTTAACTTCTCTGGCCTTACTTTCAAATTTCGCCTGCAATTGATAATGTTGGCATGGATTTCCCAGAAGACATTCCATGTATAAAAATCTAATGACTCACCCAGTTCTATAATAAGTTGGTGATATTACTGAATTTAGAACTTAAATGAACTAATTTCTGATCAGAGTTCTTTTTTTATTATGCTGTATTCTGACCTTCAATTTAGCTGTTGCAAAGTGTGCTAGATAGGCCACTAAATTACTGTCAGATTTCCCTCTGGCCCACCTTCAGGACTGATGGTGCTAAATGGAAGACAGAATTATATTTAGAAGACTTTTATGAGAACATAAATGTCAAATACAGTATTGATTCTAAATGCCTGCTGCATGTGTTTTTGGATAATTATGTGTAATATTTACTATATAGGTATTCCTGACTTAATGATAATTCAACCTATGATATTTTGACTTTACAATGTTGTGGAAGCAATGCGCATTAAGTGTACTCCTTAGTTTATGACTTAACTTCAATTTAAGTTATGACTTAACTTAAATTGAAAGTATGTGTAAGTCCAAAGTACTTTTCCAACTTAGGATATTTTTAATTTACAGTGGGTTTATTGGATGTAATCCCATTGTAGGTTGAGGAGTATCTGTGTTCTCCCAGCTGATTGCACAGTAGTCCCCTCCACATTTTCTTGCACCCAAACCCATCCATTTTTTTCAAGGAAGATATCTTAAGGTAGGAATTTAAAGAGAAATGAAAGATTCTAAAGTAGACTATAATTCTAATTTTTTGAGGGGCATAAGAGCTAGGGGGGTCTTTTAGAAGTATTGCTTTGGACTAAGGAATGGATTTTGAAGTAAAGTGATTTTTTCTCACCTTCCTAGACAGGATGAAGAGTTTTATCCCTAATATTTTATTATAAAATTTTAAATATGCAAAAATGTTGATAGAATTGTATATCAATTCTCTAGATTCTACAATTAACATATTACTATATTTATTTAATCCACATCTATCAATTTATCTATCTTATTTTATGATGGATTTCAAAGTTGACAATATGATTACATTTCACTCCCAAACACTTAAAAACATGCATATAATTAACTAGAGTTCAATTTTGTTTACCTTTTTTATAGTAACTTAGGTTTAGGATATTACCATCACCTAGAAAGTTCTCTTATACTTCTTTTTTTTTTTTTTTTTTTTTTTTGAGGCAGGATCTCTCTTTGTCCCTCAGGCTGCAGTACAGTGGCATGATATCAGCTCACTGCACCTTCGGCGTTCTGGGTTTAAGTGATCCTGCCTTAGCCCCCCAAATAGCTGGGACTATAGATGTGCATACCTGGTTAATTTTGTATTTTTTGTAGAGACAGGGTTTTGCCATGTTGTCCAGGCTGGTCTCAAACTCCTGGGCTCAAGCAATCCACCTGCCTCCACCTCCCAAATTGGTAGGATTACAGGCATGAGCCACGGTGCCCAGCCGTCTTATACTTCTTAACAGTCAGTTTCCACCCTAACCATCTCAGTGGTTGATTTAAGATCTTATCTGATAATTCTAGCTTCTGGATTATCTTAGTTTCATCTGCATTGATTGCCTACACTCTTGATTAAGGTCTCTTCATTTGTCTGGTAGTTCTAGATTTCATTCTGGACATTGTGAATGATACAACATACAGATTCTGACTATTCTACAACTGTCATCTGAAGATTATTGATTTTTGTTTTAGTAGGCAGTTAACTAGGCTGGATTAAAACTCAAAATTCTGTTTCTCCTATGGCAGCAGCTGAAATGTCTGACCGGTTCTTTTAGCCTTAGCTGAGCTGCCTGGAATCTTCCCCAAGCAAGCAGAATTGAAAGGTGAGATAGAGATTTGGACAGAGTTTATATGCAGAAGTTTGAGCTCCTTCCTTTGTGGGATTCCCTCTTAACTTTCCAGCTGCTGTGCTAGCCCCTAACTCTTTCCTCCAGTTCTTCTAGCGAGTGAGTCTGCAGGTTTATGTACATATTTTAGCCATCTTAATTGTGGCATGCCCTTAGATGAGAAGGCTTAACTTCTAGTACTGTTACCTTTCACTGTGTTGATTCCCCTCTAGTTTCTCTTGCTTTTGGTTATTCTTTGATGCTTTCTGATGGTGATTTTTCATATTTTGTTCATAGCTTATGTGGTTACCTGTGGTTGGGTTGGTCTGACAGGAATTGGTTTGCTATTGCCAGAAGCAGAGCCTCTGTGGTTTTGTTTCCCTTAGCTTCCTAAGCTAGATAAAGATCTTATAAGCTGAAAGGAAGACAGCAATGCAGAAGGGAATAAAGAGCATGGGATTTAGCAATGAGTACCTCTGAGAAGGGACCTTTGTCCTGGTGAGGAGTAGAGGAGTGAGAGAATATATGATCCAAAGGCAGGGGAGAATTGCGTTTCATGCCAAGTGAGGATTAGGGAAGCCAGCATGTCATAGAGTTTCTAGCACCCCTCACTGTATGGCAAAAGCAGAATAGAGATGCCGACATGCAGTATCTAGAAAAAGAGGGCTTGAGACAGCCCCTAGGTTTCTTATGTCTGAGATTGGCGGGGCAGAACATCCAACGATTTTCATGTACCTGTTGAGACAGCCAGAGAGATAATTGAAGGAAGTCTAGGACTTGGAAAAGTCACTCATTGGGATGAGGGAAGCAGCAGCATGGCCAGCATGGAGACTGTGACTGAATAGGGACTAGGTGGGATGTGCATGGCTCTGCAGATGCCAATGGGGAAAGGTGACTGGAGGGAATCAGAACACTGATGTCAGTGTAGACCTATGAGATCATGACAGAAGGCCATTTTCCATGTTTTGATGCTAAGTATTACAGTCTTCCATCCTTCGGATCTCAGTTGCAACCCCTGGTAAGGGTTGAGAGAATAAAATTTTGACTTGATTGCATTGACCCAAAACTGTCTGACTTAAGTTTTGCCAAAAGATGGAGTAGAAAGTTTGAGATAGAAAGTAAGGTAATATATCATATATAGAAAATAAAGTTGAATTTTGTCACAATTGAGTTTTGTGGATTGAGACTCTGTACCTCCTACACACATGTAATGTAAATGCAGCCAAGAGCATTGAGCACTGACTGATGGTAGAGAAGCCAGGTGGTGACTTAAGAAATGAAGGGGCGAGAGTGGGGATTTATCTTGGCTGTGGTTCTCCGAGCATGGATTTTTGGGTTTCATTTCAGGATTCTGTTAATGTTCCTCCAGCCAACCAGCAATCAGAGTTTTATTTTTCCTTCTTGTTCTCATTTATAATGTGCATAATTTACATACATTTGCATTTTAATCTTTCTAACTGAAAGAATTGAATAAATATGCCATCTCTGCATACCACTAGAGCAGAAACACATTGAACTCCAGTGGTATGGATAAAGGTCACTGTTGACATTCTCCTTACTTTAGCTTAAAATTATTTTCTAAGCTCTGGGTGTACTTTCCTTCTTGGCAGTTAAATCAGATAATTCTACCCTATATTTTAGTTTTTCTTTGTGTTGCTGAAAGATTCTAGAGAAGCAGCCTAGGCCAAGTCCTTCATTTTATAGATGATGAAATGGGGCCACAGAAGTAACTTATCCAGGACCACATTGTTAGAGATAGAGGTGGTTTTAGTACCCAGACCCATGATTTTAGCGTTTTCCCCTCTTATGCTCTTATCTCACCTATCCCTATATTATTGTAGAGTTGGGTTGGGTTCCTACCTTTTAGAAGCTGACTTATGCAAGGTAATCAACTTTTACTAATTACTAGGATAATATATCAATATAAAATATATTTTATCTGTATTATTTTTCTATATATGATCAATCTATCTATATATAACCTTGCAAGCCTGATAAAATTTTTCCCAGAAGGCCTCCAGCAGCTTCTGTTTACTTCTTATTGGCCAGAAAGGGGTGATGTGTCCTCTTATCAGTGAATCACTGGCAAGCAAAGGTCCCAATGACTGTCAACGTTCATCCCTGAATTGGGGAGGAAGTAATCTTCCCCTAATCCCATAATAAATGGGTAACAACACAATCGAGTTCTAGTATAAAGGAAGAAAGGGAAAATGGGTATTAAATAGGCAGTTAAGGGATACATTTAATGACACTTTAAGCTTTAGAATCAATTTCCTCAGATTTTCTGTCTCATTACTCTCAACATTACTATATCATTTTATTTTATCTTATTGTCTCTCTTACAAGAAGCATATGTGTTTTGTTTCATTTGGTTTTGTTTTTCTTAATCTGGAAGTCTTTTATTTAGTATAATTGGTATAGTTACACTTATTTGGATTATTGAATGGGATTTATTTCTGTCATTTGATTTTCTTCTTTCTATTTCTTGTGGTTGATTATTGTTTTTTTGCTTTACCTCCTTTTAGGCTATCTTGGTTTTTTAAAGTTTTTATTCAAAAATTTTCAAATGCATACAAAAAAGAAAATAGTATTATAATAAACCCTTATGTTATTAATGCTTTTACTGGTGTACTTTATTTAATGCTTCTTTCTCTCTCTTTACCTAAGGATTTTAAAGCCGTTCACAAATAGAATTATATTTCACCTTAAATAATTGTGAATATTTCAATTTTCTTTATTTTTTCCATTTCTTTCTAGTTGTTCAAATTATATTCATATTCTATTAGTTTTTAAAATGGTAATCAAAATAGCCACTGTTTTCCTGAACAAAGAAAGGATTTTAGAATACTTTAGTTTCCCAACTTACACATTACTAATGTCTAGTATAATAGTACAGTAATACATCTTGGTATATTATTTAAGCTAGGCTGGCAGTACTGTGATAAACAAATACTAAAATCTCAGTTGGTTAAATTAAGGCATTTTCTTGCTTACATTCCAGTCTGGTAGGAAATGAGAAGCTTTGTCCAAGCAGGAAGTAGGGACCCAACCTGCTTCCATTTTGTAGCTATACCATGCAGAACATGTGACTTCTGAAGTTTCTGGGGAAGGTAAGAAGGAGCTAGAGGATAGTAGGGGGTGATTTTAAGGGCTTACTTACTCTGGTGTTTTATTCTTATAAGGGCACCAGCCTTATAAGATGAGGCCATAGGGGTTAGGGCCACATCCTATGACCTCATTTAGCTTTTATCAACTCCTCACAGGCCCTCTCTTCAAATATAGTTAGGAGTTTGATATATGAATTTTATGGGGACACAATTTAATCTATAGCACCACTGTTACTTAGAGGAGGAACATGACCAATGAGCTAATCAGATCCCTCTTTAGGGATTTATATATATGCTGATAGAAAATGAGGGGTCTTTATATCTGACATTAAAACATAAAATTGGATCTGCTGGAGGTCATTGATCTGCTATGGGTAAGGTCTTACTGATAATGAGGCCCACTGGTGAAAAATAGAATGGAGAGAAATGGGAAGAGAGATGAAGTCCTGATAATACCATTAGAAACTATGAATTTAATGGAAGTTATATTTAATCTTTGTATTTCTCAGGGACATTAGCCAGTAAATTCTGTGTTTTTGCTTGGTATCTCTGATACTTCAAATTTTGCTTAGGAACTCTGATACTTGTAGGGCAAGATCCCAAAAGTACAGTAGTGGCAGGTACATGTTTGTAATCTAGGCAAATGTCAGCACAGAATCAGACAATTTGTTGGCTGACACTGTGTTACATCACATGACATTCTATATCTAGTGTTGCTGAAGAAGCTTTTGACTGCTAGAATCAGAAAATCCTGACTCAAAGTGATTAATAAATAAAGAAATTTATCTTCTATTTTGCTTCAGTTGTGGGTCAAAGCAGATGGTGTCACAGTGCTTCAGTGATGCCATCAATGACCCAGGTTCTTTCTGCCTCACCATTTTGCTGGGGTTCATGTTGGCTTAATTCCAAGAGTAGTTCTGACATTACTTCAGGGTGACCTTTATTATAACTGAGGCTACCTACTTGCCTTTCCATGTCCACCTGCCTATGCTTGGACCAATAACAGTGGCCAGGGAAATACCATTCTTTGGTTGACTTAGACTAACCTGTAGATGAGTTTGGTATGCATCAGGATACCTCACAGTTGGTCTCAGTGTTTGTTCTCTGAGCCTTGAACTGTTCCCTGAGGCACATGGTGGAAGGGGGTAGATAGTTGTGAAAAATTGAGGTTCTGTTATTAAGGAAAGAGAAGACAATGGATGTTGTGTTGGTACCAACAGTGTCTACTACATACTTTATTGTAGCAATGAAAGAGAAAAGCTGGCTCTACCCATGAAATAGATGGAGGGCCCTAATATTATGTTGCAACCAAGGACATTTTCTACATATGGTAGCATCACTCTGATAGTTCCCATGGTAACTTCAATTCAGGTGAGTCATCAAAACTTGTACTTGTCTGTAGCAGAGGAAGAACATAGCGATAAATATGTTCTTAGTTTGTTAATGAATATCTTAAGTCTCAGATCTTAATTTGGGGACCCAGAATGGGTTATACAACAACTAATGATGCCACATAAAAGGGAAGATTTAAGCCAGTATTTAACTGACTTTGGGAATGTGAGACAGCTTTGAAACTTATGGAATAAGGGGACAGCCATTGCAAGACAATCTGGTTGAATATCCTGGAAATTAGTGGTGAAAATTTTAGCAAGTCACTTATGATTCTATAATAATTGAGTGAATAGTTTACATATTAATTTTATGAGTAGAAAAATGAACCAGAAAAAGAAGTACAGTGTCTGCTTGATACCTGAACTGCAATGTGCTTGTGGTTGTGGGCATCCTTTCCCCTAAATTACAGAAAGTGTGAGATTCCTAATGAGTCTGAAGCAGCTGTTCCATCAAGCTGTTTTCCAAGTAGGCTTTCACCATTATTGTTGTCGTTAGACAGAGAGGGAAGTGATTTTAGTGTGAATGTGAAAATGAATTAATGTTGCCTGTCAGGAAACGAAACCAGTGCCAGGAGATCAGCTTATGCACAACTGAAAGATTGAAAGAGAAAACTCTGGGAAACTAAGAGAGGAGAGCTAAAATGACAATGATCCCAAATTCACACCCTCCTTGGAACATGGACGTTCATGTTTCACTCCAGTGATGGAACCAACTTCGAATAAGACAATTTTGGTTACTCTATCCAGGCAAACTTGGAAATGATGATACTAGCAGTAAGGTGGTCTCATTTCCAATATGAACACCATGTAGAAATATGATTCCTTGTCCATCTGAGTCAGTCTGGCATAGGGTTCCCAAATTTAGCAAATAAAAATTCAGAATGCGTAGCTAAATTTGAATTTCAAATAATAAATAATTTTGGGGGTTAAGTATATCACAAATATTGCATGGGACATAGTTGTATTGAACATTATTCATTGTTTATCTGAAGTTCAAATTTAACTGAATTCCCTGCATTTGAAAGCATAATTGGGGTCATTAATAATCTTAGCCCAATTCTCAGGATGTTATGACCTGGTTGCTTTTGAACTCTTTCCTGCAATGCTAGTTGTTGGACTCTTCCTACTCCTGCATGGCAGATTGTATTATATATACCATTCCATGTTGTCATCTTACAATGTGACATCGACACTCTTTCATTAAGAATTAGGATCTGCATGCACTTTGTAACTGCCTTGAACAATAGATTATAGTGGAAGTTACATTATCCTGATGCTGGCTCCTTAAAGGCAGTACAACTTCCATCAGGCTCTCTTTCTCTTAAGACATCCCCCTTGAGTGAGCCCTGAGCTGACATGTAGTAAGTTTGGCTACCCTGAAGCCATTGGGCTGGAGGGAACACATGGAGGGACCACACAGAGAAGGTGCTTTAGGTGCCGAGCCATTCCAGCCCCCAGAAATTCAAGTTTTCTCTGTTCGGATGACCCCGGCTTTAACACTGTTTGATTGCAACCTCATAGAAGACTCAGCTGTACTGCCCAGCCAAGGCACTCCCAAAGTTCTAACACAGAGAAACGTTAATAAATGATTATTATTATTTTTTCATCCAGTATGTTTTGGGTTGATTGGTTATATAGCCACAGACAACTAATATATACTGGTTTGTGGGGAAATAAATATTACCACATTTTAGGTTAACATTTTTTAGAATGGTCTTTTAAAATAAGTAGCTTTGTCTTCAGGGATTTTTGTTTATATTGGATTTTGAAGGTTTTACCATTACTGTCTCTTCAGCTATTTTTTTAAAGTCCAAAAATTGAGTTAATTTTTTTTTTTTTTGAGATGAAGTCTTGCTCTGTCACTCAGGCTGGAGTGCAGTGGTATGATCTCAGCTCATTGCAACCTCCGCCTCCTGGGTTCAAGCTATTCTCCTTCCTCAGCCTCCTGAGTAGCTGGGATTAATGGCACCCACCACCAGGCCTGGCTAATTTTTGTATTTTTAGTAGAGATGGGGTTTCACCATGTTGGCCAGGCTGGTCTTGAACTCCTGACCTCAAGCAATCCTCATGCCTTGGCCTCTCAAAGCCCTGGGATTACAGGCATGAGCCACCATGCCCAACCAAAAATTTGAGTTAATATTATAGGAAAATTGATAACAACCAAAAATCTCAGCCCAAGTATTATGCAATGAAATGAGCACTAATACGGGAGACCTAGGTTGTTTTGGCTTTGACACTAAACAGCTATTGGCCTTTGAGCCAATTACTTGTTTTCTAAGACTCAGTTCCTGTATCTGTAAAAGGAGGCATTATCCTAGATAAGGGATGGTGAACATGCAGAATGCAAGCTACCATTTTCCTTAGCAGGCATCACTAATGAATTGTACCACTCTTGCCACAGAAATGACCTTAGAGTCCTTCACAAAGCAGAACTCCAAGCAGTCAGGAGCAATCAATCACAGTTAACAATGACAAAATTTTTTTTTTTTTTTGCCTTCTCAGGTCTTGAACGTGTCTATTGGTACTTTCAGTGTTAAAACTTAGTATCTCTATAATCTAAGTGATTTACCCATGTTCTTAAAAAAAGCTGCTAAAGTAATTGTGGAAGTAATGTTGGAAATATTTAAAGAATCATGGAGCAACATTTACCCCCACTATGCACCCGTGTGTCATAGGCTACATAGGTGTTGTGATAGAGAAAACAACATAGAAGGTATTTTATCAAAGAGAGAAAAAAAATACACAACTTGAAATGAGAGCTTTTGCACCCTGATTAAAATTAGACCGATTTTGCCCAAATTGCCTGCTGAGACTTCTCAGCTGTGACCTTTGAGTACAATGTATAAAAAGAGGTAGGGCTGTGTCTCAGGAATACTGTATTCATATTTGATTCAAGTGTATCTGAAGGATCCAGTTTGTAGGGTATTCACATACAACTCCAATTCTGAAGGACATTAGTAGTCAACTTCACTCAGCTTCCTATGTCTGGGCTTATTTGTCAAGAATATTGCAATCTTCTGTAGTGTATCTGGCAACTCTCGTCTCTCACTTTTTCTTATACTTTCTTTTTATTTTAGACTTTTCTTTTCAACTGTAGTACTATCTGCTTAATACTCCACCCCAGGCTTGGAAATTTTCCTTAAAAGAGAAATTTTCCCTACATCAAGATTTCAAATTTTTTCTTCAAACGTGGTTAGCATTCTTTTTGCTACATTAGATGAGTTGTTGTTGTTGTTAGATCTCCAGAGCTATTCCTCTCGCACAATTGGAACTTTGTACTTCTGACCCTCTTCCCATTTCCCCCACACCAACATATGGCAACCACCATTTTACCCTGCTTCTATGAGTGCAGCTATTTTAGATTTCACATATAGGTGAGATCATGCAGAGTTTGTTTTTCTGTTTCTGGCTCATTTCACTTAGCGTAATGTCCTCCAGGCTCATCCATTTTGCTGCAAATTACAGGGTTTCCTCCTTCTTTAAGAATGAATAATCTTTCATTTTCTTTGTCTATTCATCTGTCCACAGAAATTTAGGTTGTTTATATCTTTGTATTATGAATAATGCTGCAATAAACATGAAAGGACAGATACCTCTTATACGTACTGATTTCAGTTCCTCTGGGGTATATATACCTAGAAGTGGGATTGCTGAATCATATGGTAATTCTGTTTTTAGTTTTTTGAAGAAACTTTATACTGTTTTCCAAAATGACTGTACCAATTTATAATGCCATCAACAGTGTACAAGCGTTCCCTTTTCTTCTCATCCTCACCAACACTTACTGTATTTCATCTTTTAAAATAATACCCAATACAGTGTGGATGAGGTGACATCTCATTGTGGTTTTGATTCTCATTTTCCTCATGATTAGTGATGTGGAGCATTTAAAAAATTTACCTATTGGCCATTTGTATGACTTCTTTTTGATAAATGTCTATCCAGTCCTTTGCCCATTTATAAAATCAGGTTATTTAAATTCTTGCGATTGAGTTGTTTGAGTTTTTTTATATATTTTGGATATTAACCTGTTCTCAGATACATGGTTTGCAAATATTTTCTCCCATTCTACAGATTACCTCTTCATTCTGTTGATGGTTTCCCTTGCTGTGCAAAAGCTTTTAGTCTGATATAAACCCATTTGTCTATTTTTGCTTTTGTTGCCTGTGCTTTTGGTGTCATATCCATAAAGTTATTATCCAACCAATATCAAGAATCTTTCTCCTTATGTTGGATAAAGTTATTATCCAACCAATATCAAAAATCTTTCCCCCTTTAACATCTGGCTTACAAGCTTTCTGTGTTTATCACCTCAAGCCTTAAAAGAGCCTATTGGATCAAAAGTGGAAGATTTTTATGGCCAAAACCTGAGGTAGACATTGCTATGGTTTGAATGTGTCTACCAAAAATCATGTGTTGGAAACTGAATCCCCAGTGAAACAGTTTTAGGAAGTAGGGCCTAATAAGAGGTGATTAGGCCATGATACTTCTGCCCTCATGAATGAATAAATGCGATAAATGCTGTTACAGTGGGAATAGGTTTGTTATAACAGGGGTGAGTTTACCCACCATCTCTTGCTCTCTCACTTTCTCTTGCCCTTCTGCCCTCTGCCCTCTGCCCTGGAATGATGTAGCACAAGAGCCCTTGCCAGAGGTGAGTCCCTTGATGCTGGACTTCCCAGCCTCTAAAAGTGTAAGAAATAAATATATGTTCTTTATAAATTATCAGTCTCAAGTATTCTACTATAGCATCCCAAAATGCACTAAGACAGACACCATACTCTTTCCTTCATTGTTTTGCCATATGTGCCTGGAAAGGAGCCTGGGAAGTGTTATCTAGTTGAATGTATAAAAAGAAAATAGTTTTGGTGATCACATATGTATATGTGTGTGTGTGTGTTTAGATGGTCCTTGACATAAAATGATTTGTCTTATGATTTTTTGAATTTACAATGGGCTTATTGAGACATAACCCCATTGTAAGTGGAGGAGCATCTGGACTTACAATTGCATGACGGATGATTTTTTTGACTTTATGATAGATTTATCAGGATGGAACCTCATCAGAAGTTGAGGAACATCTGGGCTTTTAAGATTTGATTTAACACTTTTTGACTTTATGATGAGTTTATTAGGGAAGTAAATCAGTTTTGATTTATGTTACTTTCGACTTACAATGAATTTATCAGAATGTAAGCCAATTGTAAGTTGAGTATACACACACACACAAACACACACATATACACACACACATACACTTCTGTTAAACATCCTCAAACAGACCATGTGTTAGGTCACAAAGAAAACCTAAACCAACATAGAAAAGGGAAAATCTCAGAAGCCACATTTACTGTGCATAACTCAATTCAAGTAAAAATTCTCACAGTTAGTTTCTACCTCCAAAAATCTTTGGAAAAACACTCATTTAAATAATTCTTCACTCATAAAATTATAAAGACAAAAATGACGAAGTACTTAAAAATGAAGAGGACTGAGCATTATATTTCAAAACCTGTGCTTTGGGATATGGCCAAAATGGTACACAGAGAAAAAAGTCTAGACTTAGATGCACACGTTAACAAATGAGAAAAAGGGAGAGTAATTGAACTGAGTGCTCAGCATAAGAAGCTAACAAGAGAACAAAATAAATTAGAAAAACTAGAAGGAATGACAATAGGGATAAAAACAAAATAGAACACATATGGGAGCAGATGAATAACTACAACTTTAAAAAATATATAACAAAATAAACTGTCAGGTTTATCTAGAAAATAGAGAAAAGATACAAAAACAAAAGTGTCAGGGGGTACACAATTGTAGATATGACAAATTTAAAAAAGAAAAGGCTGAGAATAAATATTACCAGTAAATTAAAACATTAGATAAAGTATGTTTTTTGAAATATAAATGACTAAAATTAAAGAAGTAGAAAACCTCAGTAAATCTAACATCATGCAAAAAATAAAATATGCTTTATCTTTTCTAGAACCAGGAATTTTTGCAAGTAAATTTTTTCTGTACTTTAAGAGAAAGTTAACCCTTATGTTCTAGAAGAGGAAAACATGGCATGATACTCATTTCAGAATCCTAAAACTTCTCTGATATCAGAACTGGACAAGTATATCAGGCCCACAAAATAGGTGTAGGCAATCTCATTTATGAACATGGGTACAAAAATCTGAAATGAAGAATTTACAAATGTAATTTGCAATGAATTAAAAGATCAATTTATTATCGTCAACTCTGGGATTGTTACAGTAATGGAAGAGGAGGCAACTTTAAAAAAAAACCCACTAATGTAATCACTGCATTAAAGAATTAATGGAGAACTGACAATTGATTGTGTCATTTTATTATCTCACTAAATGTGGAAAGTATTTGGTAAAAATATATACCTATTATAAATAAAAATTCTAAGATTAAACAAAACTTCTTTAAGTTGATAGAGGCAACAACATCAAGCATCATTCGTGGAGTAGATGAGAATTTATGGCAGCTGCTTAAATCTGTATCTCCATATCCTCCAAATAACAGTGCAGAACAACTAGAACACATAAAATGTTACAAATATCATGCCTTCAGCATAAGTAAAGGGAAAATATGCTGAGATTCAAATTACCTGCTAATAAAAAATGAAAAAGCACCAAATTCCAGTAAGTGATCACTCAGGCTTCTGGTGTAAGTGTTTGAGGCAAGTAAGAGCAGTCCAAAGAAAAGCTGAGGAAGAAAGAAGTGTAGAACTAGCAGGGGACCTGCAATTGCCCCAAAATAACCACTGGAAAGAGAAGTTTATTTGATGCATAAAAAGAATAAAAAAATTGTCCCATTAGATGAGAGCATCGACTACAGGGAAGAGTCAAAAAATACACATGATATGAAGTGGCTGTCTTTTTTTTTTTTTTCCTTTTTTATTTATTTATTTATTTATTTTTTATTATACTTTAAGTTTTAGGGTACATGTGCACATTGTGCAGGTTAGTTACATATGTATACATGTGCCATGCTGGTGCACTGCACCCACTAACTCATCATCTAGCATTAGGTATATCTGCTGATGCTATCCCTCCCCCGTCCCCCCACCACACAACAGTCCCCAGAGTGTGATATTCCTCTTCCTGTGTCCATGTGATCTCATTGTTCAATTCCCACCTAGTTCTGGGTGAAGTAGGCAAAAAGGAAGGGAAAGGCACTCTGTAATAATTGAGTGGTAAAGGATAAGAATAGGGGACAATTTAGAGTCCTTCAAGACAAAAGAGAAGAACAAAAGTTAGAAGGCTAAAATTCCTCTTTCAATACCAAATAAAAGAATGGAGGTATGTCAAAGGGACACAGCAGCCAATTTGAAAGAATTACCAATGGCCAAGTTGGAATATTTTGAGCAACAAAATAAATAATGTAATATTGAATTATAAGCCAAAGTGAAAAATAAATATAGATGAGTCCATTCTCGTCTGTTATAAATGAATGACTAAATAAATATATAACTGGGGTAGAAGAGACAACTTTTCCATACAGGAGAATTCCAAATAATGTAAGTTGACATTCCCCTCTCCAGGAGGTAGAGCTTAGTCCCTCTCCTCTTTTTTTTTTTTTCCTCTTTTTTGAGACGGAGTCTCCCTCTGTTTCCTGAGTTCAAGTGATTCTCCTACCTCAGCCTCCTGAGTAGCTGGGATTACAGGTGTCTGCCACCATGCCCAGCTAATTTTTGTATTTTTAGTAGAGACAGGGTTTCACAAAGTTGGCCAGGCTGGGTCTCAAACTCCTGACCTCAGGTGATTCACCTGCCTCGGTCTCCCAAATTGCTGGGATTACAGGTGTGAGCCACCACACCCAGCCCCTCACTCTCCTCTTTTAACTGTGAGCCAGATTGTAGGACTTGCTTCCAAAGGATATATATGAAAAAGGAAATTAATATTTTCCAGTGGAAAAATCTGACAAACACTATCTTAATCAAATAATCAAGGTTAACATGATCATGATGTCATGTGGGTATTCTGTACCCCCGATGTGATGTAATTAGAAGGACACTTTACCTCTGTGGTGTTCTTGCCAAATTGTCTCAGTTCTTTTCAAGCTCGAATATGGTCCAGTCTCACAGTGCATGAGAAAAACATCACACAAACTCATATTGAGAGACTTTCTACATGATACCTTACCAGTACTGCACAAAACTGTTAGGTCATGAAAAGTTAGAGAATACTGAGAAACTGTCATAGACCAAGAGTGAAATGACAACTAAATGCCATGTGATATATTGGATTGGATCTTGGAAGGGAAATTCAAATGAAGTCCAGAGTTTGGTTAATACTGATATACGAATGGCAGTTTCTTAGGTTTAACACTAAAGGAAGCTGAGACTGGCTAGGGGATATATAGGAGCTCTCTGCAACTTTTCTATCAACATACAATTTTTCAAAAATTAAGAGAATGGATAAACAGAAACACTAAAATTCATCAACTAAAGAAACAAGAAATTGCTTACTAGTAGAAGATTGTGACATTGAATTAGAAATCTAGAAACCCACCTCAAACTCACAAAATGAATAGAAAATAACTGAATAAATATGTTTTTTTCTTAAATTTTGTTTTTGACACATAATAATTGTACATATTTACGGGGTACTGTGTGACATTTTGATACATGTATGCATTGTGTAAAAAATACAATCAATATTTAGGGTAACTATTGCCTCATGCATTTGTCATTTATTTGTGGTGAGAACATTCAAAATCCTTTCTGCTAGCTGTTTTGAAATATGCAATACAATATTATTAACCGTAGTTACTCTGCTATGCTATAATACTCAAACTTATTTCTCCCATCCAACTGTGACATTGTACCCATTGACCAATCTCTTCCTATCTATCCCTTCTCCCTCCCCTCCCTGGCTTCTATTAATCACCATTCTACTCTCTACTTCTATGAAATCACCTTCTTTAGATTCCACATATGGGTGATGCATATTTGACTTTCTGTGCCTGGCTTATTTCACTTAAAATGTCCTCCAGGTTCATCCATGTTGCTGTAAATGACAGGATTTTATTTTTATTTTTTTTGTGTGTGTGTGGCTGAATAGTATTCTATTGTGTATATATACTACATTTCATTTAACCATTCATCTGTTGATGGACATTTAGGTTGATTCCACATTTTGGCTATTGTGAAGAATGCCCCAATAAACATGGGAATGCAGATATCTTGTTGACATATTGATTTCATTTCCTTTGGATATATACCCAGTAATGGGATTACTGGATAATATGGTAGTTCCATTTTTAATTATTTGAGGAAACTTCATGCTGTTTTCCATAATGGCTGTACTAATTTACATGGCCACCAGCAGGGTGTAAGGCTTCCTTTTTCTCCACATCTTTGCCAACACTTATCTTTTGATTTTTGATAGTAGCCACTATGACTGGAATGAGGTGATATCTAATTGTGTTTTGTATTTGCATTTCCCTGACGATTAGTGATGTTGAGCATGTTTTCATATATCTGTTGACTATTTGTATATCTTCTTTTGAGGAATGTCTATTCAGGTTTTTTGATCATTTTAAATCAGATTTTTGTGTTGTTGTTGCTGTTGAGTTCCTAATATAGTCTGGATATTAACCCTTTGTCAGATGCAGTTTGCAAATATTTTCTCCCATTATGCAGTTTGTCTTTTCACTCTGTTGATTTTTTTTTTTTTGCTGCACAGAATAAGCTTTTAAGTTTGATGTATTCCCATTTGTCTATTTTTGCTTTTGTTTCCTGTGTGAATAAATCTATGTAAAGTTACTGAATTAGAAAATGAGAGTCAATCTACCTTAGTTGATAAAAATTCATTTATTCGAACAAAAGAACAACAAACAAAGCAACTAAGAAGCATAAGAAACTGTAATGCAATACTCCAAACTGATGCAATATACTCAAACAAGCATTTGGGTATGAAAACTTATCTTGAATAAAAAATGCGAACATTAAAAACAGAAATAGACAAAACCACAGAAAGAAATGAAAAGAGACTTGATTAAACTCTGGAAAGAAATAGAAGAAAAAGGACCATATCACATCACAAATAGAGACTAAATTACAAGTTGCCCGAGGGAGAATAGGCTCAAAAGGAAATTTTGAAAGAAGCATTGAAGAAACATAGAAAACAACCCAGAGAACAAATACAGGATATGGATAGAAGTAAAAAAAAGTCAGAAAGGAAGTGGTTGAAATGGAAGACAAAGAAGAAACAATAAAAGCTTAATTAAAACATTTGTAGGAGGAGAAACAGAGCAACAGAATAGAACTAACTTTTAAATCTATAATTCAAGATAACTTTCAGAAATAAAATCCAGATCCATATATTAAGACATCACTGAACATCTGGAAATTAACCAAGAAAAATTAACCTTAAGACATATCTGAGAAAGATGATTAGACTTCTAATATAAAAAAATCCTCAAGGATTCAGGTGTAAAGATCAAATACAAAAACAAAGAATTCAACCTGACATTAGATTCCTCAAAAACAACAACAAAAAATTTTCAACAGACTCCAAAAAAGTTTGAACTAAAAATTCATTTCAGCCAAGCTATCCTTCAAGTAACTAGGGGTCCCAATATATAACTTTTTTTTTTTTTTTTTTTTTTGAGACTGAGTCTCACTGTGTCCCCAGGCTGGAGAGCAGTGGCACAATCTCGGTACTGCAACTTCTGCCTCCCGGGTTCGAGCAATTCTCCTGCCTCAGCCTCCTGAGTATTTGGGACTACTGGCGCCCGCCACCACGCCCAGCTAATTTTTGTATTTTTAGTAGAAACGGGGTTTCACCATGTTGGCCAGGATGGTCTCGCTCTCTTGACCTCATGATCCGCCCGCCTCAGCCTCCCAAAGTGCTGGAATTACAGGCGTGAACCACTGCGCCCGGCCCATAACTTTAAACATAGAGAAATGTAGAGAATTCCTATTATCTCCATTACTACTTAACATCGTATTGGAAGTATTGGCCAATACACTTAGACAAGCAAGATCAACTAGAGAATAAAACTTTGCAAAAAATAAAATTATTTCAATTTGCTAATTACATGATAGCATACCCGAAACACTCTAGAAAATTAATGAGAAAATTAACACAAACAATGAAAAGGCAGCGAAGTTGTAGGCTATAAAATTTACATACAAAACCAGCAGCCTACATATCTACAAAAAATAATGAGTTAGAGGATAGGAAGGTAGAAAAAACCCAACATATTATAGTGGCAAAGAAGACTAAATATCTAGAAATATCTTAGCAAGAAATGTGCAAATCTTATTTGAGGAAACTTTAACATACTCATGGAAGGCTCAAAAGGATCCTTGAGCATCTGGAAAGACATGCCTTATTTTTGATAGGATGACTCTCTAAATTCATTCATGAAATTTCTTTTTTTTTTTTTCCTTTTTCTTTTTTTATTTTTTGTGAGACTGAGTTTCGCCTTTATCGCCCAGGCTGGAGTGCAATGGCGCGATCTTGGCTCTCTGCAACCTCTGCCTCCCGGGTTCAAGCAATTCTCCTACCTCAGTCTCCCGAGTAGCTGGGATTACAGGCACCTGACACCACGCCTGGCTAATTTTTGTATTTTTAGTGGAGACGGGGTTTCACCATATTGGCCAGGATGGTCTCAATCTCTAGACCTTGTGATCTACCCGCCTCAGCCTCCCAAAGTGCCAGGATCTTAGGCGTGAGCCACCGCGCCTGGCCCATTCATGAAATTTCTACAGAAACACCAGTAAGTTTTCCTACGAGGCTTGGCAGGTTGATTCTAAAGATCAATTGGAAAGACAAACATGCAAGAATATCTAGGAAAGTGGCAAAACAAAACCAAACAAACCCAAAAAGCCCCACAACCAAACATGAAGGGAACTAATGTTTTATCTAACATTAAAACATAAAGCCTCTGCAATAAAACGGTGTACATAAGTACACTGGTACATAAGTAAACAAGCAAGCTAGTCATGTAAAATAACAAGTTCAGGAAAAGCATCAAGTACATCTGGAAATTGTATGCATGATAAAGGTGACATCTGAAATTACTAGGTAAAAGATGTACTTTTAAATAAATAGTGTTGAAAAAAAACCTGTTCACTGATTTGGAAAAAGATAAAATTACGTCATTTTCTCACACCACACACAAGATTGAACTCCAAATGTATGTAGGTTTTAAACATAAAAATGAAGCCAACCAAGCAGTAGAAGAAAAATGGGTGAATTTTTCTATTACCTGAGTAAAAGAAAAGGTTTTCTAACTATGGTTCAAAATCCAGAGGCTATAAAAGATTGATAAATTTTACTATATAAAAATTTATCTATCAAAAGGAACCACAAGGCAAAAGGCAAATGACAAACTGGCAGAAAAATATTTCCACATATATTGTAGGTAAAGGGTAATATCTCTATTAGATATAGGACTCTAAGATATTGAGAGCATAAAATAGGAAGACCTGACAGGAAAATGAGATGACATGAAGAGACAAAAAGAAAAAAAGACATTAAAATCACCTTTTGATATAAAAAGACTCTTCAACCTCACTCATAATTACAGAAATGCAAGATAAAACCACATGTGATACCATTTCTCACCTATCATATTGATACAAATTAAAAACAATATTACTACAAATTATTTTGGTGAGGTTGTGGGGAAAACAGCCACTTTCATACATTAATGGTGGAAATTAAAACTAGTAAATTACTTTCGGATGGAATTTAGCAATAGGTAGCAAAGTTACATAGGCATTTACCTTTTAAAAATTCTCTTTTAAAAATAAATTTTATTTTGTATGTTTAGGTATACAACATGATGTTATAGGATACATACAGATAGCAAAAAGTTACTATAGTGAAGCACATTAATATATTTATTGTTGGTGCACTTGATTTCTCAAGTCACCTGTTTGGCCCTCTTCCAAGTTGTACTTTCCTTCTTTTCTTTCCTTTCCTTACTGTTCTAAAGCTTTTTAATAGAATTTCACTCCTGCACTGAAATATATATATATAGTCTCACATAGTTACCCATTTTTTTTTGTGGCAAGAGCAACTAAAATCTACTCATTTTGCATGAATTCAAAATACAGAACAATTTTATTACCTGTAGTCTTTATATCATACATTATATTTTTAGGCTTGCTCATCCTACATATTAACCACTATTTTTTCAGATGGGGTCTCACTTTTTCAGATGGGGTCACCCAGGCTGGCATAGCTCACTAAAGCCATGCCCAATGTTTTCCCTAGAGAAGAAAACTTGCTTTATTGCCCAGCCTGGTCTCAAACTTCTGGTTTCACGTGATCCTCCCTCTTCAACCTCCTGAGTAGCTGGGATTACAGCTATGCCTGGCAATGCATATTATCTACTTTGTGTCTTCTGACCTACATCTCCCCACCGTCCCCTGACAACCACTGTTTTGTTCTCTATCTCTGTATATTTGAAAACATTTTTTTTTAGATTTCATGTTTAAGTGAAATTATGTAATATTTTTCATTCTGTGTCTGGATTATTTCATTTAGCATAATGTCTTCCAGGCTCATCTATGTTGTGGCAAATGGCAAGATCTCATTTTTTTTTTAGGACTGAATAATATTTTAGTGCATGTATACATATACCATGGATTATCCACTTATCCATTGACAGACACTTGGGTTGTTTCACAACTTGTCTACTGTGAATGATGATGGACAGTATCTTTATGAGGTGGTGATTTCATTTCCTTTGGGTATATGCTTAGAAGAGGGATTGCTGGGTCATATGCTAGTTCTATGTTTAATTTCTTTAGAAACCTATATATTGTTTTCTATAATGGCTGTACCAATCTACATTTCCACCAACAGTGTACAAGAGTTTTCTTTTCTCCACACCTTTGTCAATATTTGTTACTTTTTAACTTTTAGATAATACCCATCCTAATGGGTATGAGATGGTACTCATAATGGTTTTGATTTCCATCTTCCTGATAATTAATGATGTTCAGCACCTTTTCCTTGTATCTGTTGACCATTTTGATGTCTTCTTTGGAGAAAAGTCTGTTCAGGTCTTTTGCCCATTTTTAATCATGTTATTTGTTTTTCTACCATTGAGTTGTATGAAATCTTTATAAATTTTGGATATTAACCCCTTATCAGATACATGGTTTGCAAATACTTTTTCCCAATCTGTAGGCTTCCATTTTGTTTTGTTGATTGCTTCCTTTGTGATGCAGAAGCTTTTTAGTTTAGTGTGGTCCCATACTTATTTTTACTTTTGTGGCTTGAGCTTTCAGTATGATATCTAAAAAGTTATTGCCAAGACCAATGTCCAAAAGCATTCTCCTTATGTTCTCTTCTAGAAGTTTTCTAGTTTCTGATCTTATATTTAGGTCTTACCCATTTTTTAGTTGATTTCTGGGTATGGTATAAGATAAGAGTCCAATTTCATTCTTTGGTGTTTGGAAATCAAGTTTTATCAGCATTATTTATTGAAGAGACTATCTTTTCCCCGTTGGATCCTCTAGATGCCCTTGTCAAAAATCAGTTGACCATATATGTGTGGATTTATTTCTGGGTTCTCTATTTTATTCCACCTGTCTATGTGTCTGTGTTTATGCCAGTGTCATACTTTTTTGATTACTATATCTTTGTAATATAATTCAAAATCAGGAAGTGTGATGCCTCCAACTTTTTCTTTCTCAGAATTATTTTTGAATTTTGATAGGGATTGCATTGAATCTGTATATTGCTTTGGGTAGTTTGGACATTTTAACAAGATTAATTCTTTGGCTTCGTGAATACAGGATATATTTCCATTTATTTGTCTCTTCAATCTTTTTTCCATAAAGATTTCTATGTACAGTTCTTTTACCTCCTTGATTAAATTTATTTCTAAGTTTTTTTGTGTTTTTTTGATACTATCATAAAAGTGATTGTTTTCTTTATCAAGTAGGTTATTTGTGTATAAAAATGCTACTGATGTTTGCACATTGATTTTATACACTACTATTTAATAAATTCACTTAATAGTTCTAACACATTTTTTGTGGAATCTTTTTTTTTCTTTATGTATAGGATCATGTCATCTGCAAATAGAGATATCCTCCTACTTTTCTGACTCAGATGCCTTTTATTTCCTTTTCTTATGTGATTGCTCCTGCTGGTACTTCCAGTACTATGTCAAATAGAAGTGGTGAGAGTGGGCATTCTTGCCTGGCATGAGATTTAAGTGGAGAAGCTTTCAGTTTTTCCTCATTGATTATGATGTTCATCATGGGTTTTTCACAAATGTCCTTTATTATGGTGAGGAAGTTTCTTTCTATTCCTAAACTGCTGAGAATTTTTAATCAAGAAGGGATGTGGGACTTCATAGAATGCTTTTTTCTTTAATGTAAGTAAGATGATCATGTGGTTTTTATCTTTCATTTTGTTAAAGTGATGTATCATATTGATTGATTTGCATACATTAAACCAGACTTGCATGCCAGGGATAAATCCAATGTGGTCATGATGTATAATCTTTTTGATGTGTTACTGGATTCAATTTGCCAGTATTTTACTGAGGATTTTTTGCATCAGTGTTCATCAAAGAGTTTGGCCTGTAGTTTTCTTTTCTTGTGATGTGTTTGGTTCAGATATCAAGGTGATGTTGATTTCATAAAATGTGTTTAAAAATGTTCACTCTAGCTCTATTTTTTGGAAGAGTTTAAGAACTTGTTTTAATTCTTTGAATGTTTGATAGAATTTAGCCATGAAACCAAGTGGTCCTGGGCTTTTTTTGTTTTGAAAGGTTTTTGATCACTTCTTCAGTCTCTTTTGTTATTGAACTGTTCCGACTTTATTTTTCTTCCTTATTCAAAAGGTTGCATTATTCTAGGAATTTATCAACTTCCTTTAGGTTATTCAGTTTGTTGGCATATAATTGTTCATAATAGTCTCTTATGATGCTTTTTACTTCTGAGGCATATGTTTTAATTTCTTCACTTTTATTTTTGATTTTATTTGAGTTCTCTTTTTTTTCTTAGTCTAGCTAAGGATTTGTTGAATTTTTTTTTTTTTTCAAAAAACCAACTCTGGCCGGGCACAGTGGCTCACGCCTGTAATCCCAGCACTTTGGGAGGCTGAGGTGGGCGGATCACAAGGTCAAGAGTTTGAGACCAGCCTGGCCAATATGGAAAAACTCCATCTCTACTAAAAATACAAAAATTAGCCAGACATGGTGGCAGGTGCCTGTAGTCCCAGCTACTCGGGAGGCTGAGGCAGGAGAATTGCTTGAACCTGGGAAGTGGAAGTTGCAGTGAGCCGAGATCACACCACTGCACTCCAGCCTGGGTGACAGAGCGAGACTCCACCTCAAAAAAAAAAAAAAAATCACCAACTCTTAGATATATTGATTCTTTCCCTGGTTTTATTAGTCTGTTCTCACACTGCTAATAAAGACATACTCAAGACTGGGAATTTATAAAGGAAAGAGGTTTAATTGACTCACAGTTCCACATAGTTGAGCAGCCTCACAATCAAGGTGGAAGGTGAATGAGGAGCAAAATCTTGTCTTACATGGCAGCAGGTGAGAGATTGTGTTCAGGGGAACTCCCCTTTATAAAACCGCCAGATCTCATGAGACTTATTCACTATCACAAGAGTAGCATGGGAAAAACCTGCCCTCATGATTCAGTTACCTCCCACTTGGTCCCTGACACAACATGTGGGAATTATTACAATTCAAGGTGAGATTTGGTGGGGACACAGAGACAAACAATCTCAATGGTTTTTCTCTGTTCAACGTAGTACTGGAAGTCCTGGCCAGAACAATCAGACAAGAAGAAGAAATAAAAGCCATCCAAATAGGATGAGAGAAAGTGAAACTATCCCTGTCTCTAGATGTTATAATTCTGTACCTAGAAAACCCCATAGTCTCGGCCCAATAGCTCCTTGATCTGATAAACAATTTAGGCAAAGTTTCAGAATACAAAATCAGTAGCATTCCTATACACCAATCATATCCAAAATGAGAGTCAAGAGAGAAATGCAATCCCATTCACAATAACCACAAAAAGAATAAAATACCTAGAAAAACAGCTAACCAGGGAGGTAAAAGATCCCTACAACAAGAATTACAAAACACTGCTCAAAGAAATCAGAAGTGACACAAATAAATAGAAAAAATTCCATGATCAAGGATAGGAAAAATCAATATTGTTAAAATGGCCATACTGCCCACAGCAATTTATAGATTCAATGATATTCCTATCAAACTATCAATCACATTCATCACAGATTTAGAAAAAAACTATTTAAAAATTCATATGGAATAAAAAAGAGCCTGAATAACCAAGGCAGTCCTAAGCAAGAAGAACAAAGTGGGAAGCATCACATTACCCAACTTCAAACTATACTACAAAGGTATAAAAACCAAAACAGCATGGTACTGGTAAAAAAACAGACACATAGAACAATGGAACAGAATTGAGAGCCCAGAAATAATGTCACACACCTACCACCATCTGATCTTTGACAAACTTGACAGATGCAAACAATGGGGAAGGTACTCCCCATTCAGTAAATGATGCTAGGATAACTGGCTAGCATGTG
The DNA here is from genome assembly GCF_000001405.40 of Homo sapiens. Lineage (NCBI taxonomy): Eukaryota > Metazoa > Chordata > Mammalia > Primates > Hominidae > Homo > Homo sapiens. Next base: position 114,964,245 of record NC_000005.10, on the reverse strand, counting down.
AAGATTGAAACTGGATCCCTTCCTTATACCATATACAAAAATTCACTTAAAATGAATTAAAGACTTAAACGTAAAACATAAAATGTTAAAAAAAAAACCTGGAAGATAACCTAGGAAATATCATTCTGGACATAAGACTAGGCAAAGATTTCACGACCAAGATGCCAAAAGCAATTGCAGCAAAAATTCAAGGTAAGATTTGGTGATTAAACTAAAGAGCTTTAGCACAGCAAAAGAAACTATCAACAGAGTAAACAGCCTACAGAACAGGTGAAAATATTTGCAAACTCTGCCTCTGATGAGGGTCTGATATCCGGAATCTATAAGGAACTTAAATAAATCTGCAAGCAAAAAACAAATAGCCCCATTAGAAGGTGAACAAAGGACATGAACAGATACTTTTGAAAAGAATACATACACATGGCCAATATTCGTAGGAAAAAGCACTCAAGGTATATTTATTTATTTATTTATTTATTTATTTATTTATTTATTTTTGGAGAAGGAGTCTCACTCTGTTGCACACAGGCTGGAGTGCAGTGGCACGATCTCGGCTCACTGCAACCTCCACCTCCCAGTTTCAAGCAATTCTCCTGCCTCAGCCTCGTGAGTAGCTGGGACTACAGGCGCATGCCACCACACTCAGCTAATTTTTTGTATTTTAGTAGAAATGGGGTTTCACTGTGTTGCCCAGGGTGGTCTTGAACTCCTGACCTCAGGCAATCAGCCTGCCTCGGCTTCCCAAAGTGCTGCGATTACAGGCGTGAGCCACTGTGCCCGACCTTCAAGGAATTTTTAAATTTCTGTTTTGATAACTTATTTGACCTACTGGTTGTTTAGGAGCATGTTTAATTTATATATATTTGTGAACTTTCCAAGATTCTTTCTCTTATTGATTTCTAGTTTCATACTATTGTGGTTAGAAATGATCTTGGATATATTTTCAGTCTTAAGGTTGTTAATGTAGGTTTTAACCATAAAAATGTTTATTTTTTGACTCAGCACTTCCACTTCTAGAAATTTACCTTGAAGATACAAGATATGGTTTGGCTGTTTCCACGCTCAAATCTTGAATTTTAGCTCCCATAATTCCTACGTGCTGTGGAAGGAACCCGGTGGCAGGTAATTGAATTATGAGGGTAGGTCTTTTCCATGTTGTTCTTGTGATAGTGAATAAGTCTTATGAGTTCTGATGGTTTTATAAAGGGGAGCTTCCCTGCACATACTCTATCTCGTCTACTGCCATGCAAGACTTGACTTTGCTCCACATTTGCCTTCTACCATGATTGTGAGACCTCTCTAGCCAGTGGAAATGTAAGTGCATAAATCTCATTTTCTTTATAAATTATCCAGTCTCAGCTATGTCTTTATTAGCAGCCTGACAGTAGACAAATACAGTAAATTGGCACTGGAGTGGGCACTGCTGTAAAGATACCCGAAAATGTGAAAGTGACTTTGAAACTGGTTAACAGGCAGAGATTGGAATAATTTGGAAGTCTCAGAAGAAGACAGAAAGATGGGGGAAAGTTTGGAACTTCCTAGAGACTTGTTGAATGGCTTTGACCTAAATGTTGATAGTAATGTGAACAATAAAGTCCAGGCTAGGTGTTCTCAGACGGAGATGAGGAGATTGTTGGGAACAGGAGCAAAGGTGACCCTTGTTATGCTTTAGCAAAGAGACTGGCCACATTTTGTCCCTGCCCTAGAGATCTGTGGAACTTTGAACTTGAGAAAGATGATGTAGGGTACCTGGCAGAAGAAATTTCTAAGTGGCAAAGCATTCAAGAGGAAGCAGAGCATAAAAGTTTGGAAAATTTGCCGCCTGATGATGCGATAGAAAAGTAAAACCCATTTCCTGGGGAGAAATTCAAGCTGGCTGCAGAAATTTACGTAAGTAATGAGGAGCCAAATATGAATCACCAAGACAATGGGGAAAATGTTGCCAGAGCATGTTAGAGACCTTTGTGGCAGCCCCTCCCATCACAGGCCCAGAGGCCTAGGAGGAAAATATGATGTTGTGGGCTAGGCCCAGGGACATTCTGCTGTGTGCAGCCTAGGGACTTTATGCCCTCCATCCCAGCTGCTCTAGCCATGGCTAAAACAGGCCAAGGTACAGCTTGGGCCATGGCTTCAATGGGTGCAAGGCCCAAGCCTTGGCAGCTTCTTTGTGTTATTGAGCCTGCAGGTACACAGAAGTCAACAATTGAGGTTTGGGAACCTTCTCCTAGATTTCAGAGGCTGTATGGAAATGCCTGGATGTCCAGACAGAGGTGTGCTGCAGGGGTGGAGCACTCATGGAGAACCTCTGCTAGGGCAGTGAAGAAGGGAAATGTGGGCTCAGGACACCCACACAGCATCCCCACTGGGGCACTGCCTAGCGGAGCTGTGAGAAGAGGGTTATTATCCTCCAGAGTCCAGAATGGTAGGTCCACATACAGCTTGCATCATGCACCTGGAAAAGCTGCAGGCCCTCAATGCCAGCCAGTGAAAGCAGCTGCGATGGGAGCTGTACCCTGCAAAGCCACAGGTGTTTAGCTGCCCAAGGCCATGTGAGCCCCCCTCTTACATCAGAGTGATGTGGATGTGAGGCATGAAGTCACAAGAGATCATTTCAGAGCTTTAAGATTTGACTGCTTCACTGGATTTCAGATTGGCATGGGACCTGTAGCCCTTTGGTTTTGGCCAATTTCTCCCATTTGGAATAAATGTATTTACCTAATACCTGGACCCCCATTGTATCTAGGAAGTAACTAACTTGCTTTTGATTTTACAAGCTCATAGGTGGATGGGACTTGCCTTGTCCCAGATAAGACTTTGGACTGCGGACTTTTGAGTTAATGCTGACCTAAGATTTTGGGAGACTGTTGGGAAGGCATGATTGGTTTTGAAAAGGAGGACATGAGATTTGGGAGGGGTCGGGGTAGAATGATATGGTATGCCTGCATCCCCACCCAAATCTTGAATTTTAGCTTCCATAATTCCCACGTGTCATGGAAGGGACCCAGTGGGAGGTAATTGAATCATGGGGTGGGTCTTTCTCATGCTGTTTTCATGATAATGAATAAGTCTGATGACATCTGATGGTTTTATTAAGAGGAGTTCCCCTGCACATGCTCTCTCTCTTGCCTGCTGCCATGTAAGTCTTGACTTTGCTCCTTCTTTGCCTTCTGCCATGATTGTAAGGCCTCCCCAGCTATGTGGAACTGAGTCCATTAAACTTCTTTTTCTTTATAAATTATATTATATTATAAATGCACATGGTTATTCATGGCAGTATTTTTAAAATTGTGAAATAACAGAAACAAATACCCATGTATAGGAGAGTGATTGAACAAACTGTGGTATAACCACAAGCTGGAGGGTCAGTGAAGAGAATCTCTATGAATAAAAATATGGAATGATGTCCAGGGTATGTTGTTAATTAAAAATATATAAAATGTAAAAGAATATAGTACATTTCATTTTGTGTGAGAAAGAAGAAGAAATAAAAATGTATCTTCTTATTGTACAAAAAGAAACATAGGAATAGTGGAATATAATAGAAATGACAGGAGATGAGAATGGGTTAGAAGGCATGGGGAGAGTGACACTTCTCTGAGTATGCCTCTGTGTCTTTAGAATCATGTTAATGTTTCTTACCATTTGTTATATATATATATATATATATATATATATATATATTATTTTCTTGTACTATTTATGCAGGTTTTAAAAGCCTGAAATCATTTCAAAATAAACACAAAAAATCACACACAAAGCATTCTTTTTGAAGTCAGAATTATGTCAAGACTGTCTGTTTTCGTTGCTACCATTCTATTTTGTACTAGAAGTCCTAATGTGTTCAATAAGGAGAACAAAATACATAATAGTCACTAATTCTGGAAAAAAATCACATATTTGCGGATATTGTGTTTGTCTACTTAAAAATCAAAACAGAATCTGGTGACACATGAATAGTGCTTTTAAGAGAGTAAATCAGAAAAGAATTTACAAAAGTCCTCAGCTTTTCTAGGCACTATCAACAAAGAGAACATATGAGGAAGATGGGGGAAGATACCAGGTTGAAGGGATTTGAGGAGTGGATGGGAAGCAGGTTATAGAGATTATATGTGCAAGCAATTCTTTAGAAAATTTTGCATGTAAAGAAGAGCAATGGCTGGCAGGATATATGAAAGGGTGTAGTTTCTTCTCTCCTCTTCCTCCTCTTAGTCTTCTTCATGACAAGATATATTACAGCATTTTTGTATGCTGCTGGAAATAATACAGTAGAAGGAGAAAGACTGATATTGCTGGAGAATTACGGCAGCCAAAGTCCCTGTGAAAGCATTGGGGAAAACCTTAGCAAAGCACAGGTCACTTCTTTAATTGTAACAAAGGGAAACTGTGGAATATGTGTGCACATGGGCAAATGTTTACAGATCTGGTGGTAAAAAGACGAGGAAGTATTGTGCAGTATGAGGCAAGGTCAACATTTGAGACCAAGTGTGTGGTGGGAAATTTGAGGAGAAAAGTGAACATGTAAAAGTCTTCTTAGAAGACTGGAAATCAAATTTACTGTAGTAACAAATAGAATTGCTAGGGAGTTGAGATTCTATTTGCAATATGTGGATATAAATTAAAAGGAAAACCTTTTTTTTCTGGTAATTTGAATTTCTCTAGAAATATTAAGCTGTTTGGGTGCAGGCACAGATGTGGTAAATGGTTGCTTTGTCTCCAGTGTGGGAGATTTTCCAGGTGGGTATAGTGGAGGGAGAGAAGGGGCAAGGGAATTGATGGTGTTTGCAGAAATATAGCATTGGAGCATGTCATCTAAGCGGGACAAGGAGAAAAGTAAATGGAGGATAAAGCTCTAGACAAAGAGAAAAAGTGACAGGCCCAGTGGATTAGAAATCAGGTTGGGGTTGAAACATTTTAAAGTGGTAGTAGTTAAGCAAGTTTGCTAGCAGTAGAGAGGCTGTACAATTTTTAGTGATGACAACGTCCCACCATGGTGTAACTATGAGAGTGGTGGAATGAAGTTAAGTCAAGTTACAAAAGAAGGGACTCAAGAATTTGAGTGTCTCCGGGTGTTCCAGAGGGTTTCCATTCATAGGTTGGTATTACATAAAATGATAAAAAGAGTTGGGGTGGAGAGGAAGGTTCCGAGTCAGGAGTAAGCTGGTATAGCCAGGTGGCATAGTCTCAGAATAGGAGGTTTGTAAGAGTGTGGATACACAATGGATTGGACATGCCAATGGGAAACAAGGAGAGCCACCTGCCCACCACAACATGAGACTTGAGACAAGAATATCCTTTCCTGGGAAGGTGATCCATGGATGCTTTGTTTTCATGGCAGGACCAGATTTTGATTAAATAAAAAGGTGGAGGAACCATTCTAAGAAGAGCTTGTATATATAGGGTAGTTTGCTTATTCCCACCATGAATTCCAGAGGTAAGAGGAAAGCTTTGGGTGGAAAGGGACCAAAGGGGGATTGATTCAGATGAGGATATGCTAAGCAGTATGGGTGTAACAGTTTTGGTAAAAGTAACCAGGGAGGGTCATTCAGGGATTTAAAATATAAGGTTTGTCCTGATCATTTTCTCAAGGAGCATGAATTTGATCCACAGTATTTGGGTGCAAGAAACAATGTTTATCTTATTTCTCTTCTTTAAATTATACTTGGTTCTGAGTCTTCATAGGGCTATCTGGTAATAAATAATATTTAAAGCATGTTTGGGGGTTTCCTTCTACCCACTGGGGTTATCCAAGAATGGGAGGCTTCTTATACTGTTCAGGAAGTCCCCGAGGGCCTCTAGGCTCCGTATCTTACTGTTGCTGATAAGCTGCTCATTGTCCAAACTATGTTCCATTTGAAGTCATGTAATTATTCTGCTTAAAAATCCATTTGTTTCACTCCCAGTTCTGCCATGTGAAGTTTAAACATGGACCTCTTAGTCTTGTGTTTCCAGGTTTA